>NC_000018.10:47921911-48222577 GCF_000001405.40 Homo sapiens
CATTTTAAGAAATTTAGATAAAGACAGTATAAACAATAACAGCAAACACTGAAGAAAGTATGATCACTGAGAAAAGACTGCTAAACTTGACAGTTCATCCGGAAGGCCAGTAGGAAGGGAAATGTGAAAAAGAATGGTTAAAAAATATGTTTGCAAAGTTGAAGTCAAGAACAGATAGTGATTAAATGTAGAAAGCAAAAGTAGATTGCACTTTTAAAAGGTATGGAGGGAAGAGAAATTTCAAATCTTCAAACTGCAGGAAAATACAAAATATTCCCCAAATACCTATGTGAATTTTTATTTAGAAAGAAAACCAAAGTTAATTATTTCAACAAAAATACTTTAAATATGATGGTGCTGCCTCATCTAGAACATCTAAGGTCCCACTAGAAATAATATAAAATCACTGTGCAGTCAATCCTCCTTATCTGTGGGTTCCAAATACATGGATTAAACCAACCATGGATAAAAAATATTCAGGAAAAAACTGTGACTGTACTGAACATGTACAGACTTTTTTCTCATCATTTCTAAAACAATATAGAATAACAACTATTTACATTGTATTAGATATTAAGTAATCTAGAGAGGATTTAAAGAATAACAATAAAATGTGCATAAAACAAATTCTACACCATTTTATACAAGGGACTTCAGCGTTCTCATATTCTGGTGCTTGCAGGAGAGTCCCGGAACCAATCCTCTGTGGAGACCGAGATTTTTAGCAATCTATGTTCAAACATACTACAAGGCAGAGAAAAAAACAGCAGCATCAATGACCTGGAATTGTATAACTGTTTTAGTCAAATAAATAATTCATTAGTAACCAGGATAATAGAAAACCTCAAAAAAATTAAAATACATAAAACCCAATTTTTTAAAAACAGATTTTTCAATTCTCACTACAACTATGTTCTCTCCAAAGCGTAAGCTAGTAAGGAAAGACACTGCCAACTGGAAACCTAGGTCGGCCCCCATGGAGAATGATGGGTCATGTCTTTTAAACAAAAGCAAACAGAAAACATTCATGTGTTCAACTTTATGGACTGTCAAACCTAATGCAAGCTTGAATTTAATTCAAGAAAATTATTATTTTAGCAAAAGTCCACATTAAATAGGGACTGCTGTGTAAAGAGACTACTTATTTTTTTTTTTTTAACTAAGAGTTATATTCCTATCACCTATAATGAGTTTTGTGGAATCCACAACTCTATAATCAACTTGTAAACACGTAACTTACATATTGGTTTATCATTCCCAGATTATTAAAAAAAAAAAAAAAGCACCTATGACAACACTACACAGGCCCAGACTCAAATCAGCACAAATATAAAGTACAAGTACTCTAATTGCTCTTCAAATTCCCAAAGTCTATCCTGACCCTCTTCTGAAGCAGCAACTAATACCACGTCAATTCACGTGAGTGGGGTCCTCAGGCCATAAAAGCTCAATTAAAGCAAAGTCTAGAGTAGTGCCACCCAACACAACTTTATACAATGATGTAAATGTCCTTGGGTATCTGTGCTGTCTAATACAGTAGCCATCAGCTGCATATGGCTATCTAAATTTAGATTAAGTAAAATTTAACATTCAGTTTCTCAGTCACAGCAGCCACATTTCAAGTGCTAAATAGCCACATGTGGCTGGCAGCTACCTGTTAAGATAGAGCAGGTCTACAGCAAAAATTTCTCCAAGACCTACTGTTCTTCAGCTGTGCTTCAAAGGCTTCCTGGTGGTGAGGATGAGAGGAAAACTGATCAGGCAGGACTTCAACAACTGCCTATTCTTCCTTCCACAAAACAGCTTTACTCCTTTTATCTGTTTTACATTTCGAAATTCTGCATATTTCTCTCTAAAGGCT
This sequence comes from Homo sapiens, assembly GCF_000001405.40. Classification (NCBI taxonomy): domain Eukaryota; kingdom Metazoa; phylum Chordata; class Mammalia; order Primates; family Hominidae; genus Homo; species Homo sapiens. Next base: position 47,923,773 of record NC_000018.10, read on the forward strand.
TTCTAGTTGCTGCTGTGTGTGCAGGTGTGCACATGTTTTAAGTCTGACTACTACTGGTTTCGAGCAGAAATGGCCAATGCACAACCTCAGGCCAAAGCTGGACCCTCCTGATAACTAAAACATTTTTTAAAAAAAAGTTTAATTGATCAGCTAACATGAACTACAACCTAACTACCTGTCTATTAAGAATTTTAGGCCGGGCGCAGTGGCTCACGCATGTAATCCCAACACTTTGGGAGGCCAAGGTGGGCGAATCACCTGAGGTCAGGAGTTCGAGACCAGCCTGACCAACATGGTGAAACCCCGTTTCTATTAAAAATACAAAATTAGCCGGACATGGTGGCGCATGCCTGTAATCCTAGCTACTCAGGAGGCTGAGGCAGGAGAACTGCTTGAACCTAGGAGGCGGAGGTTGCAGTGAGCCAAGATCGCACCACTGCACTCCAGCCTGGGCAACAGGAGCAAAACTCCGTCTCAAAAAAAAAAAAAAAAAGAATTTTAAAAGTGGATCTCAATAAGGAAAATTTACATTTACTACCACAGATAAAGTATCTCTAGTCAACAAAAGAGTTTCAATAGTTCACTCAAGTCAAGGCAGAAGGCTCACGGGCCCAGCTTCCACTGCATCATTTATGAGGATTTTATATAGGAGGCTCTGCAAAAAAGATTTGCCACCCCACATTTTCTTTTTTTTCTTTTTTTTTTTTGAGACGGAGTCTTGCTCTGTCTCCCAGGCTGGAGAGCAGTCGCGGGATCTCGGCTAACTGCAACCTCGGCCTCCCCGGTTCAAGCAAGTCTCCTACCTCAGCCTCTTGAGCAGCTGGGACTACAGGTACCCGCCACCACACCCAGCTAATTTTTGCATTTTTAGTAGAGACAAGGTTTCACCATGTTGGCCAGGCTGGTCTCAAACTCCTGACCTCAAAGTGATCCGCCCGCCTCAGCCTCCCAAAGTGCTGGGATTACAGGCGTGAGCCACTGCCTCCGGCCTCACCACCTCACATTCTGAAATGAAAGACGTGATGAGGATGGAACGTTTCCTTGATATTTACAAGACCTTAACCATTATGTCTCTACAGAATTTCTGGAAGTAGCTGAAGCAGCATATGAAAATGTAGTTTACTTTTAAACATAGGCAAACTATAAGATCACAGATTCACTATGCTACTTCCTCAGATCAAGAGTCTTTTTTGACTTAAGAGACTCAAACTAATGAACAGATGGAATACCAGTGGTTCACCCAAGATTATTCCTACTGAATACATTAAATGTGAAACTACATCCCCCTTCCCCACAAAATGAGGGAAGGTATGACACTGTAGATTATTCAAGGAAATGCAAATTTTTACATTAAGGTAGACACGTGTACTAAACAGAAGCAACTAAAGTCTATCCTCGCTTTCCACTACTCTACAGCCTTGAGGCCAATGTAAAACCAGATTTTGAAAAATGACAGGGCTACCTAGGATAATTAGTGACAATTTCACAGTAAATTCACAAACTTTGATAAGAATTAATCACGTCAGAATTTCTATTTTCTTAAGACTACAAACCTAAAGATACATCAAGCACCTGTCCTATCAATGTGCCTCAGTTACAAATAAGAGGAACCCACTGAGCCAAGGAGAACCACTCACACTGTACAATGTGAGGCAAGCACAGAAGACACAGAATTGCCCTAATATTTCTGGCTATCTGACCAAACTAAAGGCAGTGTCTAAATCCACCTGGCTTGGAAAAATTATATTCTCCCTACATGAAATTGCTGAACTGAAGCTGCGAGCTATCTTTGAGATGTAAATCTAGAATCAACATTGAATTATGTCCTAACTGAATACATCACAATTACACCAACCTGAAAAAATGATCAAAATTGATCAATGACAAGCAATAAGCCTCTAACTATGCATTTTTAAACCAAAAAGGCTAGTACTTTTGTACTACTGCTAAAAAAAAACCTGATTCTTAAAAACAGCCAAGGCTACATATTACAAGGTCACCAATAATTATCTGATGGTGTAGATGGTTTAAGAAGTAACCCTGAGGTAAGGTTACAAGAAAGGGGATCAAAAAAATTATCAGTGCTAATACTGGGCAGAAGTCACATGACAAGAGTCAAGAAACCCTCAACAGAGAGACTGGCCAACTATCCACTCTTGCTTTATCCTAGAAATCTCGAGCATACTCTATCTCAAAACACAGTGAAAAGCATACACTACTGTCAAAGCACAAGTGAAAATTTATATGATACTCCTGCAGACTGACAAAAAAATTACTTACACCAAAGAAAGGGGTGACATAGGGTGCTACCACACTGAAACAGCCTTTCTTTACTGCTGGCTACCCTTTCAGCTTGGAATCTGAATGGCTGTCTGAATGGCAAAACAAATGAAAAACATCTTGGTCATAACAGCTACTGTGATCTTTCATGAAATAAGCCATAAGCTATAGCACAATCTTCAACCCCTTTAAGAACATTTCTTAATCATCCTGAGTGACAATCTAAAGTATATTACGTAGATTATTGCACTCTTAAAAAGATTTTCCCAAACATGATTTAGGCTAATTGATGAACATTCATTACTATGCTTTCAGGTCTGGTCCTGCACTCAATGGCCCCAGACATGCTAGTCAGGCTTTGACTATTTTTGTGTCTTGTAGATTATCTCTATTATCCTCACCGAGCTGTTATCTGTTTTTTCTGACAAGAGACACTAGGCTAACATCCTACTCCCCAGCCCCCACCACACCCCCTCTAAGCCTCCCACAGTACCCATAATCTACTTGTTTCTAATCTAGTGCAGGTTTAGAAGCCAGATAACTTTGCTTGTTAGAAACACTTTAAATAAATGCCAACACATTCTTATTAAGGGTCTCCAAGGCTCTCCTAAGCTTTAAGCTATGGACTGGGACAATTTGGCTATCCCAGGCCTTTGTTGTTCATTGTCTGCTTCTCAAATACATTTTACAATAGGTCCATAATAACAGTGTAGGCAAATCATTTGGATTAGAAAGAGCCCAAGTAACAAACCCACAACTACAAGAGAGGAAGAAATCATTTGGGAGGACCCTTATATCTCAGGCAATGTTCTAGGTACTTGAATTGTGATCACTGAATAAGAGGAAGGGGTTAGTACTTCCATTTTGTGTCAGAAAACCAAGGGCCTGGGGTTGGTAGTAAATTGCCCAGTATTGTAACTGAGAAACAAAATATTAGGCTAGGGCTCTCTGATTCCAAAACCCAAGGCCTTTCCACTACATGAGACTGCTGTCCAATCCTGGGTCTCGGTTTAACTAACTTTTTACACTATTCCCGATCCTTTCACTGAGTTATTCAACTCTGCTTTCTTTCCTTAACCAGCTTCTGTAATTAAAGGGCAATAAGTGATCAAATTAAGGTCAGATGAAGCTTAGCTCTACAAGTGTACATCTGTTCAGCAATAAACATGTTTCTGAAAGACTGGCCGTATCTTCAGTTTGTATAGACTGTGCAAAACTGGTGCCAAGGTCCCCCCAAAATACACAGATTGTTCCCAGTGACACTGAGTAACACTTCACATCTTCCCTAGTGCTATCTGCTACATGTTACAGGAAGCAAGGCAAGCTCACTTTAGGAATGGCTCAGTAATGCATGTGCCCTTGATTTGTACACTAACAACTGTCTTACTCTAAACACTGGAGAATAGGGCAAGGGACATGAGTTTCCACTTTTCTAACTCCATTAAGGAACAGGGGTGTACTTGTTTGCTGTTAAGAGACTTTATTGCCTAGTCCAGAGCCTGACACACAGAAAAAGCTGTTTGTTGAATAAATGAATAAATGTATTTGTTGAAAATAAATGCATCGGCCAGGCGCGGTGACTCACGCCTGTAATCCCAGCACTTTGGGAGGCCGAGGTGGGCGGATCACCTGAGGTCGGGAGTTCGAGACCAGCCTGACCAACATGGTGAAACCCCGTCTCTACTAAAAATACAAAATCAGCCAGGCATGGTGGCGCATGCCTGTAATCCCAGCTACTCAGGAGGCTGAGGCAGGAGAAGCGCTTGAACCCAGGAGGCGGAGGTTGCGGTGAGCCGAGATCGTGCCATTGCACTCCAGCCTGGGCAACAAGAGTGAACTCCGTCTCAAAATAAAATAAAATAAAATATATAAATGCATAATCTCTCATAACCTCTCTTAACTGGTTGTGAATTCCTTACGTTTCACATTTTCTGACATACCTTTGGAATACTTAGGGGAAAACATCTTACCTCTCACAGAAACTAAGGGCCTAAAAATGGCTCTTCTACACCCATCAAAAGACTAAGAATCTAAAAGACATGCCCCCCTCTACCCTCTAAAAATGACTCTTTGTCCTAAGAATATGAATAAATCTCCATCTGCCAGACTGCACTAAATACAGCTTTTATATGCATTACAAAAACACCTGTATAAAAAAGCTGCTACAAAACGAGGTTTTTGGAGCCCTAAAGCACAAAACCAACAGAATCAAAACCAAACAAGAACAAGGAAAGACTTTTAAAACTGACAGTATTTGCAAAATGTAAAAATTCAATAGGTCTTTGGCCAGCGGTTTACACAGCTAAACCGAGTTTTTCCATTGACATATATTCCCCCAAATGTGAAGTAAAGATTATAGCAACATGATTCTAATATTTACAATGTGAAAATGAAAAGGGGACAACAACCTCTGGCCATCTTGAAGTAGAATAGAAACAACCTTTGTTCCTACTAAAGTTCTGTTGAAATACCAAAACCATCCCCAATATTCCTACACAAGAGTTAAAACACATACCAAGCCTGATAAGACACAAACAACAGGAAATTACCCTGCACAGTTTCTTAAAAGACTATTATTTCATGAAACTTACAGACTGTGTAGAGACATGACCACTTATGACTAAGTAAACGTAGGTTACAACCTTGAAAACCCAAACTTTTGTTGAACACCTACAATGCTTGTGGCCGCACTTTAGAAGGTGTGGCTAAGTATAAAAACCAAGCTCTAAGAGCAATTTCTTACTAAAACCCCAAAATGAACGTTTCCAATCACATTACATTAATTAAACCTGGCCAGTGAACAGCCTTGAACTCAATTAAATCCAGCAGAGTTTAATATTTATAGTAAAAGTGGGCACACTCTTTAGAAATGCCGAAAGATGTGAACTATTTATATTTACTACGACAGCTAAGTTTACGGCAACGGCTAAGGAACTTTAAAAATAAAAGTATTACTTTTGAATTTAATATAAACGTTTGCTAAATGACCTTCTGGCAGAGGAAATTCTTTAAATATCTTGTATGGGTTTTCCGAAGGCAAATTTTTTAAATACCCTCAAACTATGGTACATTTATGAAGCCCATTTTAAATTACTTCTCCCATCTCTGCTTCATCTGCTTCACTAATTCATGTATTAAAACTGTTGAAACTCCATTTAACTATTTGACTAACTTCTCTGTAAGATGGAAACTTTTTAAAGGGTGTTAAAGTAGAATAGCAAATTTTCAGCATAATAAGAGCAAATTTATTACTAGGCTCAAGGAAAACATCCTATCAGCGATTCATTCATACGAAACTATCAGGTTCAATTCATATGAAGTCAGAAGAGAGAAAAAGAATTTTGGAAATTAAATCACATTTCAAAGACCATTTCTAAAAAGATGTAATTATTCCAAGTTATTTATTTATTAACAATTATTTTACACATGTCGTTTTAAAAGTTTCACAAACCCAAATTTAAGATAGTCCAAATTGCAACAAACAAGACATGACTTTGATGGAAAATGCTGCTTGCAAATTCGTTTTACCTGGAAATTTCTTTTTTAAAGGTATGGTTGACAACACACTGGTGGTATTTTGCTTTTAAAGGGTCAAGAGAAAGGAATAACAAAACCAACCCAGGCATTCTTTTTCTGTTTAGGATCAAAAGGACATTTTAAGGATAAGTAAAAGACAAAAGTACCTGACCCAAAGACAATATCCCCCTCCAAGAGAACAAAGTAAGTTGCAATTTTAAAAACCAAGTTTGAAATACGAGAAATCACTTCGAGGGCTTTCCAAAGGCGTGTGATAAAAACTAATAGGCTCCACCCGCAGAACAACTTTCACAAGTGAGTGAAGGATGATCACAGAGTTATCAGCTGTGTGCGTGTTTGTGAGTACACACAAGCCATGGAAAACCCGAGACTACCACTGTTAACAAAGGTTACGAGACCAAAAAAAAAAAGTGGAGGCAAAGTATTACGCGTCCCTAACAAGGCTTCCCCACAACTCCTGAAACAAGAGCTCTGGCCCTTCGGCTTTAAAAATCAGAACCACAAACTATGGAGTGTGAGAGCAGCGAGGGGAAGGGACGCAGGCAGCCCCCGCCCCCGTCAGCCTGGGCGGCAGCGCAGTGCAACCGAGCCCCGTCCCTTCCCGGCTCTCCGGCCCCGAACCCGCACGCCCGGGCCGGCGCACCCACAGCCCCCGAACTCACCACACCCCAGCCCCCACCCGCAGCGGCCATGTGACACGGCCCATCGCCCCGGCCGCGGACGCACGCAAACACTTCCCTAGCTGGAGGCCCGCGGGCGCCCAGGCTTTACCTGCAAGGTGGCGCCAGGTCCCGCCCCGTCAGATCCGGGGGGTCCGGGACCTTTTGTTCCTTCCTCTTCCGATGGGATGGAGGGGGCTGGGAGGGGAAGAGGGGAATGGGCGATTGGAGGCGGAACTGAAAACACTCCCGGCCGCCGTCTTCCCGCCCCGCCCCCAGGCCCGGGCCCGGCCGGCGGCCCGGGCGCGCGGGAGGGTAGGGGAAGAGAGGGGAGGGGAGGGGAGGAGAGGGAAGGGGAGGGGAGGGAGCCTGGCCGCCGCCCGCGGGGAAGGAGGGGGTGAGGACGCGCGCGCCCGCGCTGCCCCTCCTCCCCTCAGGCGCGCGCCCGCAGCCCTACCGGCCGCCCGCACGGCCGCGCCCTCCCCCGCCAGCCCACCTCCGCTTCCGCCCTCCGCCCTCGGCCGCCGGCCGCCGCGGCGCCACGCACCCACCTCCCGGCGGCTGGCGGGCTGCTGGCTGGCGAGCTGCTTCTCCGCCGCCGCGGCCGCGCGGGTAGACCCGCCTGCCACCCTGGGCCGCGGGCCCCGCCGATTCGCCGGCGCAGCCCCGGGGCTGGCACCCTGCCGCCCGCTGATTGGCGCCTCCAGCCGCCCGTTAGGGCGCGAGGCACGCCGGCCGAAAGCCGCGCGGGGCGGGTATGGAAGACGGAGGGAGCGGAGGAGGAAAGGAACGAGGCCGAGCACCGCGGGAAGGGCCGGGGGGCGAGCGGGGCGCGGGGAGTCGCCGGCCACCGCCTCCCCACCTCCCTTTGCCTACGGCCCGCCCCGCCTCCCGGCCGGACCGGCGGCGCCCGCAGCCAATCAGCACGAGGGAAGCTCGGGGTGTGAGCCGCGCATCGGGGGCCTCGAATCGGAAGGGAGACGTCGCTCGCTGATTGGTCCCGCCTCCCCAGTCTAGCGTGAGGCGAGGCGGGGCGCGGCCGGGCGGGGCGGGACGCCCGCGGTTTCGCTTGAGTTGGGCGCCGGCGCGCTCCCACCGGGGCTCACGGGCGGAGAGGGAGAGGCCCGCGCCTTGCCGCGCATTAAGACGATTCCCGGTGACCGCCCGATCCCTCGCCAGCGTCGTGGGTGGGGCCTGTAGGGGCCTGCCGCCTCGTCCACCGTCCGTCGTGAGGCCGGCAGCGGACACGTGCTCATCCCACGGGGAGGCCCCGCGCAGCGCGGAGGACGCGCCTGAGAGAGAAAAGGGGTTCGGGAGAAGCCCGAGGACCCGGCCCGTGACTGGGCGCGCCCTATGCAAATGAGCGGGCGGGGCCCTCGTGTTGCTGAACGAGGGCGGGTTCGCGATGTAAATAAGCCCAGAGGTGGGGTCTTTGGAGAGCACTTAGGGCCCGGGTAGGGGATGCCAGGTATAAGTGTTTAACCTAAATTTTGGTTCCGTCTTCAGTAAAAATGATATCAATAATCCATGTCCCGAAGGGTCTTTGTGAAGTCTAAAAGAAACATCTGTCACGATGTCCCTTAATGGCTGGGATATCTTCCCTTCCCCTTTTCTCCACTGTTGCGACGATTAGGCCCCAACTTGCACATCTGCCCTACAGGAGGCAGCAAGGCCCTAAACTTACGGCTGCCCAGAACATAACTGCACCCAGGGAAAACCTTGTTGCGGTTACCCTTAGGAACACCCAAGCCTCTGCTGACAAAATATTGAGCCCAACTAATCACATCAGGTGTTTACTATGCACCCACTGTGACACAGGCAGGGAGTACCGTAGAACTAAAGTTGAAAAGAAACTTAGGTTTCACACAGGTGCCAGAGACAAGACTAGAACACAGTTTTTTTTTGGCTGCCTGTCCAGTAATTCATTCTCATGTGTGGCTTAGTTTATAGATTTAATTGGGGACTTCAAATAAGCGGGAAAGAAGCACTAGCAATACAAATCGGTAATCAGGAAGTACCAAATGAGCACTCCAAACAGTAAGAGTTTTTGAAGTATACGCTTTCTTCTGAGAAATGAACGTGTCCCAGAGGAGGGTGCCTTCAGATGGACCTTAAGAGAGATGTGGCCATCCCCTGAGTCATACAAGTTTTCCAGATGTCCTTTCAAAATCTCTGTCCTTTCCACCGTCTCTGTCCTCACACATAGAGGAACTTTTCTCACGGGAAGGTTGCGATGAAGAGCATAAACCCAGGAGTCAGGCACGTTGTAGCTTTGAGTACGACTCTGTTCCAGATCTGTAATCTTTGGCAAATGGAACTCACCTGCAACGATACCTACTTAAATATAGTTGTGTGATGATTAAATAATAAATATGAAAGTAAATAACATAGGGCTTTGAAGTTCAAGGAAAGTCAGTGATCATTAACTTCTCTTCTGTTGCGTGCGAACATTTATGCTGAGACGAACCTACTCAGCAGAAATTCTTCCTCCAAAAATTCCCTTCCAGGGTGGTTTCTTCCATTGTTAGTTTAGAGGCAGCTCTACTAACCCCTTAATAAAAATAAAAAAGTTTGTGAAGGACACCCAGGAAGCCATTTGGTGGAGCTGTCCCACCTCCTCTGCCTTGTTTCCTCTTTCCAGAGCCACTAGGGAGGACGGTCCAGGGCAAAGGCTGTTCAACTTACAAGTAGGAAGGCTGTTTCTTGTTTTTGGTCTGTCTTCCTGCTAATACAAGTCAACAGTTGTAATATGAAGTAGCATATTAAAAGCTACCCTGGTCACACAAGTATTTTCTCCTGTGTGAACAGGGTGTGGATTTGGGTGTCCACCTGAGTAGTAGAAATAGGAACCAAAGCAGGCCTGGCTGGGATTCCAGAATGTGCTCCTAGTATGGAAGTTAGGTACTTTGAGGTTACATTAATTAAGTGGGTAGTACGCCTGAGGTCTAAGTTAGACCATTTCTCCAAAGTCTCAGACTTTGGGTCCATAACTCTTCCATTTAGGAAGCCTTCCAGGATCTACAATTGAGGAAGAGGGAGAAGGGACAATCTGGCTACCAATGCAGTCCCCAAGGGGCTTAGAAATGGGAGCATGCCTACTGTCCCCTCTGCTAGAAATGCATCTAAACCAAAGTGGGTCAAGACAGAAACTGAAGGCACATAGAGCAGGGATTGCTATGGCAACAAACAGCTTGGAAATCCACTAGGGTACCTCAAGATCTATCAGTAGGTCCCTATTGTATAAATTAGATTGAATGAGTCTTATTTTTATATGGATAGAGACCAAGTTTAACCCTTCATTAAACATGACACTGCAAAATCAATTACATCCAAATCAATTCAGAATCCAATTCAAAAGTAGTTAAGTGCACTGGAAAGACACGAAAGAAAAATGATAATGGTGGTTGCTTCTGGAAAGAGCCTGAGGGTCATAAGTGGAAAATTTAAATTTCATCATTATTTCTTCTGTAGTTTGATTTTTTTGAAAAAGCTCACTGCCTTGGTTCAGACTTCATTGTCTTTCATTGGAAGTACTGCTTTAGCTCCTCAGCTGGTCTTCTTGCCTCCACTCTTGCTGCCTTCCAATTCATCCTCCTTCCTGCTGCCAGAATTTTTTTTAATAGCATATTTTCTAAATGTAAATCTGATATCACTACCTTGATTGATAGTTTCCTTCTTCCAGTTTTTTTTTCCCCAGGGTAAAATCAAGACTGTTTAGCATAACCTAAAAGATCCTTAATGATCCATCCCAGGCCAGTCTCTGTAGTGTCACATCTCAACACTCCCCACCTTGCTCCCTTTTCCCCAGCCAGAATGAACTCCTGACAGTTTCCCTAATCACCATGTTCTCTCGTTCCCCAGTGCCTATGCTGTGCTCTTTGTTCTGCTAGAAAGCACTTGCCCTATGGTGCCTGACCAACCTCTGCTCATCCTTGGAAGCTCTGTATAGAGCTTCAGTACCCTCATTTATTCATTGAACTCTCTATCCATACATACAAAGACACACACACACACACACCACACACACACAGTCATGATCTTTCAAAAAACAACTCATATTCTCCCCTTCTGGTAAATCTTTAAAGCCCTTTCTGGCTTCCCCAGCCCAAAGCTATACCATTCACATATGAATTTTCTCTCTTATACTTACGATGATATACATACCATTCATTTAGTCTTGAGCAGTTTTTTTTTCCAGCTTCTCCTGTGTATATATATTGTCTCCCCATCTAGATTGTAAGTTCCTGAAGGACAAGGACAACTTATTTTCACTTGTCTTCCCCTACCCTTACCAAAATACTAAGTAATTGAAGAAAGATGAAATACAGCATTTGTATAAAAGAAAAACATGTCACAGATCTGCAAACATTCTACACAGCTTTGCGCCCATTCTTCCGGTTTATAGTGGCCCTCCATACAACTGTTGGGTCTCTTTTCAACATCATTTGCTCATCCTAGTGGGATTAAATTGCAGTGAGCATTACTACATCTTAAGGAAAGATCCAGTTATTTGCAACTGAGAGGACCCTGATTAAATGAGATAAGTAAAAATTTTAAAGAACAAATGCATGGGCTTACTTTTATTGTAAATAATAAGGAAGAAATCCAACACCAGCTAGATATTTATATTGATACAATGAAATTTCAGGTTCCAAATGAATTTATGTTGCAGATTTGAACATATGCGCCCCCCCCAACACACAATCCTTATTCATGTTAGTTTTTGCTAAAAAGAAATAGTATTTCACATCTGATAGGAAATGCAGGAGACAGGAATAAGGCATATATGAGAAAAAAACTTCAAATGTAACAAGTGTTCATCAGGTGTCTGTCATGCACCTACCACAGAAGCATTGGTTGATCATAGTGGAAAATTCTCACTCTTTGGCCAAAGTCACTCAAAAAAAATAAGACAGGATTTTTTATAATTAAAGAGAGAAAGAGATTAAAAGAGAAGTTGGCTCGGATAAAGACAAAAATATATGGCAAAACAAATTATATTTCTCATCATTCTCCAGGCATCTTACTATTATATTTCTTATCTCTACACTTAAATGGATAAATAATGATTAGATGAATAGATCATTGGATAACTCAGTGACTGTTCAAATATTATTTGGAAAATTACAATACAATTCCAATGCAATGAGCTCTCCCATAAAGGCATTTAAATATCTGAGATGTACATATTTTGAGAAAAGAATAACAAAGGCCAGTGTCTAAACCCTGAAAGAACAATATACAAATTGTTTGAAGTTCTGTTGTGAGGGGAGATTATTTGGTAGTCACATGCCAACAATTGGGCCTTATGCTTTCATTATAATTGTCTGTGGGTGACAATATTGACTGAGCCAGGCTGCTGCTAGGCAGGATAAGTGTATGAAGGTTTAATACTCTTGGAAAATTTCAAGCTTATTAGCATAATTGCTGTGATGAAGACTGAAGAGCTTACTTAACATAGCTGACTAGAGTAGACAATAGATGCATAAGCAGTGTCCTAATTATTGAATTAATGAGTCCCAATTGTTTGTCCTTACTGTAAATGGTCCTTGCTATGAAAAAGACATTTTGCTGAAGGAGTCTGACAATTGTGTTAGCTGACAAGTGGCCAGAATGTAATTAATGGTGGGGGAGAGCCAATTACTACTGGGTCCTAAAGACTTCACTGGTGAGTTTCAAGGAAAAATTGCATAGCTATATAGTAGTTTCATATCAACTCCTCTTTTCCTTTGTAAAATCGTGGAGCCTGATTCAGTGCTCTTATTTTGCAGTTGAGGAAACTGAGGCCCAGGCTTACTTCTCCAAAGTCCTGTGACCACTTAGTGCCATGGATTGTGCAGGTAGTATCCACCTTTTCTGCTCTGGCACTGCCCACTGACTCTTCTTCCTGTTCCTGGTCTGCATGCACACCCATGCTGCAAAACAACACTTCTGAACCTTTGCTGCTCTACAAAACTCCAAGTTCCCATTACTTTATATGCATATGTCCTCACCAACTATTTCGTGGTGAAAATAGAGGCAAATTTCCTACCCACGCCTGAACCCCCAGTGATGGACAGATGTATCTGTCTCCAGACTGACCCTTCCAGCCACTTTCTTCAAAAGCCTTGCCTATCCCTCTGGAGAAGCTTTTTCCTCCACTTACTCTCTGTTCCCTTGACCACCCTGTCTAGGGTGGTCATACATACACACGTCCCTCCCAACATACACATGTCACACTCTACCACATCACCTTTAAAATTTTTTCTTTAAAAACTTTTATCATTTTGTAGAATCATCACGTCTACTTATTCTGTACTGAATTATTACTTGTCAACCCTTAACACTTAATGTAAGCTCTAAAAGAGCAGGAAATATGTCTGTTTTGTTCACCATAGTATCCCTAATTCAAGCATATATGGAGGCACTCAATAAGTATTTTTGAATGGATGAATAATTTTCACTCAAGTTCACTCAAACTTAGCATATCCAAATGGAACTGATGACCTCCTTCTGTTTTCCTATCTGAGTATGTCTTAGCCCAGTTCCCTAGAAAACAAACCCTGATGCAAGGATTAAGTATTGATGCGTTTTTTAGAAGGTATAATCCCAGGGCAACAGTATGAGGAAAAAGATAAGAAAAAATGGGGAACAAGGTACAGCAATGCATTGCTGTGCTAAACACTACTCCATGAAAAGCCTTAAAGAAATACAGCCTGTCTCTTGGGCAGGTACAGCCACTTGACCATACAGGACATCTCCAGACAGGCAGTATGAAGAAATCACACCATAAAACAATGTGAATAAGGAAGGAATTTTATCTTTGTGTCTCCTGTCTCCTGTTGGTCATAGCTTTTCCCTCAGGGAGTTAAAATTTTCTCACTTCCCAGTTGGGTTATCCATTTTCTTTAACAGTCACTCAGAAAGCCAGGTCCCATGCCCTGGAGTTCAGAAGCGGTGGGAGGAAACTGTGGGTATGTGGCTGGTTGGCTTCAGGCAGTTAAACCACAAGGAACTTAACTAAGTCTCTACTGGTAGCAGCTGAAACAGAAGAAGAGGTTAAGGGTCCCAGAGATGGTAAGGCTCAGAAAATCTGAGAAGACATGTAAATTAAGGCTGACATAGGGTAATCATTACTACAGCAAAGGTAGAACCAGGTTTATTTTATCCACTTCATTATACACAGCAGCTACCACACTATGTGCTAATTAAACTTCTGTTGAATAAATGCCTGCATAAATGACACCACCACCTGTCGGATCTGCTTAAACAGAAACCTTGGAGTCATCCATGGTCTTCCTTCTTTCTTAATTCCTGTATATCAAAGACAAAATTTCCATTGGTTCTACCTTTTTAATATATCTCAGATCCAATGCCTCCTCTCCAAGCTCACTGCCTCGGTTCAGACTTCACTGTCTTTCATTGGAAGTATTGCTTTAGCTCCTCAGCTGGTCTTCTTGTCTCTACTCTTGCTCCCTTCCAATTCATCCTCCTCCCTGCTGCCAGAATTTTTTTAATAGCATATTTTCTAAATGTAAATCTGATATCACTACCTTGATTTATAGTGTCCTTCTTCCTGTTTTTTTTTTCCAGGATAAAATCAAGACTCTTTAGCATAACCTAAAAGATCCTTAATGATCCATCCCAGGCCAGTCTCCGTAGTGTCACATCTCAACACTCCCCATCTTGCTCCCTTTTCCCCAGCCAGACTGAACTCCTGACAGTTTCCATAATCACCATGTTCTCTCATTCCCCAGTGCCTATGCTGTGCTCTTTGTTCTGCTAGAAAGCACTTGCCCTATGGTGCCTGACCAACCTCTGCTCACCCTTCGAAGCTCTGTATAGAGTTTCAGTACCCTCATTCATTCATTGACCTCTCTATTCATACATACAAAGACACACACACACAAACACGTGCGCACACACACACACACACACACACACACACACACTCAGCCATTCAGTGTTTATTGTAACAGCCAGGTTCTTAGTTGCAAGCAACAGAAGAAATTGATGTTGGCTGACTTAAGGAGAAAGAGAATTTGGTGAAAGGATATTGGGTGGCTGACACAATTGCTGGGAAGGCCCCTGCAGAAACAGGCTCAGACAATAAGCAGAAGAAACAAGGAAGGCTAGGCAGCAGCCAGGAAGACAGCCAAGACACAGGACCACATACTGAGGGAGGAAGGCAACCATCACTGCCACCACCATTCCACACAGGATGCCATGGCCTTCACTTCCAAGTCAGTGTCACTGGGCATTACCCACCATTCGCTACCCACCACTCTCACTATCAGCACTGTTGCTCCTGGCAATCAGATGTCACTGCAGTGCCTGTTACTGCCACCAGAATTGTTTCTCCACCACCCGTATTTTGCATTACTAGAGCCCTGTCTTTGAAGCCCGGGGCAGATCTATTAGGTCAACCAAGCTTAGCCTATGTTGCATGCTCTGCTTGCAGGCAGGGTTGAGAAAGTAAGGAGCTAACATTTTGGTAGCCTTCTATATTATAGTGGGGATCTGCTTCTCTCCAGTAATCCTCAGATAATTATCTAAACAAAATAAAGGGGGCCAGGTTCTGGGGAGCCCCTAAATGACAAATGTCCACCATGTTCTCAAAATTGCTCAACAAATAAATTGTGCATCTACCTGTGCCATGTTGTCTTTGAGGCACCAGGGATACAAAAATGAATAAAGTGACCACTTCATACCCACTAAGAGGGCTATGATCAAAAAGACAGAAAATAACCAGTGTTCCTAAGGATGTAGAGAAATTGGAATCTTCATATATTGCTGGCAAGAATGTAAAATGGTGCAGTCATTCTGAAAAGCAATCTGGTAGTATTAACACCTCTAAAGATTAGACAGAGTAACCACATGATCCAGCAATTCCACTTCTAGGTATATACCCAAGGGAAATAGCAACATATGTCCACCCAATAACGTTTACACAAATGTTCATAGCATTCATAAGACCATGAAGTAGAAACATCCCAAATGCCCACCAACTGATGAATGATAAACAGTGGCGTATCTATACAATGGAATATTATTCAGCCATGAAATTAATGAAGTATTGAAACATGCTGCCATATGGATGAATACTGAATCTTGAACCATTATGCTAAGTGAAAGAAGTCGGTCACAAAGGTCACATACTGTGTGATTCCATTATATGTAACATCTAGAATAAGCAAATCTATAAAGATAGAAAGTGGATTTGTGTTTGGCAACGTCTGGGAGTGGAGATGGGGTGGGAAGGGGAGTGACAGCTCATGGGTACAGGGTTTCTTTCTGTGGTAATGAAAATGCTGTAAAATTAGATTGCAGTGATGATTGTATAGTTCTGTGAACATACTAAAAACCATTGAATCATATACTTTAAATGAGTGAATTGTGTGCTATGTGAGTGATGTCTTAATAAAGCTGTTTATAAAAAATGAATGTAATAAAAAAGCCTCCTTTTCCTCAATGAGCTGATATGCTTGTGGGACAGCAGAGTTAACAAGGTGGCTGCCAGTGGCCGCTGGTCAAGCCTGTAATCCCAGAGCTTTGGGAGGCCTGGAAGGATCGCTGGAGGCCAGGAGTTCAAGAACAGCCTAGGTAATATAGTGGGACCCTGTCTCTACAAAAACTATATTTAAAAAAAGAGTTAACAAGGAAACAATACAACTTCAAGTTGTGGCAAGGCTTTCCCTCACACCTACTCCTTCTTTCTTCATGCCTCAAGATGGAAGATGTACCTTGCTCCTTGCCACAGCACTTACTATATTTTGAATTGTCTTTCTCTGAACAGTACGATCCTCGAGGTAGGAACAAGTGCGTCTTTGAACTTTGAGTCACCAGGGCTAGCTGCGGTGCCTAGCACACAGTAGCCTTAATAGTTGTTTGTTGAACGGCGAATAAATGAGAGAGCCAGAACTGGAACCTGGGTGTCCCAAGACCTAGACCAGATTCCTTCCTACTACACCCGACTATATTGATGCCAGAAATGAATGCTTTCCAAATATGACGGCTAGCCAGAGAGATGTCTACAACAAAAACAGTTGCGTTTTCTACAAGCTGTCAGTTTCCAGGTATATGTTTACGTTTTACACTGTAAACGTAATTTTGCTGTTTCCCTTAATTATGCTATGTCCTTCGAATAATCATTTCACTCACCTCATTTACAGCTCTCTTCCTTGAGTTCATCACACAGCACCAGCTTTGCTGTCATCTTTAGCATCCTGTAATTGCGACTTCTCACCCACTTGGCTGGTCAACACTGAGTGGGGGGCTTTCTGGCCTGTGTGCACAGGGTTTCAAGGCCCAGATTTTAGAGATTTGGCTTTTCATTTACCAAAAAGCACAAAGTAGAACTATATCAGCAAAGATTATGTAGAAAATTACTTTTTTCACAGCCTCTTGATATTTAACTTTGCAACAAATATTCCGTACTACTTTTAAAAATCAGCTTTATTGGCTGGGTGCGGTGGCTCACACTTGTAATTCCAGCACTTTGGGAGGCCAAGGCGAGTGGATCACCTGAGGTCTGGAGTTCAAGGCCAGCCTGGTCAACATGATGAAACCCTGTCTCTACTAAAAATAGAAAAATTGGCCAGTCATGGTGGAAAGCACCTGTAGTCCCAGCTACTCTGCAGGCTGAGGCAGGAGAATCACTTGAACTTGGGAGGCAGAGGTTGCAATGAGCCAAGATCGTACCATGGCACTCCAGCCTGGGTGACAAGAGTGAGACTCTGTCTCAAAAAAAAAAAAAAAATTAACTTTATTGAGATATAACTCATATACCATAAAATTCAACCAGTTAAACTGTACAGTTCAATGGCTTTTAGTATACACAGAGCTGTGCAACCATCACCACAATCTAATTTTAGAACATTTTCATCACTTCAAAAATAAACCCCATACTGGTAGCATTCACTCCTCATTCTTCTCTCCCCTACTCTTGACCCTAGCCAACTACTAATCTACTTTTTTGTCTTTATAGATTTGCCTATTCTGAATGTTTCCTAGAAATGGAATCATATAGTATGTGGTTTTTTGTGACCTGGCTTCATTCACTAAGCATGTTTTCAAGGTCCAGCTATGTTATAGCATGTATCAGTATTTCATTTCTTCTTATAGCTGAATAATATTCTATGATATGGATATACCATATTGGGCATTTGCTTGTTTCCATTTTTGTCTCTTATGAATAATGCTGCTGTAAACATTCACATATATTTCTCTACTACTTTTTAAATCATAACTTTGTTTCAAAAATTCCTCCACCCCTCTGATGCTCTTGTCTCTCAGTAGGCTCTCCAGTAATTTACAAGGTTCTTCTAGGCTTTTTATTATTGATTATTAATGGTTATTGAAGGCCTAAAGTTTACCTGGCAAAGATTCAGCCTTCCTGTTATTGTAATTATTATCAATATAGAAAATATTTCACTGAACTAATGAAACAACTGTATCTCCAATGACATTTTGTGACCTGTTAAAAGATGCCAAGGAAGGCTGGGTGTGGTGGCTCACACCTGTAATCCCAGCACTTTGGGAGGCTAAGGTGGGAGAATCACTTGAGGTTAGGAGTTTGAGACCAGCCCGGCTAACATAGTGAAACCTTGTCTCTACTAAAAATACAAAAATTAGCCAGGTATGGTGGCCCACTCTAATCCCAGCTACTCGGGAGTCTAAGACACGAGAATCACTTGAACCCAGGAGGCAGAGGTTGCAGTAAGCCAAGATCACACCACTGCACTCCAGCCTGGGCAATGGAGTGAGACTGTTTCAAAAAAAAAAAAAAAAAAAAAAAAAAGATGCCAAGGAGCCATGTTCTTGGAGAGTCTTATCTGCTAGGGACTGTGCACTGTACTGTGAGGACAAGAATTAGGACACAGTCCTTGCCCTCTAGGATCTTCTGTTCTGTTCGAGGAGACAGTTGTAGGAGATGCAACTCACCCAGTCTTGGCGGTCAGGGAAGGCCACTGTAGGCAGGGTGGTACTGCTGGGAGTTAGCCAGGAAAAGAGCCAAGAGAGCAAAGGCAAACACATGAGCAAGGGCCCAGATGTGAGAGGAGCATGTTTGTATGAAAGGGAGGGAGAAAGGAAAGGAAAGAGAGGGGAGGGGCATGAGGAATTGTGGAAGGAAATGAAGCTGAACCAATAAAGAAGAGCCACATTGTTAAGGGCTTTGAAAGCCATGCTAAGGAAAAGTTCCTCTGCTTGAAGGGGAAGGATTAAAAAAAATCAGTGGATCAAACATTCACTGAATGTTTGACCCTCTCAACACAAAACAAACACAAAAACTTATTGAAAAATATACAAAATGAAAAGGAATTTGTGAAATACTACTTTTTAGTGTTCATGTTAGAAGTAAATGTGTTTCTCTTTTAATCAAAATCTTCAAATTTGGTGTCAACTTGTAATAACAGTAATGTTTTAAATTATTTTCTTTTTATTATTTAACAAATATATGTGTGACCCTCCTATGTACAAGAGATTACTCCAATCTCTGAGGCTACAAAATGTTTCACAATGCTTGGTTCCTCACTTCAAGGCATTAAGTGTTAAATCACATAATCGGTGCATAAAGAAACCAATAATATTTCATATATTATACATATTTAATAAATTTCTTATTCAAAAGAAGAGGCACCACCAAAGAATTCAAAGTGTATCAACATTAGTGTCCCTCATTGGCACAATTATAATTAATTCAATTTTTTAAACAGCCCTACACCAAGGGGCCTTCAACTAACAAGGCTCTTAATTATTTTTGCTTTGGAAATTTTTTATCCTCTGGTCCAATTCAGGGGTATTTTTTTTAAAAAAGATTTATTAAACATTACAAACAAAGTAGTGTCCTATGGGCTATGAAGAATGTAAAGGAATGGTAGGTATGGTTCCTTCTCTCAGTGAAATTCCAATTCTACTGGAAATACAAGAGGTGGCATCAAGGAGGTTGGGGGAGCATTTATTGTCTCCTCTCATTGTGCCAGGTTCTTAAAGCTCACTTTATCTCATTTGATCTTCCAATAACCCCATTAGGAAGATATTTTTCTCATAAGTAATAGAAGTCCCCATAGAGGTAAAATAACCCAAGATCAACAAGCCACAGTGGACATTTCCAATTGAGGTGAAAACCAGGAAATATTTACCAAGTGTGGTCACATGGGCAACCGCACAGTTCCGCTGAGTGAAAATGGGTTTGAATTCTCTTATAGCTAGCCTTCAGGGGTCTTTCTTGCATCTCCACTCTTTGGTTCCAAGGAAAGTGACGAAAAGCCCTTCTGAGACCTGGGGCTGGGGCTAGCGCTGTCTGGAGGCATCTTCACTCACATGTCTGGTGGGTGATGCTGGCTGCTGGCCAGCACACCTACACATGGTCTTTTGAGTCTTTGGTAAAGGGTAATGGATATAGAGAAATAGGAAAGACCAGTGAAGGGAGATATGCAGTTAAGGGAAGATTTTAATCAAATGGAACATAGAATATTTTTATAGATTGAAGGGAATAAACCAGTAGAAAGGGGGAAATGTTAGTACAGGAAAGAGAACAGATAACAGTGAGAATGGCGCTCTAGAGTTGGTGAAAGGAGATGGAACCCAGTGCACTGGGAGGGTTTAGCCTAACACAGCAACTTGGATGGTTCACCTATTGCACGTATCCTCAATGAGGACAAAAGTTGGCTCCTACTCTTTTTATGTACAAAGCACAGATACACATGCAGTGCATAATCTTATGGCATGAGGCAATTAGGAAAAAGGTATCTAAAAAGACACTTTGAGGGGCAATAATGAAAAGAAAAGGTTGAGAAACACTGATCTACGGTAACTCAAGAGAAGGCAGAGAGTATATGAGTAGATATCAGTGTTCTGATGTTCGGGTGTTTAGATGTTGGAAACATGTGGAAGCTCTCTTTTGATATCATCTATTTCCCAGTGAAATAAGGAGCAAGAACCAAATATGAGAAGGAGAAAGGGAGTTTTACAGGTTTGACAAGAGATGAGAAAGTTGAAATTGATGTCTTAGAGGGTCAGAGAGGGAATTGACTAAAGACTCACTTGATGTTGATGGACTCCTTAAGGTGAGATCAGTCAGCATGTTTGTGTGCTTTTCTCTAACTGCATTCAGATGCTTGGATTAGGTAGTGGTTGGGTTTCACCAGGGTTGGGATTTTACTAGGGGAGTACAATGGCTGGAAATATGAGCAAGGGCATCTCCCACAGAGTGGCTATAATGGTCCTCAATTCCCTACCCTCACTCTGCACTCCCCATAACAGCACGTGTTCTTGGCTTCTCACACCAAGCCCCTGCAGCTCTCTGTGGAAGGGCTTCTTGTTGGTCTATGTTAGAATAGGCCTGAAGTGCTAGGAAGCCCCTGAGAATAACCTTTAGCTAACAATGGATGGGACACTACAATTTCCTTGCTCTTGAGAGGGGAATAATTCTACGGATGTTCCACATACCTGCTTAATAAATTCCCTGTATTCACTTCCTTCTCTTCCCTATGTGACTTTCCCACTCCCCTCCCAATGCTTCCTGGGATCACTTCTTAAATAAATGACTTGCACTCAAATCTTTGTCTCAAGGTCAGCTTCTGAGGGAAGCAAACTAGGACACAGATGAACCATAGTTTCAAGCCAGGTGAGAAGAGAGTTAAGTACATGATGGTGCAGGTGGGGGTGGAAAAAAGAGAGGGTTGATAGGCAGTGAAAAATGGTGGGATCAGTGAATTGGCAAACCCAATGAGATCAATGAATGTTGGAGTTAGGGTACTGGCAGTGGTGATTGGAGAGTAGGACACTTGAAATTGGGAATCTGCAGTTGTTGAAAACAATCCTTAGGGTATGACCATAGGATTGTGTGACTTGGTGAGATGGAGGGTATGATCGTTGCAGGTGAGGAATCAAAGAACTGAAAGGCCAAGGTCAAAACCACCTATGGCAGAGATTAGTTTCAGTCAGTTGCTTTCTACCTCTCCCTTAGAGTTATCATGAAGATTGAATGATACAATTCACATAAGAGCTTGAGTACAGAGCTTGGTACACAGTATGTGCCTAATAAATGTGATGGGCATGTGATCCAAACCAAACCCTCCCAAGGATTGTGTAACTTGATCCATTGGAGAAGCGCTCTCTTTTCTCTTTGGTCATCCAACACAAAGATGGAAGCAGAGACAAGATGGGGAAAAGATCGTGACAGTGTTCACTTCCCTGCAGTCAGTTGTCTCTACAGCCAGTATACTCTTTGCCTACAATTATTCAGTTGGGTTTTAGAGTTAACAAAACTAAAAATTTTAATTTTCTTATGCTTTCGTTAATTTGAGTTCAGTTCCTGTCATTTGCAACAACAATAAAAACAATCAAATGACTAATAAGGGAATTCACCTCTTGCCTCAGGCTGACGAAAGTGATCTAATACAGGGTTGGTTTGTGGAGATCCTTTAAAGCCCTAGAGAGGGGGGAGTGTTGTGAGGTTTAAAGAACATTTGACAATGACTCATACCTGAGTTTATCTCAACTCTGCCATGTGCTAACGAAGTGGGCATTGTGCCTTAGGGTTTCATTGAAGAATCTCTAAAAGTCAGCCTTGCTAACTCATATTGTAGCTATGTTTTTGAAGGCATCATCTACTTCACCTGTCAGTGTCCTCTCTATGATACGCACAGCAGAAATTTATTTTAGAATGTGTTGCTGGAAGAACTTGACTTCTCTCAAAGAACTGAGAAGGGTTTTCTTTGTGGAAAGAGAACTAAGGAATCAATTGTGTTTATTCACTTTGGCTATATGGAAGCTCAGAGGCAAATATACAGCCCAATATGTGGGACCTTATCATCTGCAATGTGAATATGGAAATTTTATGTATATTCTATAGAATAGAATATAAATCTATTCTAATTTATATTTTCCTTAAACTCAATTTTAATATCTTATTTAAATTTTACTATTTATTATAAATGCTGTATACAAATCCTTATTTATGGAATAAAGAAAAGTATAAATAAATAGGTACACACACGCTGGGCATGGTGGCACACATGCCCGTAGTCTCAGCTACTTGGGAGACTGAGATGAGAGCATTGCTTGAGCCTGGCAGTTCGAGATCAGCCTGGGCAACATACGCAGACCCTGTCTTTAAGAAATAAAATAAAAGATAAAGAAAAGAATAAGTACACACACTAGTATTCAACTTGAGGAATATCCCTTCACCTTTTATGTGATACTTTACTGTAAAATGATACAGTTTAAATTTTTACTGGAAATGGTAAATTCAGAAGCATTCCTTTTACTAAAAAATATAGCAGTAATAGATGATGATTTAAAAAAAGAAACTAAAGTAATACAACTGGACTCAATAACAAGATAAAAATCTCCATGACCCAGAAACAAAGTAAATAGGGCTAAAACCATGGTGCTCTGGGCTTCTGGTGCAGAGGCAGTAGTCATGTCTAGGAGCTCAGTCCTGTAGAATAATAGGGACCAAGTGGATCCCACATGAGATGGGGTATTAAAGCCAGGAATATTTACCTGGTCATGAAAGGAAGCTGAAAAAGAAAACTCTTCTTGACTTGTATGTGAGCTTATAGCTTTTATAAAAGCAGGAGGGCGGGAGGCTGAGGCAGGAGAATGGCGTGAACCCTGGAGGCGGAGCTTGCAGTGAACCAAGATGGCGCCACTGCACTGCAGCCTGGGCGACAGAGCTAGACTTCGTCTCAAAAAAAAAAAAAAAAAAAGCAGGAGGGAAGCCTAGGGAGGCAGAAGACAGAAACATAACACCACAACTAGGAAATGGAACAAGCTGCCTCCTGGCCTAGTGACTGTATCTGAAGCATCCTCAGTGTCATTATAGGGCAGGAATCCCCCACCGCAAACCTAAGACTTGGTTCTAGACTGAAATACTGGCATGAGGGTGGGGGAAACTAAGTAGACGCTATCAGAAACCTACTAAATAGGGAAGAGAGAAACAAATCTCCCTTTCAAAATGATCTTACAAACTAAAACCATTATAAGTCATTTGAAGAAAGCTAAAATGCTAAGAAAGACCAGAGTAAAAATCAGTTATTCAAATATAATTTGCTTTATTAGAAATATATTTTAGGGGTTATTCTGAGAAAGACTAAAACATAAATATGCTTGGGATGCTAAAATCCATTTAAAAAAGCAAGCGACCAGGTGTGGTGGCTCACGCCTGTAATCCCAGTACTTTGGGAGGCTGAGGAGGGCAGATCATGAGGTGAGGAGTTCAAGTCCAGCCTGACCAACATTGTGAAACCCCGTCTGTACTAAAAATACAAAAATTAGCTGGGCATGGTGGTGCACACCTGTAATCCCAGCTACTCAGGAGGCTGAGGCAGGAGAATTGCTTGAACCCGGGAGGTGGAGGTTGCAGTGAGCCGAGATGAAGCCATTGCACT
Source organism: Homo sapiens (assembly GCF_000001405.40). Taxonomy (NCBI): domain Eukaryota; kingdom Metazoa; phylum Chordata; class Mammalia; order Primates; family Hominidae; genus Homo; species Homo sapiens. Next base: position 47,947,627 of record NC_000018.10, read on the forward strand.
CTAGCCTGGGTGACAGAGCAAGACTCCATCTCAAAAAAAAAGCAAGCAAACAGGCAGAAATAAGAACTATATAGAAAGGACAAAACATTGATTATAAATTTTGAAATAGAAATACAGATTTAAAAATTTAATAGACCAGAAATGAGCACTGTTGATGAACAAATTAATGAACTGAATTACAGTATTATAAAATTCACTCAGAAAGCAGCACAAAATATATGAAAAGTTTTAAATAATAATTAAAAGACATGGAGAATAAATTGAGAGACCACGTAATACATCTAATAAGAGTTCCAGAAGAATAGAGGGAATAAGGAAGAAGTAATAACTGAAGAGGTGGTAGCTGAAAATTTGCCAGAATTAAGCAATGATACAGGTCCTTGGTTTGAAAGTGTGTTCCAAGTACCAAGTAGGAAGAACACAACTAAATCCCCACTTAGATTCTTTATAGTGAAACTGTAGAACATAAACAAAAGTCTTTAATAATTAGTAACGAAAATAACAGATCATCTAACAATGAATGATAGACTAATAATAGACTTCTAACTGGAAAAAAGATCAGGCCAAAGTACAATGGAATAATATCTTCAAAATGCAAGGAAATATATTTGGCAAGCTAGAATTTTATACACAGCTAAACTGCCATTCAACTGATGGCAAAATGTAGGTACATACACATAACCTGAGAGAGTTTACCACCCTCAAACCTCACTAAAAGAGAACACTTAAGCCTTTTAATCCAAAGAAATAAGAAAGGAAGAAGAAAATGAAAGAAAGATAACTAGAGACATGGAACAGAAGAAAATATTATGAGGACAGAATAAGAAAATATGTTTCCATAAATTTAATTAATATTGACTGAAATAAAAATCAAAATAACTGATGATCCGTGCTTATAAAAGGGAGAGTAAATTAATATTCTGAATAATAATAAGAAGATCAGGAGCACAGTGTTCAATAGGTAAAGTGTATTCAAGTTCCTGCCATTTTTTAAGAAGGAAGTGGTCTAATCACCTCTTTAAGGCCCCACCTCTTAATACCATTGCATTGGAGATTAAATTTCAACAAGAATTTTAGAGGGACACCAGCATTCAAACCATAGCATCGCCTAATAAATAAATTAGTGTATTCTTTAACAAATAGTATTTGCCCTGGCTCTGGAAAAATATGGAACCTCAGTCATTGCCCTATCAGGGTTTAAATTTCGCAAAGAACAACAGAAGCAAGAAATTTTTTCAAAGGAGAAAGAAAATGTAAAATAGGCTCACCAAACTCCTACTGTGGCATAGTGGACAATTAATATTTTGCCTGCCAGCACATCCCTTTCTTCAGGGAACCGCATCTCCCTTCTCTATAAACTGTTCCTCTTCTGCTTATAAGAATCTTATAGGGACTACCATATTCTTAGAGGACCTCAACCATATGGCCATAAGTGATTGGACCAGGAATGGGCATCTGACCTAACCTGTGTCCATCAGAACTCTACCCAGGGCCACCATGAGTCCATATGGCACTTTTGTGTAAATTAGAAAAAAAGTGGCCCTTCCTCAAGACACTTCATACCCTGTGTTAGGAAACTGTTGACATCTACAATGTTTATGGGGCATGTGGCACCCCTAGGTTTTTGCAGTAACTCCAATGCAGTATTTTTGAACTTCAGACTACCAACAATATGACAGGCAGTATCTCTCCAGTACAGAGACAATAAAATTCAGGAGCTTAGTGCAGACGTCCACTCTGATACATGGAAAAGGCTGGTCTGCAGTGAGACAGGATGAAGTCAATGCGTGGAAAGAAGCCAAAATGCAGAACAGAGGGAGATAGTTCCAGTTATATTTGGGGTCATGATTCCAATTGTTCCTAGAGACTCAAGTGTATCCCTTCCTCTCCCATTGTTTGGATGTTCAACTCTTTCTTTTTTTCCACAAGCCAAAACATTCCTTTTTTGGCATCTGCAGGATCAAATAGAATTTTTGTTATTTGCAAATAATGCAGCTGTGAATTTAATTTCACTAATTTCCACATCCCTCAATTTTAAAGGCAAATGGGGGAGGGCACATTAGCTGTAATCTCTACTTGATCAAGTATGATTTTTACACAAAGGGAAACAGCTCTGTGTCTATCTATTCCAACCCAGTAAGTCGTTTCTCATTCTATGTCCATGCCTAAAAAGAAAATTACATGTTGGCTGCCTGCTTTAATTGTTTGTAATCACTGAAATTTGTAGTCCCATCCTGTGGTGTGTTCTGAGACCTCTCCTCATGGGGCATTCTTTCACTGTGTTTTGTTGGCAGGAGTGTAGCAATTAGAAAATTAGGAAATCTATAAAATCCAGAGGGATATCAGTTTTGGCATTTCTTTCCTTTAGTCAGTGTTGTTGTTAGAAATACACAGGGCACTGGAAAAAAAAATTAAATGGAACCATGGCCTCTACCACTGAAATAGAGAGCTAATCTGTTTCCAAGAATCACTCACTATCCCCATTGGCGGATCCCACTATGGGAGGTGAATCCAATGAGTCTCTTCTTGGAGGGAGAAGGGAAGAGTTCTTCTTGCCCTCTGAGCTTGCTTAGAGGCCAGTAACTTTAGAAAGTCATCTTCCTCCCAAGTGCACATGACCCTAATTTGTAGTTACAGCCAAATATGTAGAACGGGAAGATTAAACCTTATTCATGTATGTGCATACATACACCTGGTCACATGCAACTAAAAAGTCATGACTAATTTTAAAACAAACATAGCAGAACTGAGGTTATCCTTTTCTCCTTCAACATGCTTTAAAAGTGTGTTTGCTCTTTGGAAATAGGAAGGAGTCATCTGGAGCCACATTACCTGGCAAATCAGGTAATCAAGCTGCAGTAATTGGGGGGTTCAATAAAAAAGTATTAGTAAGCTATAAGACTGGTTTTCTATACGGCTCAAAAGCTGTTGCCAAAAATAATTTTCAAAGGAAACCAGAAAAGAACTTCCATCAATGGAAGCATCCTTAGAATAATTGAGTAACCTTCTAAAAAGATTACACAGGAGGGAAACCACTCATTTGGAAAGGAAAGAAGAGGTTGTACATATGCTTGCCATTCAAAAATGGTTAAGTGATGAAAAGCACAAACAAGTGCATCTGCATGAGATACAGTGATATAAATACTTATGTTTCTAGAATATTCATCAGATGAGTCCGGGAAAACTGGCAGTTTAGAAGTAATCAAGTTAGATCTTCTCCTTCCAGTATATCCTAGAATAGATTCCCAATATATTAAAGAGAAAAAATAAAATCATAAAAATTTTAGTGACTGAAAAATGTGAAAGAAAATAGAGTTTGGGGACAAGTTTTCTAAGCATAAACTTATGAAAGAAATGGAAATTTTATAAGACCAAAAACATTGTATAGAAAAAAATGTGCACCAAGGCAGAGTTAATAGCCTTACTATATACAGAACTGTTATAAAGTAATAAAATATTTCATATTTATAAAACATGAGATGTTTTAAAAAATGTTTAATCTTCCTAGTCACTACCAAAACATTGCAATTTAAAGATGTTGTAGCTGGAGTAATATTTCTAAGCACATTAATGTGCTTCCCCCCAACCCTTAATGGTTCTGTGCATTTGACCTTACCATGATCAGCCTACAAAATCCATCTGTGTTGGGTAAAGGGGAAGGAGAGGAATTAGGGGTGGGAGGCTGTCAGGTGGGGCAGATAGAAGTCTTACTGTAACAAAAAACAAGAGTTAATAATTTGCTTCTGATATCCAAAATTGGGTTTTATAGCATGGAGAGACAGACTTTGTCAGAAGAAACAGGATTTCTAAATTTCTGTAGTCTCTTTCACTGTGGAAGAAAGTTTCACTCTGCCTGTAACAGTTAAACTGTGATGTCTGCTAACCTTATAGTCTAGGATGGAGAAGGGACAAGGAGGATATTATACAAACACAAATAGATACATAATATTAATATATAATTATTAATATATTTACATAAACATACATTTACATAAATATAATATATTCATATAATACATAATTATATTTACATAAATATATTTAATATATATCTATTTAATATATAAGTATATTTACATAAATATATTAATATATTTAATGTAATATATAAATTTATATATTTATATACATATATAGTTATACATATAACTATATAATACATATAATATCCTCTGTATATACTTATATATATGCCTATATATACACAGAGGATATAGAGAGACAAATATAGATAATATATAATCTATTATATAATATATAACGTATAATATATAATCTATTATATAATATCTACGTTTGTCTCTGTATAATATCCTCTGTGTATATTTATACATATACAGAGACAGCAGAACATCCAAAGACAGACCTTTCCTACTCAGGTGAAAGAACAAAGGAGAAAGACTGATGTAGTGCAAGAAGGTCAGGTGCTGGATCCCTATTATTTTCCTCTCCACATATGCCAGGCAGGCACTTACACATTCTAAATAGATTTGGGGAAGTGCAAGGACATCAGGGCTAGCAGCTCATTTCCCTGGACACAATACAGGTAGGGTAGAAACCCTACCTGTGGCTACTTTGAGCACGGAAGAAGCTGAGACAGGTTTGGCAGATGATAGGCAGTTAGATGGACCATGCGCTCCTGGCTCTCCATGGTCTGCTCACAGACAGCAAAGGATCCATGTGAAGCCAAATGCCCTGGTAGGGAATGCAACAGTGCTGAGAAGGTCAGGGGACCAGCAGAAGCAAGTGGGGCTAAATTGCTGGGCTCAAAGGCCCCAGCAACATGTGCTAGCGCAGAATCCCAAGAAGCCAGGTCGGGGTAGGTACTATTCAGCAGTTACAGGTTCAGATACAATCCCTGGGCAGCTGACACCTTACGGGGGATTGGTCTCTGAGAAGTAAGAATTTATAAATTGAAAGTAGCCTGTTTAAACCAGAGGAGATGGGATACTATTCACTGGGAAGCCTTAGGGCTCCTTACTGTCCAATGAGGAGGTGCTCACGGGGAATATCAGAAATATATTGATGATGTATTAATATTGAATATCAGTACAATATTAAACCAAAATGAAACCACATTTTAAAATCCAGCCAAGTGTGACTTGAGTAATCTGCAACATTGCTAACACAGTACTTTTTTCTTTGTTTCACTCTTTCATGAGTTCTATTTTTTCTGTATATATTTCTGTTTCCAAATGTCTATAAAAATAATATAAAATACAATTACCCTTTTATAAAAACATGTATCACCTCTGAAATAAAAAATACAATACCTATTTTAAAAAATGTGTTTGTAGCCGGGCGAGGTGGCTTATATCTGTAATCCCAGGATTTTGGAAGGCCAAGGTGGGAGTATTGCTTGCACTTACAAGTTTGAGACCAGCCTGGGCAACACAGCAAGACCTCGCCTCTACTAAAAAATAAAAAATAAATAAAAATAAATAAGCCAGGCATGATGGTGCTCACCTGTAGTTCCAGCTACTCAGGAGGCTGAGATGGGAGGATCACTTGAGCCCAGGAAGTTAAGGCTGCTGTGAGCTGTGATTGCCACTGCACTCCAGCCTGGGCAACAGAGCAAGACCCTGTCTCTAAATAAATACATAAATAAATAATAAAATGTGTTTATATATCAAACAAGATCAGAAGAGACTCTAGGGTAACGTTTCAGTTAAAATTATTTTCTGTAAAGTTAAGTGTACAATAAAAATTCAAAGATTAACAAATTTGGGCCTCCTTAATTTTGTCACTTACCCATATATTTCATCTTTTTTTTTAGGTGAAAACAAGCCATCTCCACTGATTTTCAATTATCTGTACTCTGGAAGTCCAACACACCCTTGCCTAATTAAGCATATGCTTCCTAGGATTAGTGCAGGAGAGATTTACCGCCTAACGCGGCTCTCCCAGCTCCCAGCACCATCTGTGCATTGAGCCGTGCCCAGAGTGATTTGGTGATTCACTGGAACCTGGCAAAGGGTCTGGCCAGGCTCCGACAGAAAACAGGATATGGTAATTCTCTCGAGGCTTAGCCCAACTCTGCTGTGGTTTCCTTGATACACTCTCTAGTTCCTCAAGACCAGCCTTTGGTTTTCATTGCTCTGCAGTGGTGTTTCCACATCCACACCCTGGTTCAGACAGAATAAATTAGACAATACATTTGTGAGCTCATTACTTCTCCAAGAGGCCTAGAGAACAGAGTCTGTTACCCAAGGTCACACTGTTAGCAGTGGCAGAATGAGGACAGGACCCAGGCACCCAGCTGTTCATCCAGGAAGACTAGAGCATTTGAGGAAAATATCCACAGCCCAAAGTAATCACTTGTTACCATGAACAGTCATGAACCCCCCTTTCACTTTTATGATCCACTCGAGGGTGGCTCAAGTTCAAACTAATCTAGTCCCACATGGAATTCACTGCAAATGATTTCTAAATGTGGGCAGGATTGAACTGTATTTAAATACAGACTTTCTTCTCCCTGGGCCCCCCAAAGGCTGCCCTTTCCACAGCCTCCCTACCCTTCCCCTGTGCCTACCAGTAACTGTGGTTTCTTGGTAAGTCAGCTAAGGTTCATTATCATTATTATTATTATTATTGATAGGTTATACAAGCACAGTGTACAGAAGTCAAAAAGGACAAAAATAGTAACCAGTAGAAAGTAATTATTTTTCTTACCTTCAGCCACTCAGTGACCAAAACACTGGTATCGGATTTTTGGATATCTTTCTGGAGTTATTCCATGAATGTACAAGTATACATATTTATATACATATATGTCATTTTTTGAAATTGAGGTTGGGACAAGAGTCTGGCTCTGTCACCAAGGCTGGAATGCAGTAGCATGATCTTGGTTCACTGCAACCTCCGCCTCCCGGGTTCAAGTGATTCTTGTGCCTCAGCCTCCCTAGTAGCTGGGACTACAGGCACGCACCACCATGCCCAGCTAATTTTTTTGTATTTTTAGTAGAGATGGGGTTTCACTATGTTGGCCAGGATGGTCTCGGACTCCTGGCCTCAAGTGATTCACCCACCTCTGCCTCCCGGGATTACCAGTGTGAGCCACTGCGCCCAGCCGGAGGTGTGCGCTTTACACTGTTATCCTTGCTTCATCTTCATTTAACATCTCTTGACTATTGTTCCGTATTAGCATGCATGAACAAGATAGCCATGTATTTCTGATGCCAAATATACCTAGTGCTTTAAAATTTATCTCCAAAGCCACGGTATTCTGTGTCCATTTACAGTCAACAAAAACTGTCGTTTCTATTCCTGTCAAAGTTATGGCTGGGAGGATTTTAACAACTAATGATCGGAGATAAGTAAGCACACCAAATATATAAATACTGGATACTCCCTGTATAAGTCCCATCAATTGCCATATATTAGGTATCAGAACCTGGCATCTCAGAGTTGGAAGAGACCTTAGAATCATGTGGTCTTTTTGCTCAGGAAAAGAATCCCTTTCACATTCTTCCTGACAGCGTCACCTAACCTGTGCTTAAGCTCCACAGGCATCCCTCCTCCTCTAAAAATAAGACATTTTACTTCTAGGGCATTTAAATCCCAGTCTTATATATATTTTTTTAATTCTTTTTTTTTTTTTTTTTTAGAGATAGGACCTCGTCGTGTTGCCCAGGCTGGCGTGCAGTAGTCATTCACAGGCAAAATCATAGCTCACTGCAGCCTCGAATTCCTGGGCTTAAGGTATCCTCCTGCCTCAGCCTCCCAAGTAGCTGGGATGACAGGCATGTGTCACTGCACCCAAGTTAGTTTTATATTAAAACTTGACTTCCTAGTGGCCCTTTGACGATACTGATGGCTGCTGCTGTGTTACCTCAAGTTTTGTCTCCAGGCTGTCCTTCTCCAGGGCGTTCCACTGCTCTACCAGCACCCAGGTGTCCACATCTCCACTGTCCTGGGCAGGTACCTTGCTGCCACATTGTCTGAAAGAGAGGCATTAAGACCTGGCTGCAGTGACGCAGCTGGGGCCTGACCAACACAGAGCAATAAGCACACAGTCAGGCCTAGAGACTGAAGGGTGTGGCTTGTGCCTTGCTTACCTTTTCCAAATATTTCCTGACTTTCCTTGAGAAAACTCAGAACAAGTGTTACCCTATGGGTTTAGCGGCCATATTTTCTGAGCCAAAAACTGCACCTCCCAACCACCAGCCAAATTGTTGCCTTCTGTGCAGCAAAGACCATCCCACGCCCACCGATGCAGAAAGGAGCAGGTCTAAGCATTGGTGGGCTGATACCTCAGCCCAGCACCCCCCTGTGGCTCCTGGAAGTTCATGGGTAGCCTCTGAAAAGACTGCTTGGCCACCATTAGGAGTTGTGCTGATTCTGTGATTTGAAGTTATGGTATCAATTTGGTAAGAACTAAAATGATTATCCACGTTTGTCTTGGGCTCACAGGGCTTTCAGTGATGTGCCCCCCACCCTGATTTTGAGGATGAAGCTGGATAATTATCACCCTGTGACAGTGAAAATGATGCTAATCAGTGCACAGCTGATGAGAATAACCAGATACAGAGTCTCTCCACCTAGCTATAGGTGGCTTTTAAATTAGTTGCTGAGAAGACAACGGACACACCTACATCAGACCTGTCCAGGGGACCAGTGGCTATCCTTAGGCTTGGATCAGAGCGTGAAGAAAGCCATAACCTCAGCAGCTCTAAGGGGCACTGTGTGATTAAAGAAAGACTTAGGGCCCAGCACTGAGAGACGCGTACACAGTCCAGATGGAGAGAGGCGGCAGGAGATTCATCTGCACTACCACTTCTGAGAAAGCGCATGCATCCAAGCAGGAGTGTTTTCATTCCGGTTCTGGGCTCATTCAGCAAGCTTCTGACAATGGATCTGGTTTCCCAGTTACCTGGAAATCAAGTACAGGTATCTGTGAAAAACAGGCATAATTCTGAGCATGCCGATCCTCGGAAGGACGTACTTCCCAGGAAATTAGTCAGTAGTCACACAGCTTTCTAGGTCCAACTTTATTAATCAGGAGAATGAGAGCCTGTTACTGAACATCTGGTCAATTAAGGATAAATGGAAACCAACTGAGTTGCTGTGACATCTCCAAGAATATGACAAGCTGGGAAACCCTGCCTAGGTGCTGGCTAGTACTGTCTTTAAAGGCAACACCGAGTCCTGCTTTCTGGGACCCATTCCTAGGCTCCTCGATAGCTTTTTGGCACCTGACTCTCATTCTTTCTACCTTTCCTGCCCTCATCCCAGTTCCTTTCAACATTCATTTCAACTACCTGACAGTGCATGTATTTCTGCCCCCTTGACTCCCTGGACCATTTCTCTACTCCATACCAGTGACACTGCCAGTCTCACCATCTCACTGATGGCTCTGGTCTGGTGAGCTTGTCCTTAGAACACCCTCTCTGCCATCTCACCCACTCTACAACCTTTAGCGAAAGTCCTCTTTGGGTCCAGACTCTATTCCATCAGCTCCTGTGAACTGAACTTTTCTGGCTCTCCTCTTACTTATCTGATCACTCCTTTTCTCTCCTTTGTTTCCTAACTCACTGTATCAGCCAGGAATTACATTTAGCTTCATATAATAGTACCCCTACTACAGAGGCTTAACAAAATAAAGATCTTTTTTTTTTTAGATGGAGTTTCACTCTTGTTGCCCAGGCTGGAGTGCAATGGCGCAATCTCAGCTCACTGCAACCTCTGCCTCTCGGGTTCAAGCGATTCTCCTGCCTCAGCCTCCCAAGTAGCTGGGATTACAGGCACCTGCCACCATGCCTGGCTAATTTTTTATATTTTTAGTAGAGATGGGGTTTCACCATGTTGGCCAGGTTGGTTGAACTCCTGACTCAGATGATCTACCTGCCTTGGCCTCCCAAAGTGCTGGGATTACAGGCGTGAACTGCTGTGCTTAGCTAGATTTTTTTTTTTTTTTTTTTTTTTGAGACAGGGTCTCTCTCTCTCACCCAGGCTGTAGAACAGTGGCAGAATCATGGTTCGCCGCAGCCTCAAATTCCTGTGCTCAGGTGATCCTCCCATCTCAGCCTCCCCAGCAGCTGGGATTATAGGCACACACCACCACGAAAATTAACAGCAGTTAATTTTTTTTTTTTGTAGAGATGGGGTGTCATTACGTTGTCTGGGCTGGTCTCAAATTCCTGGGCTCAAACTATCCTCCCACTTTGGCCTCCCAAAGTGCTGGGATTACAGGTGTGAGCCACCATACCTGGCCTCGTTTTTCTTATTTCACATGAAGTGCACAGGTAGACAATCCAGGACTGGCACAATGGCTTTGCAATGTTCCCAGTTTCCCAGGCAGCTTCTATCTTTCTGCTCTCTCATCCTTAGCAGGTGGCTTTTGTCTTCATGGTTAGCCATGACTGCAAAATGGCTGTTCAACCTCTTGCCTCCGGTCCTCCATCCAGGCAGAATGAGGGGAAACCACAAGGAGGAAAGGCTGTCATTTACATGAGAAAAGAAAAACCTTCCCAGAAATCCCCAGCACGCTTCCACTTAGGTCTCATAACCAGAGACGGTGTCACATACTCATCCTCACTGCAAAGGAGCTGGGAAATGTATTTTTGGAAGCAGGACCATTGCTGCTGAGGGTTAAGTTAGTAAAGAAAATCAGGTGGATACCAGGTTGGCAACTAGCAGGGTCTGCATACCTTCTACACATGTGATACTCTCCAAGGTTGAGGGAATCCTTAGCCTTTTGTTCTTTTCTGTATACACTTTACCGTATCTAATTCTAGAAGCTTCCCTATTTCTGTCATCCAAGCCTTGGAATCCTCCTTGATTTCTTCCTCTCCTAAGCTCCATGCTGTGTTCAAATACCAAGTCCAACTATTTATTGCATGGAAATAATTCATATGTTCAGCTATTTTTGGGGGGCAACCACAGTCACTACCCCCACTTAAAGGTAAAAGCCATATTCCTCAGAGGTAAAGGATGGCAACAGCCCCCTAATTCTAGTCCATGCCTTCAGTGTCTTCCCCATTCTACTCCTACCTCTCACTACCATACTCCTCTTTATCACCTACACTGTGACCTTGTCACTCCTCTGCTCAGAACATTTCATGTCTCTATGCCACCCACCAGACAGGATGGCATTTGAGACTGCCAGAATTTGGCTCCCATGTACCATTCTAGACTTCATCCCACTACTCTCTTACTGAGCCCTCAAAACTAACAGGTGAATTCACCAATGTGTTCTGCATATCTCTTGTGTTCTCCAGCCTTTGCATCTTAGCTCACATTGATCATCTCTTCCGGGCTGCCCTCTGCCTCCTTTTATCTCTGTTTCTGGGTCTACCTCAAATCCAGCCTCCTCCATAAAGCTTTTCCCAACCACTTTAGCCTACATGGCTTTCCATTTTTGCTTGGGGGAGAGGGGTACAGTTTGATGATGCTGTAAAGAATACAAACCTTGGCTGGGTGCGGTGGCTCATGCCTGTAATCCCAGCACTTTGGGAGCCCGAGGTGGGCAGATCACGAGGTCTGGAGATCAAGACCATCCTGGCTAACATGGTGAAACTCTGTCTCTACTAAAAAAAAAAAAAAAAAAAAAATTAGCCGGGCATGGTGGCGGGCGCCTGTAGTCCCAACTACTGTGGAGACTGAAGCAGGAGAATGGCATGAACCTGGGAGATGGAACTTGCAGTAAGCTGAGATTGCACCACTGCACTCCAGCCTGGGCAACAGAGTGAGACTGTGTCTAAAAAAAAAAAAAAGAACACAAACCTTGGCTTCTGGGAGACCTGGGTTCAAATCTCAACTCTCCCATTTACTTATCTCTGAGACCTAGGATTGGGTAGTTAACCTCACTAAACTTCCAGTTTCTCATATGTAACTTGAGTCAGAGATTATTAGTGCCGATCTCAAAAGATGCTGGGAGGAATAAATGCCTGACACATGGCAAGGGCTCAGCATCTTCCTGTGTGGTTATTATCACAGCAGACATTGTTGTTTACCCACCCAGATCCTTCTTAATAGACCAGCAGATTTTCAAGCAACTCCTTCTCCTACACACAGCCACCTTCTTCAGAGAGAGCTGATTCAATCTCCCACTATAGCTCGATTCTTTCTTTATTGATATATCATAGTTGCACATATTTGTGTGATATAAGTGATACTTGACACATGCATACAATGATCAAATCAAGGTAATTGGGATATCCAACACCTCAAACATTTATCTTTTCTCAGTGTTGGAAACATTAAAATTCTTCTAGCTATTTTTAAATATACGATAAATTAACTATAATTACCCTATCATACTGTTGAATACTAGAACTTATTCCTTCTATCTAACTCTATTTTTGTACCCACTAAGAAACTTCTTTTCATTTCCCCCTCCCCTCTTGCCTTCCAAGTCTCTGATAACCACCATCCTACTCTTTGCCTTCCTGAGTAGCTCCCACAGGAGCTAGATGGTCTAGACCCTGCCTGCTTTTCTGACCTCATGTTCTCCCACCAGAATACGATGCAGCAGCCATGCTTGGCTTTGTTGTTTCTCAAACAAGACAAGCTTCTTCCTGCGTCAGGACTTTTGCTTTTATTATTTCCTCTGAGTGGAATATTCTTCTCCTGCCTTTTCTCTTCCTTGAAGTCATAATTCAAACATTACATCCTTGGAGAGGCTTTTCCCAAAACCCTATCTAAAGTAGCTCCCAAACCCGTTGCATGCTCCTGTTGCAGGAAGTCAGGGACCCCAAATGGAGGGACCGGCTGAAGCCATGGCAGAAGAACATAAATTGTGAAGATTTCATGGACATTTATTAGTTCCCCAAGTTAATACTTTTATAATTTATTATGCCTGGCTGGACGTGGTGGCTCACGCCTGTAATCCCAGCACTTTGGGAGGCCGAGGCAGGCGGATCACCTGAGGTCGGGAGCTCGAGACCAGCCTGACCAATATAGAGAAACCCTGTCTCTACTAAAAATACAAAATTAGCCGGGCATGGTGGTGCATGCCTGTAATCCCAGCTACTAGGGAGGCTGAGGCAGAAGTGCTTGAACCCAGGAGGCGGAGGTTGCGGTGAGCCGAGATTGAGCCATTGCACTCCAGCCTGGGCAACAAGAGTGAACTCTGTCTCAAAAAAAAAAAAAAAAATTTCTTATTCCTGTCTTTATTGCAATTTCTGAACATAAATTGTGAAGACTTCATGGACATTTATCACTTCCCCAATCAATACTCTTGTGATTTCCTATGCCTGCCTTTACTTTAATCTCTTAATCCCATCATCTTCGTAAGCTGAGGATGTATGTCACCTCAGGACCCTGTGATGATTGCGTTAACTGCACAAATTGTTCGTAAAGCATGCGTGTTTAAACAATGTGAAATCTGGGCACCTTGAAAAAAGAATAGGATAACAGCGATGTTCAGGGAACAAGGGAGATAACCATTGGTCTGACTGCCTGAGAGCTGGGCAGAACAGAGCCATATTTCTCTTCTTACAAAAGCGAATAGGAGAAATATCACTGAATTCTTTTTCTCAGCAAGGAACAGCCCTGAGAAAGAGAATGAGTTCCTAGGGGTAGGTCTCTAAAATGGCCGCTCTGGGAATGTCTGTCTTATACAGCTGCAGATAAGGGAAGAAATAAGTCTTGTTCTCCTGTGGCGCTCCCAGGCCTATTAGGACAAGGAAATTCCTGCCTAGTAAATTTTAGTCAGACTGGCTGTCTGCTTTCAAACCCTGTCTCCTGATAAGATGTTATCAATGACAATGCGTGCCCGAAACTTCATTAGCAATTTTAATTTTACCCTGGTCCTGTGATCTCGCTCTGCCTCCGTTTGCCTTGTGATATTTTATTACCTTGTGAAGCATGTGATCTCTGTGACCCACACCCTATTCCTACACTCCCTCCCCTTTGAAAATCACTAATAAAAACTTGCTGGTTTTGCGGCTTGGGGGGCATCACGGAACCTGCTGACATGTGATGTCTCCCCCAGACACCCAGCTTTAAAATTTCTCTCTTTTGTACTCTTTCCCTTTATTTCTCAGACTGGCTGGCACTTAGGGAAATAGAAAAGAACCTACGTGAAATTATGTTGAATTATCGGGGGTGGTTCCCCCAATATGCTCCACTCTTTTTAAAACAGCTTTATTGAGATACTATTCACATACCATACAATTAACCCATTTGTGTGTACAATTTAATGACTTTTAGCATATGTACAGAGTTGTGCAGCTATCACCACAATCAATTTTAGAACATTTCCATAGGCCCCATTAGCAATTGCTCCCCATTTCCACCCAATCCCCCCAGGCCTAGGTAACCACCAATCTACTTTCTGTCTGTATAGACTTTCCTATTCTGCTTATTTCATATAAATGGAATCATACAATATACATTCCTTTGAGACTGGGTTCTTTCACTTAGCGTGTTTTCAAGGTTCATTCATGTTGTAGCATGAAACAGTACTTCAATCTTTTTCATGGTTTGATAATATTCCATTGTATGGTTATACCACATTTTGTTTATTTATCCATCCATTTATTTATCAAACAAATGGATTGATAAATTTTACTTATCTGTTCATCAGTTGATAGGAATTTGGGTCATTTCCACTTTGGGGTTCTTATGAATAATGCTGCAGTGAACATTCATGTACAAGTTTCGTGTAGACATATATTTTCATTTCTCCGGGGCCCTTCGTTATCTATTCCTTCTAAAACAGGGGTTAGAAATCTTTTCCAGCAAAGGGCCAGACAAGTAAATATTCTAGGCTTTATAAGACAGTCTCTAGAGAAACGACTGAACTCTACCACTGCAGTGAAAAGCAGATGCAGACAACATGCGAACAGATAGGTATGGCTGCATTCCGATTGCATTTTATTTAAGAACACTGAAATTTGAAAGGCCATATAATTTTCTTTTTTTACGGTTTTTAAAATTTTTAAATTTTTTTGGGTACATAGTAGGAGTACAAATGCCATGTAATATTCACATCATGAAATAATATTCATCTTTTGATTTTTTAACAACCATTTAAAAATATAAGAATCATTGTTAACTCGCAAGCTGTATTAGTCCATCTGTGCGTTCCTATAAAGAAGTACCTGAGGTTGGGTAATTTTTAAAGAAAGGAGGTTTAATTGGCTCACAGTTCTACAGGCTTTACAGGAAGCATGGCTCCAGGATCTCCTCCTGGTGAGGGCCTGAAGAAGCTTTTGATCATGGTGGAAGATGAGGGCAGGAGCAAGACAGAGAGAGGAGATGCCACAGTCTTTTAAATCACCAGATCTTATGTGAACTCAGAGCAAGAACTCACTCATTGTCATGAGGACAGCACCAAGATATTCATGAGGGATCCACCCCTATAATCCCAATGTTGGAGGTGGGGCCTCCCACCAGGCCCATCCCAACATTGGGGATTACATTTCAACATGAGATTTGGAGGGGATAAACATTCAAACTACATCACCAACTACACAAAAACAAGTGGCAGGCCAGGTTAGGTCCATGGGCCATATGTTGCCAATGCTTACTCTATAACATAATACGTTGATTTCCTTCAAAGCAGTTATTACAAACCTTGTGTGGCTATTTGTTTAGCTGTTTGCATTTCCTTCCATGAGAATGCAAGTATCATCAGATAGTAGACAATCAACATTTGGTTGGATTAATATATGTACTCTAATTTGTCTCATTGATCTCCTGTCAATAGATATTTGAGTTGTTTCCAATTTTGTGAAGCTACACACGATGCTTCCGGGAATGAATCTGCCAATAGGTATAAATATTTTAAGTTGTAATGAATTCGACAAATTATCCTCCTAAAAAGTTATATTAGCAAACATATGAATGTGCCCACTTTCCCATACCCTATCCAACACTGAGTATTATCTAGTGGACAAACAAATAAAACAAAGATGAGATTTAAATGTATCAAGTATTAGTGATGGTGTGGACGTTTTCTTAATTATTGGACCCCAATTTGTAAGAGCGCTCATGGATTTGTGCATAAGGGAAATTAACTCCTTAGCTGTCAAATGTATTGCAAATACATTTTTGCAGTGTTTTTATATTTTGATTTTTTATTTCTTGGCTTTCGACTTTTTTTAGGATGCCATTTTTTCCATACAGAAAGTTTCCTTTTTTTAAGTTGTCAAATGTGTCAAATGTTTTCTTTATTGCTTCTAGTTTTCACATTGTGCTTAGAAAGGTCTTTTTCATTCCAAGATTTTAAAGATGATTCATCCTTGTTTTCTTCTAGTAATCTGAGGTTTTCTTTCTCTTTTTTAACATTTTAATCTTTGGATTATTAGTAATGATCACTAGGACAGGTAAGGCCGGGAATTAGCTTTACTTTGTCCTAAACAATGAAACAGTTATCTGTATAAATCATCTTTTTTTCTGCTGATTTGAGATGCCAATTTTAGGATACTACATTTCCAAAACTACTTGGTATATTCAGGGTGATATCAAACTTTTTAAACACAGATACAAGATATACTCCCCAATCAGTCGGAACAGAGCATCAACACATCACGGCAAAAGAACCATGGAAAGGGACAGTGGTAGGCTCAGGCAGTCAGTGTGGCATGGGCCACACAGCTTGATTTCTGGACTTGGCTGTGGCTCCTCATCCACCTATCTAGTCCTGCTATCCTATCTCCTCTAAGAGCAGAACTCCTGGAGCTGTGGTCCCACAGGGCCTCATTAAATGCTTGACCTAACAATGAAAACACCTACTCCTAGGCTTTGAGTGGTGTTTGGTTTGACCAGAAACGGCCTGGTATTTAAGTGACTCTTACTCAAGGATCCTGTTACACACAGCTCAGAGCATCTGATCTGACACATAGGCTGTGTGCACGCACAGGTGAGTATGTACATCTGCCACACTCATCAGCTTTTAGCATCACCGTCATCACTGTAATTCTGGCTTAACAGGCTATTAGGAGAGCAAAAAGTCTTCCTTATTTTGTAATGCTCTGTAATAGTTGAATAGCATCAAAATTAATCTGTTCCTTGAAGTATTCATACATAAAACTCTCTAGGCCTGGCACTTTAACAGTTTCCTTCTTCTTTTTTTTTTTTCTTTTCTTTTCTTCTTTTTTTAAGAGACAGAGTCTCACTCTGTTGCCCAGGCTGCAGTGTAGTGGCACAATCATAGCTTAATTGCAGCCTCGAACTCCTGGGGTCAAGTGATTCTCCGGCACTAGCCTACCAAAGTGCTGAGATAACAGGTGTGAGCCACCACGCCAGGCTGACAATTTTCCTTCTCAATTTATCCCATTGTTTTCCTTGTTGTTACTAACTTGAATTTGCCTTCTTCTTTAAAACTTATTTTGAATAACATATTTTCTTAGAAAATTGTCTATTTTGTTCAGATTTTTAAGTTATTGGGATAGAGTAGTGAAGTTATTCTTCAATAATTACTACTTATTCTATTTCATTACAGTCAGACAATGTAACCAGTACAGATTCTTCTTGGAATTCATGTAGGTTTTTATTGTGATCTATTTGATAAAAATTTAACATTTCAGGTAGGATAGGATAGAGGTTAAGAGCCAAACCATCAAACCATATGGGGTTGCAGCTCAGTTCCACCACTAACAAGTGACTTTTAGGAAAGTTTTTTTTTGGAGAGGGAGTCTCCCTCTGTCGCCCAGGCTGGAGTGCAGTGGCGCAAACTTGGCTCACTGCAACCTCTGTCTTCTGGGTTCAAGTGATTCTTCTGCCTCAGCCTCCTGAGTAGCTGGGATTACAGGCGCATGCCACCACACCCAACTAATTTTTGTATTTTTAGTAGAGATGGGGTTTTGCCATGTTGACTAGGCTGGTCTTGAACTTCTGACCTCAGGTGATCCACCCACCTTGGCCTCCCAAAGTGCTGGGATTACAGGTGTGAGCCACTGCATCCCTGGCCAGGAAAGTTATTTAATGTCTTAATGTCGCCATATGTAATAGAGGGATAGCAATAATGTTGCCAGTTTCAAATGGCTAATAATACATGTAAACCACTAAGAACAGTATCTGAAACATAGTAAATACTCAGTAGATGTTAGTTTTCTGTATTTTTTAATTTTATTTATTTTTTTGAGACAAGACTTGCTCTGTCACCCAGGCTGGAGTGCAATGGCGCCATCTCGGCTCACTGCAACCTCTGCCTCCCGGCTTCAAGTGATTCTCATGCCTCAGCCTCTGGAGAAGCTGGGATTACAGGCGCCCACCACCATGCATGGCTAATTTTTATGTTTTTAGTAGAGACGGAGTTTCACCATGTTGGCCAGGCTGGTCTTGACCTCCTGGCCTCAAGTGATCCACCTGCCTCGGCCTCCCAAAGTGTTGGGATTACAGGCATAAGCCACCATCCCTGGCCGTTAGATTTTATTACTATCAGCCTGTGGTGTTATCTCTTTTCAAGTATGCTTTGTAAAATTTTACAGTCTTAATCTATAGAGAAGCTTAACCAAAAAAAGTATCCTGTTTCCTAGAGAGATTCTTCTTTTAGAATGTTCTTTATCTAATTTATACTTGATCTTTATTTTTTCCTATCTTTATCTGTTTTCTCTATCTCTTTTCTCTTTTTCTCTTTCTCTTTTCTCAATGAATAGAAATCTTTTTGGGGTGGGAGGTGGATAGTGAGGCATATTATTCGTCTTCAATGAAACATTCTATTCCAGCTTATTATTTGCCCAATAATTTTGTTTGAAAATTATCCTGAATTGTTTGCCTTTTTTTCCTGAGTGGTGTGTAAAATGTACTTGGAATTTAAGTTGCAAGGCAGGTCATTGATGGCAGCCTCTGACAGTGATATCTGCCTGCATGGAAAGATGGGAAGGAGGTAGCAGTAGAAAGGATCCTAAATGCATTGTCTCTGATCATCCCTCTTTGCACGCCTCTCATCCCACGGAAGGGGGGTTCTCTTCTGGTTTTGGCTGTCCCTCCACTTTGGGACCAGTAGGTCATCTGGAAAGGTTTTCCAGTTATGAAATTGAGTGAGGCCAAATGAAGACAGCTTTGGGAGATCTCCTTCAACCCTACCTTCCTGGCCCCAAGCAACACATCTCCTTTTTCGTTCGTGTCTTGCTCACTGTTTAATATGGCTTGGCTCTGTGTCCCCACCCAAACCTCATGTCAAATTGTAATCCCCAGTTTCAGAGGAAGGGCCTGGTGGGAGGCCATTGGATCATGGGGGCAGATTTTCCCTTTGTTGTTCTCGTGACAGTGAGTGAGTTCTCACGAGACCCGGTTGTTTAAAAGTGTGTGGCACCTTCCCCTTCACGCTCTCTCTTGTGCTCCACTACATGAAGATGTGCCTGCTTCCCTTCACCTTCCACCATGATTGAAAGTTTCCTGAGGCCTCCCCTGTTGTGCTACTTGTACAGCCTGCAGAACCATAAGTCAATTGAGCCTGTTTCCTTTTTGTTTTAGACAGAGTTTTGCTGTTGTTTCCCAAGCTGGAGTGCAATGACACAATCTCAGCTCACTGCAACCTCCGCTTCCCAGGTTCGAGTGATTCTACTGCCTCAGCCTCCCGAGTAGCTAGGATTACAGGTGCGTGCCACCATGCCTGGCTAATTTTTTGTATTTTTAGTAGAAATGGGGTTTCACAATGTTGGCCAGGCTGGTCTCTAACTCCTGACCTCAGGTGACCTGCCTGCCTTGGCCTTCCAAAGTGCTGGGATTACAGGCGTGAGCCACTGCGCCTGGCCAAGCCTGTTTTCTTTATAAATTACCCTGTCTCAGGTAGTTCTTTCTTTTTCTTTTTCTTTTTCTTTTCTTTCTTTTTTTTTTTTTTTTTTTTTGAGAAGGAGCCTTTCGGGCAGTAGCATGATCTCAGCTCACTGCAAGCTCCGCCTCCCGGGTTCACGCCATTCTCCTGCATCAGCCTCCCAAGTAGCTGGGACTACAGGCGCCCACCACCACGCCCGGCTGATTTTTTTTGTATTTTTAGTAGAGACGGGGTTTCACTGTGTTAGCCAGGATGGTCTCGATCTCCTGACCTCGTGATCCGCCCACCTCGGCCTCCCAAAGTGTTGGGATTACAGGCGTGAGCCACCGCGTCCGGCCTCAGGTAGTTCTTTATAGCAGTATAAGAACAGACTAATATATCATTTCTTATTCCATATGCATGGAAAGGGACCCTGTAACATTAGGAAGCAGTTGTCCAAAGACTACCCTCACGTCTGACAACAATTGCAAGTTTGAGGGTTCCCAAGACCACCCTTGCATTTGATAATTCACTAGAAAGACTCACAGAACTCAATGAACTCGTATACTCACAATTATGATCTATTATGGCAAAAGGCTACAGATTAAAATCAGCCAAAGGAAGAGGCCCATGCAGCAGAGTCCAGGAAAGTTCTAAGCATGGAGCTTCTGGTTGTCTCCTTCCAGTGGAATTAGGTAGAGTGCGACTTTCCCAGTAATTATGTTTGACAATATACACAAAGGATTTCCCACCAGGGAAGCTCACTCAAGCCTCAGTGTTCAGAGCTTTTATTAGGGCTGTATCACTAGGCCCGGTGGAATACGCATGTCACGGATCTCAGTCTCTAGCCCCTCCAGAGGTGGAGCTGATACCATGTGACCCAAAGCCCCACCCTAAATCACATTGTTAGACTATCTGGAGTGACCCAAGGCACTCAGAGAAACAAAAACATTCCTATCAGGCATGACATTCCAAGGAGTTTAGAGATTACCTCCCAGAAGCCCAGCACACAGAGGAGACCTCTTTTGGGCAGGGTTACATTCTTTACAACACTTCCTCTGTGTACGCTTCCATTTGCATTTCTAAATCTGTACCTGCTTTGAATCAGAGGAAAAAGATGTCAGACCCTGGTCCTCTCCTTTCTTTTGGATCAGATTTCTTCGTATCTGGCAGCCAGAGCTCCTGGCATCTAGAACGGTGCTGGCACCTCAGCAGCACTCAGTAAATATTTGTTGAATGGATGAAATGTGTATGTATGAATGAATATCTTTTAAATACGTGGTGTGAGATTGTGGCCATTCTCTAGTAATATCACGGTGGAATAATTTTTTCTTTATTTTGGCCTTTGTTCTTTGGTGGATTTCAGAGGGAGTGGTGATGCCCTGTCTCTCGAAGGGGATCCTTTTGTTTTACAGATCAGGAAGCTAACTTCAGAAAGGATGTCACCGGGCCACTAATGAGGGACAGAGATGGGATTAGAACAGAAGTTTCCCCCAACTTCTAAAATTTCTCTAAGTCAAATGCTTTAGTTTATCTTTTTCTTACAAAAATGACAAAATTCTTTCTCTCTAATGAGTTTGTTACCAGACAGCAAAACTCCCTCAGCTGGGACAGCCTGCAGTTGCCCAGCCAGCCTGTGGTGTTGGTATTAATGAGTCAGAAATCCATCAGTTCCAGGGCTGGAGTAGAATAAAACCGCTAAGGGCCTAGACACTGATTCCACCTTTGAACACTGGCAATTCATCGTGTTTGCATTTATTTTGAGACTTGATTGTCTAACTGGATCTCTCAAGTGTTCCATTGTATTTTGGTTTTAAAAGAGAAGTTCCCGCTTGGGTCAGTAGCCAAGCTCTTGGCATCAGGTACATTCTTCAAAAGGACTTTTTAAAGGTAATGCTTGACCTGACAGTTAAGATTACAATGAAAAGACAGTAGCAGCAAGCTCAGGAGTCCAGAATAAAAGGTATTAACATAGTGTGTCTTACATGGCAGGGGTCCCCAACCCCCGGGCCATGGACCAGTACCCATCCATGGCCTGTTAGGAACCAGGTGGCACAGCAGGAGGTGAGCGGTGGGCGAGGGAGCATTACTGCCTGAGCTCCACTTCCTGGCAGATCAGCGGCAGCATTAGATTCTCATAGGAGTGCGAACCCTATCGTGAACTGTGCATGTGAGGGATCTGGGTTGCACACTCCTTATGGTGATGATCCAAAGTGAAACAGTTTCATCCCGAAAACCATCCCTCCATACCCTGGGTCCAGGGAAAAATTGTCTTCCACGAAACTGGTCCCTAGTGCCAAAAAGACTGGGGACTGCTGTATATGGGGTTGTTCCCCTGCAACCATCAGTGTCTCCTGAGGTTCCTGTCACATCTCTGACCCAAAACTAACTGCAAGATTGACATTCGCACAGCACTTACTATGTGCCAGGCAATATCATAAGTGCCTTGTAGATATTGAACCATTTATTCCTCACAGTGACCTGCAAGCTGCTGTTATTGTCATCATCCCTGCTGGGGAAACTGAAGCACAGACAAGTTACGTAACTCATCCATGTTTTCTCGGCTGGTAAATAGATCTAGATTCAAGCACCAGCAGTTCAGTTTAAGTCCAATATATTGCTTCTCTTCTTCCCACCATGCCCATGTTCATGATTGTAATACCAGTTATATTACATTAAAATAAACATTTAGGATATGTTGGATTTCCATTGCTATGTAACAAATGACCACAAATGTGGCAGCTTAACACAACACGGATGAGTCATCTCACAGCTTCCCTGGGTCAGGAGTCTAGATACGGTTTAGCTTGGGTCCTCTCTGCAAAGTCTTGCCAGGTTGAAAGCAAGCTGCAGCCTGAGCTTCCATCTCATCCAAGGCCGGGGTCCTCTTCCAAGCTCACTGGTTGTTGGCAGAATTCAGTTCCCTATGGTTATAGGTCTTGCAGTTGCTTCTTCAAGGCCAAGAGAAGAGCATCTTTGCTGCTCTAAATCTCTGACTTCTCAGCCTCTGACTTCCAGACTGTCTTTTGAAGAGCTCACTTGATTAAGTCAGGCCCACCCAAGATGATCTCCCCTTTAAATAATTGACAGTCAACTGATCAGAGATCTTCATTACATTTACAAAATCTCTTCATCTTTGCCGTGCACATACAAGGGGGTCAGGGATGGGGCAGGAATCTTGAGGGCCTTCGAAAATTCTGCCAGTCATAACACTGAAGCAGAAAATGTCATGAAAGGGTAGAGTAGAGGAGGGGTGGGAGTAACAGAGGAGCAATCCTTACATGTACGTATAGGAGCCTCAGGTCTCTCATTAGCAGCAGCTGGTAGAAGCTATTCCTTCCTCACCTCCACCACCTCCTTGTGACTACTAACTATCAACACGCTTTGGTGTGACACATGCTGGCTTGACCTGTCTTAGAAAACCTTTGCACTCTCTTTGCTACCTGCCTCCCCCGACCCCACCCGCCAACTGCAATTCCTTATGCTCTGCCTCAATTCTGCCATGAGCAACTCCACCCCAAGTTGTATGGCCTTCCCATCCAGGCTGCCAGGGCTGGGTACCCATGAAGGTATGGTGTCATTGAGAGCTGATTAAGGGCAGTAAGTAAAGGTGTTAGCTGTGATATCATCAAGAGGAAGCTAAGAAAAAAGAGGAAGTGTGCCGGTTTATGTCATCTTGGCTGTTCTGACACATTCTCAAGTGTCTCCAACAGGAGCTTCAGACTCTTAGAATGATATTATCGGATGATCGAATAACCATCAAATAAGCTGTTAATCAAAGTGTACTTCTCCTATGAATTACCTTGACCCCTCCCCACTATTTCTTACATACCCTTCACAGCGTTTGCCAGACATCATTCCTGCAAATCTGGAGATAGGAAAAAAGTGTGCTGGGGCTGAAGCAATAAACAGCTTTGTCTATGTCATGGGACAAAGTCAGTTAAGCTTTTCTAGGAGACAAAGCCTTACAGTGATGAGTCTGCACTTAGCAGCCATGGAGTAAAGGGTTAGGGAAGAGATGTTTGTTTCTTTGTTAAGCTATAGAGGTCCCTTCTGTTGTTTGATAAGACCAGAAGAGCTAAAAATAAAGCCCGGGAGATGTAATGTAACAGCAGTGAGAACTCTTCTTTGTTAAAAAAATATCCCCACTGATGAAGCTTCCTGAATGAGAGTGGAAGGAGAGTATGCAAATGATCTAGGGCCAGGAACGACGTCACAGACCTCCATATCCACCACCACCCTTTCATCCCCCTGTGTCCAGTCCAGCACTGTGCTTGTGGAATCTGAATAAAGATTGAATTTCCATCTGGAGTTTCCATTGCAGTTTGTTGTAGATAGTGCTTTTGCCTTTTTGGGGGAGAAGGGGGCTTATGAATTCTTTTCATTCATTCATCCATTCAACCAATATTATTTAATGCTGAAAAAGAGATTATTTCTGTTCTTGGGACACTAACAATAGACAAACTTTCTTTTTTTAATTTTTACTGTTAAGTTCTGGGGTACATGTGCAGGATGTGCAGGTTACATAGGTAAACATGTGCCATGGTGGTTTGCTGCACCTATCAACCCATCACCTAGGTGTTAAGCCCAGCATGCATTAGCTCTTTTTCCTAATGCTCTCCTTCCCCCTACCCCATCCCCTGACAGGCCCCAGTGTGTGTTGTTCCTCTCCCTGTGTCCATGTGTTCTCATTGTTCAGCTCCCACTTATAAGTGAGAACATGTGGTGTTTGGTTTTCTGTTCCTGTGTTAGTTTGCTGAGGATAATGGCTTCTAGATCCATCCATGTCCCTGCAAAGGACATGATCTTGTTCCTTTTTAAGGCTGCATAGTATTCCATGGTGTATATGTGCCACATTTTCTTTATCCAGTCTATCATTGATGGGCATTTGGGTTGATTCCATGCATAGACAAATTTTCTACCTTTATTATGGTAGGTAAAACAGAAAGCAAACAATTATATAATGTAATGTAATATATGATGTAGAGTAGTGATAAGTGCTATGAAGTTCTCTTATGAGAGTATGATAAAAGTTATGGTTCTTGGCTTAAAAAAAAAAAAAAAAAAAGAAGTTGGATTCAATGTTGCCTAGAATTTCCAGAGGGTCATATATCCTCTGAATCCTGTCCACAGAGCTACTCTCTAGCAGTGGCTCTCAAGCCCAGTTAAAGTGTGATTTAGTAGTACTGATATGAGGTCTTAGAGCCTTTATTTTTTTAAGTTCCACTGGCGATTCTACTGCACATTGTTCTAAAGGGTCTGATTTTAACCCACATTATAAAAAAGAAAAGAATAGACAAATGTAATTTACAGAAGGCTTACAAAGAAAGACAAGCATACCTACAAGACACCTAGCCAAAGGCCTGCACTGAGCTCTTCAGAATTTAGAGTCCAGTGGCCTGTGCTAAAAGGCTTTCCAGCCTTGGGAGACAAGGTCCAGTGTGCCTCTGAGGCCATCTGTATTTGCTTAAGCCCATCCTTTAATGCAGTACTCCTCCCCCTACCTTTTTAAAAACTCATGTCCCGCCCCTTTGGATCCAAATTAAAACCTCATCTTTTTCTGGATATTCTGAAATAAAGTCCTTGGTGGAGTGTAATCCCCAAGAGAGAAGTGCTGTATTTTCAGTGTAACCTTATAAACTAAGACCGTTCAGCCTTGTTTTCTAAAATGTTCATTATAAAAGTACCAAGATTAAGATTATATGTTGGTGTTTGCCATACTTTTCTAATACATACCATATAATTATGTCATTCTACCTCTTTGCCCCTTTTCTGGTATCTCTCACCAAATGTAAGGCTTTGTAGCTTATGATTAAGGCTATGCATTTCTGTTCTCTGTTCTATTGTGATTTCTAGGTAGAAGAATAAGTAGATGGGAGAAGGGAGGGAGAATCTGAACAGCAGGGATTCTTGTGTAAAGATGCAAACATTTGTTTTCATTCCCCCCTGAAACCCGATGAGAGTGCCAGTAAAGGGATTTTTAAAGGCACAGACCCACATCAGTGGGGAAATGGGAGAGTAGAAAACAGCAACAACACTTGACACTGGAAAAGCAGCTAGATAAGGGGTAATTTACTTAGCAGACCCAAGAAAACGGAGAGAAAATGGAATCCTAAGCCAACAGTGCAGAATGTGAGAAACCAACTCACTTTGTGAGCCAGAACCCCCATAAGGCTTGAGAGTAGGCGGCACCAGGCACTTCTGGAAGTGGAGGTGAGAGTGACGGGTGCTAAAATTAGGAGAATTGGTTTATGGTCTGTTTATGAAGCAGTCACATCTCCACATTTCTTCCCCAAGTCCGGGCAGCCAGGTTCTCCCCCATTCTGGACAAAGATGGGAGACAGTAACACCAAGGGTCTCTGGTCTAGGAGAGGCAGGCACTGTAGAGAACAAGGATGGTGAAGTCCCCAGAAGCCATGTCTCCACTCCCCCAAATCTGTTGGCCAGACCTTCACCCTTTAAGCAGGAGCTCAGTAGAGTCCTCTTTGATCATCTGACCTGCCCCAGAGAATAGACCTAAAGAGACTGATACGGAAGTTCCACAAGGAAAAGATTCAAACACACTAAGATGAAGTTTGCAGCTGACAAGTTTATGTACAGCCCAGAGCTTCCAGTAAGATTATTTGTCCACTGGACCTAAACACAAACAACATCCCTATTTCTTAAAATGGAGATAACAATGTCCCTATCGCATAGGGATGGATGGATGCGAGAGATGGATCCATCTCTCACATAGAGACGGATAAATGGACAAGCTGAGAATTACCAGACATCTAAAGAAATCCTCTAATGTGAACAATAGAGACCAAAACAAATAGAAAATAAAGTTGCTTAGAGGCTCTGCTACTTAGAACAAGAACCAACACCACCCCATCCTCATTCATATAAATACAGCTATATATTTATATGGAAATAGATATTCATAATATGTTAAAGTGTGTGTATTTAATACATATTCACATACACATATACACAAAGAGTTACTGGAAATTTAAAAGACAAGAGTAAATCTGAGAAACTTAACAGGAACTTGGAAGTTAAAATTGAGGATATCTCCCAGAAAGCAAAGCAAAAAGTTAAAAGGGTAAAAAATTGGACAGAAAAGAGAAAATAATGAAACAAGTCCAGGAGTTCTGATAATCAAGTATAGAAACTCCAGAAAGTGAGAGGAAGGAAAAAATAGAGGAGAGGAAATCAAAGAAATTAGTTCCATAACATTTCCCAGACCTGATACATTTTCTGGACTGGAAAGGCCGTGAGTGTCAAAATGGACCCACACAGAGGTAGATGACTGGAAATTTCAAAACACTGGATTCAACTGGATCCTGCCATTTCCAGGGAGAAGAAAATCAGGTGTAAAATAATTGAGAATCAGGATGGCAGAAGGTCACTCAACAGCAACAGCAGAAGCAAGAAGGCAATGGAAGTTGGCATGGTGGCGCATACCTATAATCCCAGCAATTTGAGAGGCTGAAGCAGGTGGATTGCTTGAGCCTAGGAGTTCGAGACCAGCCTGGGCAACATGGCAAAAGGGGTTGCATTCGTGGAACCTGGACAATTACATAAATGTGAAAACGAGGTAACTATTCTTGTAAGAACAAAAAGCACAGGAAAGTAAAGGTAACCACAGTCTAGTTCATGGCTCAGGTATAGACAGCTTTTGCCTCATCATAATAATGTAAAGGACAGAGTCTATCCCCTGCATCTGCGGATTCAGCCAACTGCAGATCCAAAATATCTGGCAATAGAAAGAATAAAAAATAATAATACAACAATAAAAAATACAGATAAAAACCAATACAGTTTACCGACTATTTACATAGCATTTACCTTGCATGAGATATTATAAGTAATCTAGAGATTATATAAACTGCACGGAAGGATGTGCACAGGTTATATGCAAATACTACACCAGTTTCTATCAGGGGTTAAGCATCTGCGGAGTTTGGAACCCTCAGGGATGCTGAAACGGATCCCCTGAGGATATCGAGGGATAACTCTATTGTTCTGACCCAAATTACATTGTTATTGAAGTGAGAAGGAGGGAGTTGGGAAGACAGCCTGTATGTTGTAGGCACAGCAGGGAGGAAAGAGAGCTAAGTGCTGTCATCCACAATAGAACGTACCTAAATGATGGTTAAAACAGGTAAAAGCAAAAAGTAAAACTCAGGGATATTATCTAGAGGCATAAATGTAAATACCAAAATAATCAGCAGAGAGGATAAAATAGTTGCTTCTGGAAAGAGAGAAATTAGAGGTGGTGAACAATGGACTGCTGGTTTTTTTTAATAACAAAACTAGAAGTATTTGGTTTTATAAAAATATATTGTGTGTATATAGAATAAAAATAGAAACTTAACAAAAATGTGTTTTAATGTATCAAATACAGAGTAACTGTATCTTTTCCTTTCACACACAAGTGGGGCCGAACCCCACAGGTCTAGGTGATCTGGAAACACCCAGACCAGCTAGTTGAGTTGCTGCAGCTGTTGTTGCTGTCATCTTTTTTTTTCCACTTGCATTTACTAAAGGCAAAATCCTATGTGTGACCTTTCAGGCCTGACCTCAGGCAATTGCAGAGACGTTACCAGGCAGGCCCCAAGGGAAAAGCTGCTCTGGCACACCAGAGTTGCAGTACAGCCTGGAGGAAGTTGCAGTCAAGGACTCAGCCCCGAGGGTTAAGTAGCACCCGCATTGTTACTCTTCTCTTAGATTTCAGAGATGTTTTCCCTGCCCTGCTTCCTATCTTATCTTGATTCCCTCTGTTGAGTTTGGTCTCTAGGAAATCCCTGCCTCAGACAAAGGTGTGCCCCTATGATATGGTTTGTCTGTGTCTCTACCCAAATCTCATCTTGAATTGTAGCTCCCACAATTCCCACATGTTGTGGGAAGCACCTGGTGAGAGGTAATCAAATCATGGGTCAGGTCTTTCCTGTGCTATTCTCGTGATAGTGAATAAGTCTCACAAGATCTGATGGTTATGTAAAAGGGAGTTTCCCTGCACAAATTCTCTCTCTTGCCTGCCACCATGTAAGACGTGCCTTTCGCCTTCCACCATGATTGTGAGGCCTCCCCAGCCACATGGAACTGTGAGTTCATTAAACCTTTTTCTTTATAAATTACCCAGTCTTGGGTATGTCTTTGTCAGCAGGGTGAGGACAGACTAATACACTCTGGTACATGCAAAGCTGCACATCTTGTGCTTTCCCTTCCCATAGAGGGGCCTCAGCACCCACATCCAGCAAATGAAGGTGCTGGGCTAGCTCTTGTTGAAGGGTCTCTGGATGCAGCTGGAAAGTTACCAACAAATACAGCTCCTCTCCTGAACTCCTGCTGTGTTTATATTACCTTACCCAATGACTTAACATTTGCTATTAATACATCCTCACCTAAAGATGAGTTCTGTTGTTTTGTTTTGGGGTGTGTGTGTGTGTGTGGAGGGGCGGGGGTGGGCAGAGACAGAGACAAAGACAGAATTTGGGCTTGTCTCTTCTAAGGAGATAAAAATAGCCTTGAGGACAGAGACCCACCTTGTATCACTGTGCCCCACAGCATACTGGACATCCAGTCTGTGATATGGGACAATTCTGTAAAGGAATAATGATGTAGACAATTTCTGTGGGATAGGTAGGAAAAAGTTGCTCCTAATCCTCAGTTTTGTTCACTGCTATGTCCCCAGCACCGAGAACAGTGCCTGGCACATAGTAAGTACTCAAAAAATATTTGTTGGATGAAGGAATGAATGCACCTAAAAGGAAGACTAAACTGGGACTTGGTGGCTAGAAATACAGAAATATTTTGGAACTCATAGAACAAGCTGTTGTTGCCCCCCCGAGTAAGTGACTGGAAGTAGGAGAAGGGAGGTATCCCAAACTCTCCACCTTCTTCTCATTGAGATTCCCAAGGGCAGAGTGTAAATAGTGAAACCTTGCAGGAGGATGGGTTAGCTAAGTATTTATAGCCTTCCAATATGCATTACCAACTGTTTCCTGTCTAAGAACTTTTTCCCTAAAGAAATATAGCAAGTAAGCACAAGGTGAATAAATAAGGACTTTACGGCAGCATGATTTATAACAGAAAAATTGTGAACAACCAAAGTGTTTATTAATAAGGTATTGGTCACAGGAAAAGATTTACTATATGTTGCTTAATGAGGAAAGTGAGACAAAATGATACATGCCTTTCTTTTGTGATATATGTGTGTGCATATATATATTTATGTAGATACATACAAATATGTATACCTATATGCATGGAAAAACACTGGAAAGATACATATGAAATGATTACAGTATAAGAGAATTAAAGTCTGGTTTTTGTTTTTTGTCTCTGTACTTTTTTCCTTTTTTTTTCGAGACAGGATCTCGCTCTGTCATCTGGGCTGGAATGCAGTGATATGGTGTTGTCTCACTGCAGCCTTGAACTCCCAGGCTAAGCTATCCTCCCATCTCAGTCTCCCTAGTAGCTGGGAGTATAGGCATGCACCACCACATTTGGCTAATTTTTGTATTTTTTGTAGAGACGAGGTTTTGCCATGTTGCCCAGGCTGGTCTTTAACTCCAGGGCTCAAGCATCCATGTGCCTTGGCCTCCCGAAGGGTTGGGATTACAGGTGTGAGCCACCATGCCCGGCCTGCTTTTCCATATTTTAAAAGTTTGCATTGCTTCTCTATTCAGGGGAAAATATATTTTATTCCTTTGAATGACATCATATGGCAACGTTTTATATGGAAGTTTATATCAACAACAACATCGGTGAATACACCTAATACAGATACCCTCACAGACAGCAAGAGTGCACTACTCCAGCCCTCTGTACCCGTTTTGAGATAAGTGGAGGTTTATTCTGGGCATACTTAATAACTAAAGATGTGTGATTCTGAATGATGTGCCAAATAACTTGAAAGAATATAACTTGTCCATCAGGGGATATAGACATTCAAGTGACGGGTATCAAAACTGAGCCTGTCTTTAATGGTGAGGGGACTGGACTGGGAGAGGAGGGACTTAGGCAGGGAGAAGAGGAGGAGCAAACAGAAGCTCCAAGCCAAGTGGAGGCAGACACCTCATTAAACTTTTACTGAGCGTGCTCCACTCTATAGCAGGTGCTCTGAAAGATATTAGAGAAGCCAAAGATGAATTTATAGTCTAATTAAAAAGACAAGCCTAGCACTTATAAAACCTTTAAAGACAACAGCTAGACTGCACTGTTTATAATTAGTGCTAAAGAGTGAGATTCAGATGAGTGATCTGATAATAGTCTAGATTTTAAATATTTTAAGATGCTTTGGATATGTATATATGTATATATATTTTTAAACAATTTCATTAAACATTCAAATAGGCTAAAAAAACAAGCAAAGGTTGAACATTGGAATAATATGACAAATTTTGGTATCCATACAATTTCACATATAACCTCTTGGTAAGGATGTTCCAAGAGATTAGCATCTGAACAGGAAAGATGTGTGAGTGTTTAATCTGTAAGATTAGCAGACAATGGCGCTGAGGCCCCTTTTCTCCTAGGAAAGGCTTGATGGACAGGAAAGATCTATAAGGCCTAGTGACTCAAGGTGCAGAGGCTGTTAATGGATTTACTGAGGAAGGAGGGGGAAGGAATATAGAGTTTTCAGGATCCTGGATGTGACAGGAATTGGTACACAATGGTAAGGCTGGAATCTGCTGTGCATTCTGGGGCCCTTGGACCTACATGTGGGTGCTGGGGACTTCATGCTGCTCCAGGGCCCCTCCTTGTTCCCAGACTTTCCATATCCTGCACCTGACCCAACAAGGAAATAGCCATTTATTCAGGAATTACAGAGTGTAGTATTAGGATTATCCTCCTCAATATCAAAATAATACCTGTTCATGAGATGACTTAGCAAATACAGAAAAGAGTCAAAGGAAGAAATAAAAGTCATCTGTAATTTTCCTTCAGCTAGAGTTTGCCAGATTTAGCAAAGAAAAATAGCCGTGCAATGTTTGGGAGATATATGCATACCAAAAGTTATTGTTTATCTCTAGTTCAAACTTCATTGGGTGCCCTGCCTGTTATCTGGCAACCTTACCCTCAGAGTAATCCCAACAGTGGGCTCCACTCGCCCCCTCCATTTCCCAGTCTCTTCAGTCTTGACCATCTTCTTTACCACAGTGGATTCTGTGCCTCAAAGCAAGTTTATCTGAATCCCCACGAAAGCGCTGGGGTTTCCAATGCTACTGCTTCTCTCCGAAGTTCCACCTCACATCCAGCCTCCCCAAGAGTATCGGCAGCACCTCCCATCTCCTAGCAGGGCTGGATTTGTCCTGGCACTGCCCCTCTGCCAGCCCTTGAGACAGTGGGTTGGGGGTGTCTGTCACAGCCACAGAGGGTCCTTGTTTCTGGGCTCACCTGACATCTGATGCTGCCTGAGGCCAGGTGAGTCAATGTCATCCCCCTGGGAAGAAGCAGAGTCCCTTGCCTCTAAGCCAGATGCCTGACCCAGTTCACTCCCACGAGGCCACAGCCAGCCTCCAACATGTGGTCAGACTGGTTCCCCCTTCAGGAACTTTCAACCTGGCAGCCCTACACTACCAACGAGGAAACAGACCCAGCCTGCCTTTGGCCCTCTGCTGTGTATCCAGTCCCGGGGCCAGGTTCCTGCAGTTCCAACCCTTTGAAACCTCCTCCTTGTCTCCCTCCTCTCTCCAGCTCGGTAAATCTCCTTTACCTCAAGTCGAGGCCACCTTCTCTGGCATCCATCTTCCTAAGCCCATGACATCCCCCACACCTCCCTCAGGGATGCAGGGCCCTTTAAGCCCTGCTTAGGAAAGGGACTGTCAAGGATTAATGACCTACAAAGTGGTGGGGTAGAGATGGGGATGAGGAAAGGGGGTCAAAAGGAGGGGAGATACCATCAGGGTTATCTTCTTTCTCTTTCCTTCTATATTAGGCAAGATCTATTTACTTTGCTTTTAACAAAGAGTATTTTGGGCACTCCAATTCCTTGCCACATGCCTGCCTACAACCTGTCTATATTTTGCATATCATCATAGGGTTTTGCATCTCCCATACTTTGGACAAATTGTTTTGTTTTAATAAATGGCTGTGCTTCAGGGACATTTATGTCAGAATATCATTTCCTTTTTCTAACTTTAGTAAAGACAAGCAAACCTTGCTGAAAACCCGGTTAATCAATAGGGCTTGGAAAAAAAAAACCCCACCTAGGGTCATTCCTAAAGCAGTCCCTGTCAATTCTGCTTTCAAGATATTGACACATGCAAGTGCTTAGTAAACCAAAGCCGTTTTCCCACTGAATTAAACAGGTGCTCACTAAAATAATTACCTGGTTTCACAGGAACATGCTATTGACCCCAATCTCAAATTCAACTCTGTAAATGCCTGGCATTCAAGGAAGTATTCCTAAATGTAATCCTTTAATCCACCTTAATCTCTACTCCCACCTCATTTGATCACTGAAATGGAGAAGTCAATCATTGCTCTCCGTTCACCAGCCAAAGCCCAGCAAGAGTGACTTCAGCCTTCCCAGGATAAGCCTCCCAGGAAAGGGTTAATTCTGAGAAGGGTGTTCAAAGTAGCTCCAGCAACAAAATCATTTATTTGCTCCTGATTCATTTAGAGTTTAGTACCACCACCAGAAATGAAACTAAAATAAGCAAAGAGTCAACAGTTTGGTACAAATAGCTGCATTTTATGACATCTTTTATTTTTTCTTTGTTGTTTTTTTAAAAAAGGATGCACCTTTTTTTTTATTTAAAAAAAGGATGCACCTACTCTTTGTTTAAAACACACACACACACACACACACGCACGCACGCACACACACACACCCTAAATTCATACAGGCATACATGAAGTAAAAAGAACCATGTTTCTTCAACTGAAAATTAGACACAAAAGAAACCACTTTTAATAGTTTGCAGGTTGCCCTAGACCTCAGATTTTCAAACTACAGTGGACTGATACCCTGAGGCCCAGACATACCAATCGGAAAGTGAGGACTAGGCCTTTGAGCCTCATAGAGGAAGGTGAGCTGCCTCCCTGACACCCCTTCATTGATTTGTTGCTGTTTTCAAGTAGAAATAAATCTGAGATATTTGAAGATATTTGGAGGCGGCAACAGTGAGAAGAGCAGAAGCTGCTACTCAAGGCTAACACCCAAGGAGGACTTGATAAACACAGGACCGGGAAGCACCCTGCTTGCAGCTGCAGGCTCTCCCTCTCCACACAAACCTTTGAAGGGAGCCCTGGGGCTAGACAGCCATTATATTCTTGACTTGTCTCTAATCCCCCACCGCCTGTCTGAGAAGATAAATATTTTATATTCTTGAAGGCAGGGGGCTTATGGAGGAAGGCATGCAGTGCCCAGCATGACAGAGGCCCTGGAGAGAGGAGAGAGGGAACAGGGATCAGAATAGAGGAAATTTGAGACCTATTCTTAGAGGGATCTTCTCACGGTGGTCCTCTCTGTAAAATGCCTCCTTGCTCCCCAGTGCTGCTGGATGGAGTCCTGGCATCCCGGACTCTTCACAACCCCATTATCTACTTCCAGTCCAGGTGGATCCCTGCCTAAGGAAATGAGAGCTTTTTGTAGCTCCTCTCGCAGGACATGCTGGCTTTAGACCTCCATCTGGATCTAGGGCTTCCCTCGAGAAGTCAGCCAACCTGGTGGTGGAGGGCTATGTTTCTGGGTGCTGCCAACAGGCTGGAGTCTGGTGGCTGCTGCATGGGCTACATGAGGCCTGCACTACCAGTTCACATAAACACCCACTCACACAACATCTGCCCTTCCAACCAGCCTGCTCTCCTCTCTTAGGTTATCTGTCCAGACCCTGAAGACCTTTGAGTTTGAGGCCGCTGACCATCCTATCCCATACCAGGCACACAGACCAAACTTAATACTCATACCTGTTGAAATGAGAATAAGCCTCTCACCAAGGGGCGCACCAAGTCTATCTGCTCTGGCATCCAGCCTCAGAAACTGTATTAGTCCCTTTTCACATGGCTATAAAGACATACCTGAGACTGGGTAATTTATGAAGGAAAGAGGTTGAGTTGACTCGCAGTTTGTCATGGCTGGGGAGGCCTCAGGAAACTTACAATCATGGCAGAAGGGGAAGAAGACACCTTCTTCACAAGATGGTGGGAAAGAGGGACAGAGAGTGAGAGAGAGCCAGAGAGAGGGAGGGGGGATGGGGGGATAGTGGGATGGGGGGATAGAGGATGGGGGAGGGAAAGAAAGAGAGAGAAAGGGAGGGAGGGGGAGGGAGAGGGAGGGAGGGAGAGGGAGGGGGAGAGGGGAAGAGGGGGAGAAGGAGAAGGGGGAGAAGGGGAGAAGGGGAGAAGGGGAGAAGGGGAGAAGGGGGAGGGGGAGAGGGGGAGAGGGGGAGAGGGGGAGAGAGGGGGAGAGAGGGGGAGAGAGAGAGAGAGAGAGAGAGAGGGAGAGAGAGAGAGAGGGAGGGAGAGAGAGAGGGAGGGGGAGAGAGGGGGAGAGAGGGGGAGAGAGAGAGAGAGAGAGAGAGAGGGAGAGAGAGAGAGAGGGAGGGAGAGAGAGAGGGAGGGAAGGAGAGGGAGAGAAAGTGTGAAGGGGAAGAGCCTCTTATAAAACCATCAGATCTCGTGAGAACTTACTCTCACGAGAACAGCATGGGGAGAACCAACCCTATGATCCAATCACCTCCCACCAAGACCCTCCCTCAATACGTGAGGATTACAGTTGGAGATGAGATTTGGGTGGGGGCACAGAGCCAAACCATTTCAGAAATCAAAAGGCCGGAGTTTCCACTAGACAACAGTGATAGTCTTCTGGAAACTCCAGGTCTGGAGCAGGACTGGGCCACCTGTTCCCAACCTCCTTTTGCCTTCCCCCTCCTCCCCTTTCCTTCCCCCCCTTCCCCTTTCCCCTTCCTCCTTCTTCTCCTCCCCCAGCAGAAACCACAATCCCCAAATTGACCTTCCATCATGAAGCTGGGGTCAGAGTGCATTTCCATCAGTGCCTGCGTTTCATCATGGTCCTCTGGGATGGGAGCTGAGAGCCTGTTGCTGACGAACTATCACAGGCCAGCTGAAGCTTGGCTCCTTTTAAGCACTCTTTTCCCAGGTTGCCTTTTTTTTTTTTTTTTTTTTTTTTTGGTAACCTCTGGGCTCTTCCCTGACTCCTCTCTTTGCTTCTGCAATTCCTACATTAAATTGAAGTCTGGAGCTGTATTATGGATTGGCTCTGAAGACCACCCCCCTCACTCCTCCTGGAAGGCCACAGCCCCGTGGCTGTGTCTGAGAGCAGGTTCAACCCCTCCTTGTTCTGGGAGAAGAGTTGAGCCCCACAACTTTAGGATGGTGGTCCTCCAACTTGAGTGGGCATTGGAACCACCTGGAGGTTTGTTAAAACACAGACTCCTGGGCCCCACTCCCAGAATCTGATTCAGTAGGGATCCGGTGAGTTCTGATAATTTGCATTTCTAACAAGCTGTGATGCTGGCTCAGGGAACATACTTTGAGAACCACCAATCTCTGTCTCCCAGAGAAACTTGAGGCTGGAAGAGTCTTCTCTATGCACCTCCTCAACCTTCTGGAGTAGAAGGCTTCCCTGCAAGAAGCTTAGGTTCATCTATGAGGAAGAATCGAGGCTGTCCTGCTTCCTGTCCCTTTTCACTCCCTCCCCCTCTCTCCTTTTTCTCCCTTGCCTTTTTCCTTCTCTCCCTGCTATGGCTCTGCGTCTGTCTCTGGGCCTCTCCACGTGCACATACGTCCCTAGTGATGAGCTGGCTCTGGATTTGTGCAGCAAGCTCACAGCCATCTGGAGACGCTGGGCCACCCTGACTGACATATGCTAAAATACAGGCGGCAGAAAGACTCTGGGCAGAGACCAATTTGTTAATTTAATTGAGTTGCAAACAAGCAGGAAGCCAACAGGGTTTGTGGGAAACCTATTAGGTATTCTCAGAACCAGCAACCGGGTTAGGTCCTGAGCTGAGGCTGGCATCTGCAGGCCAACTGCAGGAGGAGGAAGGGACCTGTCTCACTTCAGGGCTGCCCCACTGTGCAGAGTGGGGCAGAGATGCTCTGTGGGGGCCTGTCTGGTGTAGCGGGTGTCATTAGTGAACTCCTCGTTTCCACCACCAGAGCCCCTTTACTAGGCTGGCATTCCATCCTCCTTCTCAGAGACTTGCTCTTTGGAGTGAATGAGCCCTACCTTGCTTTGTTCCTCCCCTGCTTGGGAAGCAGCCTGAAGCCAAGGGCTGGCTGACTTGGAATATAAAAGCTGGGCCCCTTGCAAAGTGCTTTCCCAAAACTGAGAGGTTTCCTGGGATGAAGGACAGTCCCAGGCAAACCTGGATGGCTGGTCACCCTACCACTATCTCACTATTTGTTTTCCAGAGCCTCTGATGAGATCAGGCTGAGACTAGACTTCAGTGGAGACCATATCCTGGCTGAGCCCCTTCCTGGCCTGCCCTGCTCCCCTTGCTCCTGAGCACACATGCCTATCAATCGTGTGCTGAATCCTTGCCTCAGGCTCTGCTTCTAGTGAGACCAGCCTAAGGATGCATCCCCTAAGAATGATCACTCCACCCTCCCTGCTGATGAAAACAAACCACAAATGGGGAGGGAGTTCTTCAGCACTGCTAATCGTTCTGAAGATAAGGAACAGTCAAGGATAATAATAATAGATATTTGTTGATTTCCAGGGGGGCCTCTTAGCTTCCCTGTGATGCCCCCTAACTCCAGCTAGTCATCAAAGAATTTATGTCTTTATTGCATAGAAAGCTGAGGACTTGAAGCCGGGAATACTTCATCTGTCCTCACCTTTACATTGGGTACTTACTATGTAGTCAAGGCTGCTCTAAGCTCTGTGAGGGAAACAAAAATGAGTCTGACACAGTCTCCGGCCTCCTGTGCAGGTGTGTTAGTAAAATAGTTTCACACAATGTGTTGTAAGGCCACATGGGTGAGTGCCAGGACTTGCTGAGGCAGTGAGGGAGTTCAGAGAAGGCATTGCTCAGGGTGGGTTGGGGGTGCAGGCAGCCTTCTCAGCCGAGGAGCTGCGACTGGGTTCTGAACAGGCTTAGAGTCACCAAGGTAAAAAGGAAATAGCAGAGATGTCCAGGATGCTGCAGTCTAAGGTAGAGAGGCTTGGGTGTGTTTTGGAGTCAGGGAGGGGCTGCTTTTCTGGAGGGATGCTTGCACAAAAACGGAGGGGATGGGGTCTGCAGGAGGAGATGGTGCTGTGTTCTGAGGACAGAAGAACGAGAATGGCTCCCTGCAAACTGGTCCTTTTGGGGAAAGAACCCAGGGCTGTGTCACCATAGCAAGTTCTTAACCTCTCTAGGCCTCCCTCTCCTCGACTGTGAAATGCAGATAAAAATATAGAACTGGGCCAGGTGTGGTGGTTCACGCCTGTAATCTCAGCACTTTGGGAGGTCGAGGCGGGTGGATCGCTTGAGCCTAAGAGTTTGAGACCAGCCTGGGCAACAAAGTGAAACCCCATCTCTATAAAAAATCCAAAAAAAATTAGCCTGGTGTAGTGGGGTGTGCCTGTATTCCCAGTTACTAGGGAGGCTGAGGTGGGAGGATCTTTTGAGCCCAGGAGGTGAGGCTGCAGTGAGCTGTGATCACACCACTGCGCTTCAGCCTGTTTCAAAAAACAAAAACAGAAAAGGAACTGGGTATGGATGGTAGTTTATGAAAATTAAATGAGGTGGCTCACACATGCTCTGGGCACTGAGCAATAGCTCATGCAGTGCTGGTTCCCTTTTCCCTGGTGCGATGTAGAAACAATCCCCCAGTCCCCACCCAGCAAACACTGTTGAAATCCTGAAACCTCAAGTCCAAGCTTATAAATAATAATGACAGACTGGCCGGGTGCAGTGGCTCACGCCTGTAATCTCAGCACTTTGGGAGGCCGAGATGGGCAGATCACTTGAGGCCGAGAGTTCAAGACCAGCCTGGGCAACATGGTGAAACACCGTCTCTACTAAAAATGATTATCTGGGTGTGGTGGTGGGCACCTGTAATCACAGCTACTCGGGAGGCTGAGGCAGGAGAATCACTTGAACCCAGGAGGCGGAGGTTGGAGTGAGCCAAGATCACACCACTGCACTCTAACCTGGGTGTTGGATGGAGACCCTGTCTCAAAAAAAAAAAAAAAAAAAAAAAATGTCAGACTAACCCACAAAAACTTCCTTAGCTCATAATGCACCAGAGTGTGTGTGTGTGTGTGTGTGTGTGTGTGTGTGTGTATATATGAATAAAGATATAGTACAAAATAATAGTGATAATTAAACAAAAACTTATTAATGAATAAAAAAGGATTTTTATTTATTTTTATAATAGCATAGGCTTAGAAGGAAAGGAGTGATGAGGAAGGGCCATGCTAGCCTTGACCTGAACCCTGAGAAGATGTCAAATGCTTCCTGCTGATCTGGGACAAATGTCACTGGCTGTTATGAAATAGATAGGGGAACCGATCAAAAATGTGCATCCCAGCCTTGAACTCTATCTGTCATGTCTTTCTGCCCCCTATGGATGGGGCTGGCAGGGTTTGCTCTAAAGAGCCACCACTGCTTAGATGGCCATGAATGATCAGGTCTTCTCCCAGTTCCTTATACCTTCTCCTGCACCCAGAGAGCCCCATAGTCAGTTCCCCATGAATGCTCAGCCATGTTGGGCCTGTGTATTAAAATGATGGTTTAATGTTACATGATCTATAGCACAGCTGCATTGGCTGCTAAATTGCCTCTTTACTAGACTTCATTATGGTTTTGTGTTTGTTCATCTGTGACTTCCTTTGTAACAAGCTGTCCTCATATTTTACATTTCAATATGCATTTTTTTGGTGAGTTTTAAAGCTGGTTCATGGCAACAGAAGTATGTCACATCCGACTGATCCATTGCTGAGAGATCAGGGTTTGTCTTCTTTTTTGTTGGTTTTATACCAATATTTTCAGATGCAGTTATAAACTTTTAACATCCTTACAATTTACCACAGCTCAGTTACACACCCAATTTTCTGCACTTACGTCATCTTTTTCATGCTGAAAGTTTGTTAACGGTAGAGTGGATAAATAAAGTGTAGTTGATTCATATAATAGAATAGTATACAAGAATAAAACTGGGCGGGGCATGGTGGCTCATGCCTGTAATCCCAGTGCTTTGAAGTGAGACTCTGAGTCTTAAAAAAAAAAACAGGAATAAAACTGAACAAACTGCAGCCACACTCAGCAACATAGATGAATCTCACGAATGCAATGTTGAAAGAAAGGAAGTCAGATACAGAAGGATATGTACGATAATGATTCAGTGATGCATTCTTGTGTGAGAAAGCCATAAGGAACATGAGATGGGATTATTATAAAAGTCACAGGGACAGAACTGAGGACTTCTGGGGCACTGGCTAGGTTCCATTTCTTGACCTCGAGGTAGTTACACATCTGTTTGCTTTAGAATATTTTGTTAAGCTATACATTTATGTGCTTTTGACAATTAAAAGGTTGAAAAATAACCACTATATATACTGAATTGAGTAGGAATTTTGGCCTTACAAAATTCTATTTCATTTGCCAATTATAAGCTTCCTGCTTTATCATTTTATCACTTATTTCTGAGTTTGCCAGTTATGCTCAGCTGAAATCCACCTAATGCCAGATAAATCTGAGAGTGAGGACTTCAAAATCTGAAAACTGCAGAGTCCTGCTAAGTATTTGGTATACTACAGGCATTGAGCTAGGTAGATCATATTAGTCATCATATTGGAGAAACAGAATCATTCTATAGTCATCCATCTGGGGAAACAGAACCAATAAGATGTCTATATATATAGGAAGAGATGTCCTTTAAGAAATTGATTCACATGATTATGGAGGCTGGCAAGTTCGAAATCAGCGGGGTGGGCAGGCAAGCTGGAACCCAGAAAAGCCAATATTCCAGATGGCTGTAGAATTAGGAAGAGCTGATGTTGAAGCTAAAGTTCAAAGGCAGCCTGTTGAAGAATTCTGTCTTGCTAGGTGGGCAATGCTGCTTGTTTTGTTTAATTCATGCCCTTCAACTGATTGGATGAGGCCCACTCACATAAAGGAGGGCAAATATACTTTATTCAAAGTCCATTGATTGAAATGTTAATCTCTTTCGAAAACAAACACCTCACAGAAACACCCAGAATAATTTTTGACAAATATCTGGGCAACCCCTGGCTGAGCCAAGTTGATGCATAAAAGTAACCATCACAGTAGGTGTCACATGACATGTACCTGGTTTACAGCCTCCTGAATTGATTATTCTGACCCCCATTTTGCAGAAAGCATTTAAATACCTTGTCTATGGTTGCACAGCTGGGAAGCAGCAGAGACAGGAGTTAAATCAAAGTCTATGTGACAACAAATACCAGTGGTGAACAAGCTTTTTTCCTTTTTTGGCATTAGGGCCAATTCAATAAAAAAAAAATGGGCTGCATATTTTCATTTCTTTTCATTTCATTTCATTTTATTGTTGTTTTTGTTGTTGTTTTGAGACAGAGTCTTGCTCTGTCACCCAGACTGGAGTGCAGTGGTGTGATCTCGGCTCACTGCAGCCTCTGCCTCCTGGGTTCAAGTGATTTCCGGCCAATTTTTGTATTTTTAGTAGAGACAGAGTTTCACCATGTTGGCCAGGCTGATCTTGAACTCCTGATCTCAGGGGGATCCGCTTGCCTCAGCCTCCCAAAGTGCTGGGATTACAGGCATAAGCCACCGCGCCTGACCATTACATTTCATTTCAATCCAAAATGAAAATAATTTGATTGAATCTCATGGGGAAAATGTATTTAAAATATAATTACCCAACTTACTGATGGTAAATTGCCAATTGCCTTTTGTTTTTAGTGACCAAAATGCTGTATTTGGACATTTTGAAAGAAAGCAGCTTTCTAATATTTCACCCTGACAGAAGACCAAAGTGGGCTGTGTGTTGCACATTCCTGCACTCTGATGCATGCCAGAAAGGTGAGCGAGGAAAGCAGGCTTAACTTTCCATGGAAGAGGATGCAGCTGGACAGATAAGCAGAAGGAAACTGCAGGGCACTGTCCAGGGCTTGAGTGCCTGATGGCTCAAACCTACCTTTCCCTAGAGGTAGAGTATTAATAGCACAGCACTTAACATTATCAACCTTGACCTGATGGTCTTTGGAGGCTACAAATGGAATGGACTAAGACAGACAGCAAGAGGGTGAAGGAGGGGAGGGGAAGTACAGAGAGAGGGAGGGTAATGAAGGAGGAATGGAGAAAACTCAAGCACCAGAGAGACGTCTTTTGAGAAAAAAAAACAGCAAAGCAAGCCAGAAGAAAGAAGCTGCTTAAGGATGTCTGATTTGTAAGAGAAAGGGGCTGTAATGGGCTTCACGGGCCCACAGAGTGGTGAAAACCTGGTGCAAGGGTATGCACAGCCCTGCAGAAGGAAGAAAGTGGTGCCCACAGAGATGGGGGCTGAGCCATTTGGGGAGTATATGGGA
Organism: Homo sapiens; assembly: GCF_000001405.40. Classification (NCBI taxonomy): domain Eukaryota; kingdom Metazoa; phylum Chordata; class Mammalia; order Primates; family Hominidae; genus Homo; species Homo sapiens. The sequence continues at coordinate 47,989,749 of NC_000018.10, forward strand.
GTCAGAGAGGTGTGGCTGGTGGAGGTGGCGGGGATGGTCCTGGAAATATTGTCAAGGCCATGAGCTACCAGCCTGATGTGTGGATGGCTCTTTCTCTTTTTTATTTTTTTGAGACAAGATCTCACTCTGTCACCCAGGCTGGAGTGTAGTGGTTTGATCAAGCTCACTGAAGCCTCAACCTCCCTGGGCTCAGGTGACCCTCCTACCTTAGCCTCTTGAGTAACTGGGATTATAGGCATGGCTAATTTTTATATTTTTATAGAGATAGAATCTCACAATGTTACCCAGGCTGGTCTCAAATGCCTGGTCTCAAGCGATCTGCCCACCTTGGCTTTTCAAAGTGCTAGGATTCCAGGCGTGAGTCACCATGCCTGCTCTCTTTCTCTTTTTTACAAGTCGTATGCCAAAGGAAAGAGCATGGGCTTTAAAATATATATAGAAAGAGATGTATTATAAGAAATTGATTCACATGATTATGGAGGCTGGCAAGTCCAAAATCTGCAAGGTGGGCCAGCAAGCTAGAACCCAGAAGAGCCGGTATTCCAATGGAAATATCGAAATTCAACTTAAAATAATGTCACTACAATGCCTTATCCATATGACTGCCAATTTGTATTTATGTGACATATTTATGTGATACTGTATTAAGTGGTGCTGGTAAAAAGAGGATATTATTTATCTTTTCTCATGGAGTTGCAGGAGAATTCAATATGATAATAAATATGAAATTCCAGGCACAGAGCTGGCTCCTTTCTTCCTGCTGTCATCTTGAATAATTGTAGCTTTGCCACGTTTCACCATAGTCACTGCTTCACATATGTCATTTTTCTCTTTCCAGTGAGATGGAAGCACCTTAAGGGGTTTTCTCTCTCCAATGAATGGGTCACAATAGGGGAGAGAAGAAAGAGAGGAGGCCAGGATCAGACTGGGTAAAATCATGGTGCTACCATGACTGTTACCTTGGGAATGTCATTTACCTGCCAGAGCTCTGTTTCTTCTCACCTGTACAATGGGTTTATAACACCCACCTTGAAGGGATGTTGCAAGCATCAGGAAAAACGAGTGTTCAATGCCTGTCTTAGTAGGTCCTAAACAATGATTGATCCCGGAGTAGCTAGCCCAGAGCTAAGCCCAGAGTAAGTGCTCAATAAATATTTGTGAATGGGACTCTCTGAAGCCCAGTCCCAAGGTGAGCTGGATTTCCAGGGTTTGGCAATGAAAATCCTTGGATTGTGTAACCTGAGAGCTGAATATGTGAGTGAGGGGGTTCTTACAGCAGAGCACCAGCACAGGCGGCCAAGGAACCCAGGCACCCAGCCTTCTAACCCCTTCCTCTGCCTCAGGGAGAGGCGTGCATGCATCCCTGAGCCGGTCAGTGGCCACAAGGGACTCAGCCCCAGGGGACAGCAGGTGTCAGATCAGCCTCCACAGACCCTCCACGGCATTAATCCACTTGTCAGGGCAAATGCTTACTTCCTTCATCCTCTCTTCCCCTGACTTTGAAACACTGAGCCCTGGTGGAAAATTAAAACCCACTTTGTCAGATTCCCCAGAGAAAAAAGGGAGCTTGGAGCAGATGTTTAACACCAGAATTAGCACTCACGGGGCACTGGCAACACCAGCTCCCAGCTGAAGACCTCTGATCCCAGACATGGAAGCCATTCACTTCCTAGGGGTGGCCAGACCAGGATAGTTCCACCTTTCAAGGAGAAAGGTCACGAGCCCTTGGATGGCTTTAGAGTGGTCTTTTTCTGCCCTGCTTATGGCCTCTGCTGTGAGGAAATCTGGCTGTAGCCATTCAGGTTAGCCCTGATTGCATACAGGACTCTCCTCTGGAACGAAGGAGTCTCACCAGGGACACTCTTGGCTGCCTTCAACTGTACATCACCTCAAGTCCTGCTCCTCTGCCGATCCAGACCCTGACCCCAGTGTACTACCTTGACAGTATGGGCAAGCCCTCAGGCCAATCCTAATGCTTTTCATCCCTTCAAAGGTGTTCAAGTATTCCCCCTCCATGCAGCCTTACCTGACTACTCCAGCCCAGCTCATCAGCCTCTCCCCTGACCTCCAACTGCCCTTGGAGTTCTGAGTTTAGGCTGTGTTTATACACACACGTGCTGTTGGACTGTCTTCCACACAAGGAGCTCTTGTCCCCCCGAGTTAGTAAGTCCCCACAGGTCCTTTCCTACTTTCCCACCTCTGTCCAACACATGGCTGCTTACCCAGTCCCAGCCTCCATCCTCTGCACCCTGGGCCCCTGCAAGAGCCTTCTAAATGGTTTGTTGTGCCCACTCTTGCCATGGCACCATCATTCACCAGCCAGAGGGCTATCTTTAAAAAGCAACATTGTGACCTCAAGTCTCCCTCCCTGTCCCCCACCCGAAAAGCCTTCAATGGCTTTGTATTGCCCTGAGCATGGCTCACAAGCCCTCTGTGATCTCATGATTACCAAGCAAATGTGACAGTAGTTACTAGTTACTGTGAGTCCTCCCAGTGAGATTAGAAGGCCTGTGAGGGCAGGAATCTTGGTTACCACTCTATGTACAGGGCCTAGCACATTGCTGGTACCTCAGTACATTTTTGTGAAATGATGGGATGAGTGAGTGGATAACTGAATCATTGAATGCCCCTGTGAGGCCTTGAGATTGCTGGCAAGCAGTGGTTGCATTTAGTCTCTATCCTAGGTCGCGTTTTCTGGTAGCAGAATGCCTGGCAGGAGGAGTTGTGAGCACATGACTTCTTAGAGAAGGGCATCCAGTGGACACCAGTCAGTGAGCTGGGGAAAGCCAAGTGTGGTCGAATAAAAAATATATTTGCTCTTTGCCCCATTCCTGGCATAGATATTCCTAAAACTTGTGGAACCCCCTGAAAGACAGGAGCATCTTTTATCATTTATAACGAGCCCCCTTTGAACATATCTGAGTCTTTGCTAATGAGATGATTCTTGGCAGCGCCCCTAGATAGCTTCAGGATGGGGGCTGGTCACCAGAGGAACCAACCAAGGGTCTGTGCTAACGTGTGGAGATTATTTCGTTTTTCCTACATTATGGCAGCTTATCTCAAAATAATGTCTCTCTCCCTTACTTCTTTGCTGATTGTCTTTTAAGCCAGGGAGAGTAGGATCAATGGGCCCCAAGTTCACAAGTCCTGCCCTTGTCCATGTGGCATGAATGTGAGCAGTTCTCCCCATCTGAGACCTGCTGCCACTGTGTGGGATGGTGCCCCTTTGCAAGCTCTGGCCTCTCCTCTGCACACAGGCAGTTGCAAGCAGAGATCTCATTGAGAACCAGCTTGCAAAGGGTAATGCCATGATCCTGGGTTGGGAAGGGTGTGGGGTGCAGTTGTTGGGGAGGCTGCCCAGGACGTTACTATCTCGCTTCAGCTGAGCCAGCCATTCCCAGTCACAGGGCTCCATTCCAGTTGCTGACTGCTCTCAGTTTTCTGCTTGTGACACATCATTAAAGCCAGGCTCTGTCCCTGTTCCCTGCCACCTCGTTTTAATACTAATTGCAGCCAAAGCAAATTAGAACAAATCTGCTGTTCCTGAAACATGCTGTGCACAACGGAGCCAAATGTAAGTGATTTTATTTTTACGCAAGTTATTTATGTGATTGCTCTCTTCCATCGGTGCTGATAGGAGGATGACTGCTTTTGAAAGTAGAGGCAATGGGTTCCTCACTGTCAAACAAACAGCCAGGAAGTGACTGCTGGGAGACAAATAGATCCCAAGACCATCCAGCCATACCTCAGCTTTGGAAGGAAGAAAGAGGAAGAAAATGCCTATGTCCTGATTGGCAAGGGGTGGGGCTTGCTTTGTGGCTGCCCTCCTCTCCAGAACATTGGTCAAATGTCTGTCCCAAAGTCCCATCCAGCCTGTGGCATGTCAGATCAAGGCCAGAATTGTCAGTCTCTGTGTTGCAGCTCCTCTGCCGCTGCCCAGAGGCAAGTGACTGGTGTCAAAACAGACCCTTTGTCCTTACCACTTCCTTGGAATATGCAGAAAGCATGTGTCTGGGGAACTTGAGCTGCCAAGCTTTGCTTTGGGGAGACTTCAGTGAAAATATATGCCACTTCTTGGTGGCAGGACTTGGTGGCAAGTTGAGCACATGCAAGAGGCAGACAAAGCATTTATTTAGAAAAACAGCAAAGCGGGGTAAAAAAGAAAAAATGGAAGAGAATTACTAAACTTTTGATATTTGATCCTTCCTTCCATGTGGAAAAATATGAACACTGGTAGTTTTTCCTTTTGTATCATTTGAATTTCGATGTATGTGGGGGAGTGGCCTGCAACATCTGTTCAGGATGCGGGATTTTTATGATCTCAGACACCCTTGCCCCCATGGAAAGGTGGAGAATGGGAGAGGGTGGGATATCAGGAATTTGTGTTAGAATTTTACGTTCTTGGAGGTTGATTTAGGAGTTCTTTGTTTGGCAAAGCCAGATCTAGAGAACAATAGCCCAGAACATGGCCCATCTCCCTGTGGGTATAAATAGTCCTTCCTGGGGCCTAGGAGTGGCCTGTGCAGTGCACACTTGAGTGAGCAACAGCATCACCTCTGGGGCTTGTTAAAACAGATTGCTGGGACCCACTGGAGAGCGTCTGATTCAGCAGGTGCAGCGTCGGGCCTGAGAATGGACATATCTAATAAGTTCCCAGAGGTGCTGATGCTGCAGGGACAGGGACCATACTTTCAGAACCACTGGCCTGGAACATGGTATGACCCAAGCTGAGTGGGCTGACATGCAGTTCTTGAGGTGAGCAGACAGTGTGGAACATTTGTGGCACTAGGTCAACAGTGGCTGCCATAGCCGGAATCTGTGGAGGTGTCAGTGGTTTCAAGCAGACAAGTGGCTATCCAAGGAGGGAAAAAAGAAGCCCTGATTGTAGCTGTTTCCAATTTCTGTGGTGTAAATACTCCTATCACGGCCAGTTTCAAGCTACCAATATGATGCTACTGAACACTGAGGAAAAATGTGCCTAATTCACTCTTTCAGCACATCAGGGAGGAGAGGGTTACTGATGGGGAACAGGCCTATAGCTTGGCACGTCTGCTGGAATGACTAAAAGGGCTGTTCACCACTATGGGAAAGTCCTGAGGCCTCTCACTGGAAGAATGAAGAGCACAAAGTATGGGAGTGGAGTAGCCAGAAGAAAACACTGGTTTGTTTCTCTAAGAGAGAGGAGACTTGCATCTGGCCTGCCGGCCCTTCTTTTGCCTGCTGACCTGGGACACAAAAAATTATTACATGTGTTTTTTTTTTTTTTTTAAAGTTAGGCTGGGTGGGGTGGCTCATGCCTGTAATCCCAGCACTTTGGGAGGCTGAGGTAGGTGGATCATGAGGTCAGGAGTTAGAGGTCAGGAGTTAGAGACCAGCCTGGCCAACATGGTGAAACCCTGTCTCTACTAAAGATACAAAAAATTACCCAGGCGTGGTGGTGGGCATCTGTAATCCCAGCTACTTGGGGGGCTGAGGCAGGAGGATCGCTTGAACCCAGGAGGCGGAGGTTGCAATGAGCAGAGCTCGCACCATTGCACTCCAGCCTGGGTGACAGGGTGAGACTCCGTGTCAAAAAAAACCATATATGTACATATTTTTATGTTTAATAAAGTTAAATTTTAGAGGTACAAAAAAAGAAAATAAACATCATATATTGTTCCACTGTGCAGAAATAAACACTATTAATATGTGGGTTTCTATTCTATTTTGTTTAACATGTATACACACACACACGTAACTATTCACACAGGTTTTATGGAGTTGTCTTACATATACTGTTTTGAAACCCGATTCTTGCATGTAATAGAGAATCATGAACACCTTCTCATGTAATTAAATGTTCTATAGCACAATTTCTAATAAGTGAAGAGTATTCCCTTATGTAGATGTATCACCACTTATTTATTGAATCTCCTCTTCTTGGAAATTTGTTTGTGTCCCACATTTTTTAATTACAAACATGCTCTGCTGAACAGCCTCATATCTAAATATGGCCTCATATCTAAATATGATTATTTCTTGGAATTCAGTTGTCTAATAGGAAACACTGACTCAAGCACAAGTGTGCATGTTTTTAAACTTTTGATTCATAGTGTCAAGTTGCCTTCCAGAAAGGCCATCGCTGTTCACACTCCCATCAGCAGCATTTGCAAGCTCCCTTTTCATCAACCTCTTACCCACAGTGGGTTTTAAAACTCAAATGTATTAGTGAGGCAGTTTGTTTTTTGCTTTTGTTTTTTACGTTACAATGAAAGAGTCATGTCGCAAGAAACTGACTGGCATTCAAATATAAGACAGGCAATCAATGAAGGTACCACCCCGCTGAACTTCAAAGTTCCACTAAAATACTTTAATATTTGGCTTGCAGGGAGATGATAAAAATTGCAGCTGTTGCAGTCAGCTATGCTTTCTACAACGTAAGTGTCTTGATTGAAGCAGAGAGGGTGGGAGGAGCTGGGGCACCCAACAGTGCTCAGGGAACAGAGGACCAAAGAGCCACCAGGCAGAACCATCTCTCACAATAGAAGACTGACATTTTGTGATCACAGCTCCTGAAAGGAACAAAGGATGGACAATAGCAGGAACTGGAGGAGAAAAAGAACAAGCTATTAACAAGCAAATTAAGACCAGACAAGGGAGATGAATCAGAAGTGATCCAATAACCAGCCCTGGATTAAGTGCATCTGGCTCTCCCGGGGATTTCACAGTCATTTGCTTCAAACTGCTAATCTTTTCTGAGAGGTTCCCTTCAAGCCGTCTGGAAGGAATGAATAAATGGATGGCTTAGCCAAATAGTTACTCCTGCAATGTTTTATACATGGGTGAGCATATACATTGTCATGCCTCATTGATTCAGGATTTAAAGTTTGACTGTTTTACAGAATTACAGAATTTTAGAGTTAGAAGTGACCTAAACGGCATTTAGTCCATCTGTCATTTTGCAGACGAGGAAACTGAAGCTCAGATAGGTCATATGATTTTTTTCCTATTTCATGCATCAAAATATTGGCAGAGCTAGGACTAGAACCCAGGTCTCCAACTTTTAGTCCAATACTGTTTTACTAACTAGTTGCCATTGGTTACTCTAGTATTTTTCTAAGTTTACTTAGCTGCGAGCAACAGAAATATTTAACATAAGTAACAAGACCAAAAAAGTAGAATCAATAATTTCACTACTTGTCTTTCCTAGGTGGGATATTACAGAGGCAGGTGCATATGCACAGGAGGGTGAGAAAAATAACTTGAGTGTGTGTGACATGGGTAAATGATAAAGTCTCATTGCCTCATCTGTAGCATGGGGTCAATAATAGGACCTAGCACACAGGTCGGGGTGAGGTAGCAGAGAGCTTGGCACATGGCATTCAATATATATTAGCTAGTTTCTTCTTTTTTTTCCCTCCTCCTCCTCCTCCTTTCTTCTTCTATTATTATTATATGAGAGAATGCCAGTTAATTCTTGGTTTAAGTTGAGGCAGAAAGTCACCTTTCAGGGGCTGTTACTTGCATACAAATATCGAAAGTCACAAAGGCACCAATTGCCCTGGGCGAGAGCATGTAAGATCTTTTGTGGCTGGATCTGTTTGCCTCCTGATACTTCCTAGCATGCTAGTTGGTGGCTAGGGAGGGAGGCAGGTCTGCATAGAAGTCAAGGGAACTAAGCTGGAGGAAAGGGAGAGACTAGTGACTCACCCCATCACTTGGGACTAGAGACTGTAGGGAAGGCTGTCACTGGAATCCCCTCCTGACCTCGCTTTCCTTGGCATAGAAGGTTGTGCTGCAAAAACAACAGCTGAGCTTAGGAGAGTGTGAGCAGAAAAAGGATCACTCTTGGAGCAGAGCTCAGGATGTAGGGTCTGTGGTCTCTGACAGTGCTGATTACTGTTAGCCATACTTGTAAGCCGGAATAGGTTAACAACCCGGCAGTGCAGGAATAGTGACCAGCAGCGCCCCCATGTGGCTGCAATGGAAGCAGCACAAATACTCAGTCGAGCACACTTGGGAGCTCTCTCTGGCTGGTATTTGCAACCTGAACTGACTTTGAAATAAATAAATCCTGGGCTGTTCTGGGTAAAGCAAAAGGTCTCTGGAGGGATATGTGGGATTTTCTGTTACTTTGGGCAGCAATTGCTCATTTAATTATTTTGAACCATAAAATAGAATTGCCCTTTACTCAAAGCTGGTCATAAGGGATACTAGTCTATATCCTTGAAAACACGTATTTATAAATACATACAGAACAATCACAGCTGAAGTCCTTAATAGTTCTGAATTAAATATGTTATGCATAACTTTGAAAGCTTTATTTAGCTAACGTCCCTAGCTTTAGTTAATAATTATAATAATAGTAACAACAAAACATCAACTGTATACTGACTACATGCCAGATTCTATATTAAATTCTTACATGCATTATCTCATTGAATATTTACAGACACTTTATCAGGTGGGTACATTTTACAGATGAGAAAACTGAGGGCAGGGGGGTGATGTGCACAAAGTTACATGTAACTAGGAGTGAAAAAGTTAAGATTTGACATAAACCTGACCTGACTTTAAAATTCTGCCTCGTAAAAGCAGTGTTTAGGCCGGGCACAGTGTCTCACGCCTGTAATCCTAGCACTTTGGGAGGCCGAGGTGAGTGGATCACCTGAGGTCAGGAGTTTGAGACCAGCCTGACCAATGTGGTGAAACCCCATCTCTACTAAAAATACAAAACTTAGCTGGGTGTGGTAGCGGGTGCCTATAATCCCAGCTACTTGGGAGGCTGAGGCTCGAGAATCGCTTGAACCTGGGAGGCGGAGGTTGCAGTGAGCCGAGATTGCACCATTGCACCCCAGCCTGGGTGACAAGAGCGAAACTCCATCTCAAAAAAAAAAAAAAAAGCAGTGTTTACAGAACGTTGCATTCTCTGGTATTCCTCAGACTAACACCTGGGAATTTTTAGCATCTATTTGATGCTTGCTATTATAGTTTTATATCAATAGTAAAGTCATTATTCCTCGCTTATTTATATACATTTATCTGTATATTGACTGTCTCTCCTAGTGCCTGGTATAAAGTAGAAGCTTAATCAATAATAGTGGAATAAAAAATGAGTGTTATGCTTGGTCTGAATATTCCCTCCAAATGACGAACATTCCAGGTTTTCCAACCAACAAAAGGAAGCTCCAGAAAGAAGTTATGTTTCTGGGGTTGCCTCCATTAAGGTCCATGGGCCAAGACTGTTGGTGTGGGCTGTGTTGGCCCTGCCAGGCCTCTCCAGGATCTGTCCTGTGGCCCTCAGCAGTTAGGCATTCCCCTCATTTGCTCACTAGCAGGCCTCTGTATTCCCATCCTAGAGCTTTCCCCTGCCATTCTCCCCTCCCAGAATGCCATTCTCCACCTCAGTTTGGGCTACTTTCAATTCTTTTTCTTCAAGACATACCTTTTCCCCAGTCTTCCTTGCCCCTTCACCTTCACACACATAGATTAGTCTCCCTGTTTTGGGAGCTCCCATACTTGCAGTGTCTTTAGGAGTGGACAAGGCTGAAAGAGGCCCAGATGCTACCCAGACCTGGATGGTGAAATGGTTTGGCTGTGTCCCCATCCAAATCTCATCTTAAATTGTACTCCCATAATCCCCACATGTTGTGGGTGGGACCTGGTGGGAGATAATTGAATCATGGGGGCGGTTTCCCCCATACTGTTCTCATGGTAGTGAACAAGTCTCATGAGATCTGATGGTTTCATCAGGGAAACCCCTTTTGCTTGGCTCTCATTCTCTCTTACCTGACACCAGGTAAAGATGTGCCTTTGCTTCTCCTTTGATTTCTACTGTGATTGAGAGGCCTCCCCAGCCATGTGGAACTGTGAGTCCATTAAACCTCTTCTCCTTTATAAATTACCCAGTCTCGGGTATGTCTTTATCAGCAGTGTGAAAACGGACTAATGCAGATGGCAAACTTCTCCTTGGCCTAGGGTTGCTAGGAGGTGCTTCAGGGAGCCCCCTTGGGGAAAGGGTCAGGAAAGGGGAGCCCATGCCGGAAGAGTCCTGGGTCTCCTCTCACCACTTAAACAAGATGCCCTGCTTCCATCTGTAGGATGTGACTTCCTTTGAAACAAGATGTTAACTGGTCAAAAATACGAAAAACCACTGCTCTATTTCCACCTCCTGCTTTTACAGATAAGAAAACCTCAACTCTTATTTAGACCTCAAAATTCCTCCTTCTTTCCTTGGTTCCTCCCTTCCTCCCTTCCATGTAGCAGAGTTGTGGCAAATGGGCCCCATGTGGGACACCTTATTTCTCTGCTTTCCTTGCAGCTATTTCCGTGTGGCCATGTGACAAAGTTCTCACCAACAGAAAATGAGTGGAGTGACAGGGGCAAGTTTTGCATCACTCGTTTAGGAGGAAATAGCGTGTCCTTCCCTTTTCCTCTTTCTGGGCTCCCATGTGCTGGGTCACAAATGGGCAGTGACTCAGCTTGGGCCATGCCTGTGGGGACAACTGCCTGAGCCAGGGGTCTCTAACTTTCTTCGTGACATGAGCTCCCTTGGCAGTACAGTGAAGCCTATGGACTTTATCACTCCATATGCATTTATTTTAATGTATAAAATAAAATACAGAAGGTTACAAAAGAAACCAATTATACTGAAATACAGATATTAAAATAACTGTAACATAAGCACATACACAAGCACACCTAAATTTGTGACACAGTAAAAATGTACTTCTTTATTGACATTAAATAATAAAATCTAGCAGCAGGGCTGATAACAACTGTAATTTTAAAATGGTAATAAACATTAAGTGATATTTTGAGATATCTTCAACATTGTAATGTGAGATGAAAAATCTTTATGATTTCTATTGGCCACAAAGTCTTTGATCTTGCTAGTACTTCAGAGGTTTATTGCCGTTTGCATAATTGAAGGAAATGCTAAATTTCATGTAGAAGTTTTTGAAAGTACAGATGTAATTTTTTTCTATGCAAGTTCACAAATCCCTTGATTTCTATCTATGGACTCCAGGTTGAGAACCCTTGCCTTAGGGCAGGAGTCCCCAACCCCTAGGCCATGGACCAGTACTGGTCTGCAGCCTATTAGGAACTGGGGCGCACAGCAGAAGGTGACCAGTGGGCAAGCAAACAAAGCTTCATCTGTATTTACAGCCACTCCCATCGCTCACATTACCGCCTGAGCTCTGCCTCCTGTCACATCAGCAGTGGCATTAGATTCTCATAGAAGCGTGAGTTCTACTGTGAACTGTGCATGTGAGGGACCTAGGTTGTGGCTCCTTATGAGAATCTAATGCCTGATGATCTGTCACTGTCTCCCATCACTTCCAGATGGGACTGTCTAGTTGCAGGGAAACAAGCTCAGGGCTGCCACTGATTCTACATAATGGTATGTTGCATAATTTTTATACTTTTCATTATATATTATAATGTAAATTGTATATTATATGACAATAAAAATAAAGTGCACAATAAACGTAATGCACTTGAATCATCCCCAAACCATCATTCCCCCACCCTCTGGTCCATGGAAAAATTGTCTTCCACAAAACTGGGGCTGCCTCCGTTTAGGAAGCCCATGGGCCAAGGCTGTTGGTGTGGGCTGTTGGTGTGGGCTATGTCCCCATACCGGTCCCTGGTGCCCAAAAGGTTGGGGACCACTGCCTTAGGGGATGGGACAGCAAAAAGATGAACAGAACTTGGATCCCTGAATGTTTTTATGGAACAGAGCTGCCCTGCCAGTCTGGGCCACTCACCTCTAGACTATTATGAAAGAGAAATAAACAAATCTTACTTAAGCCATTGTAATAGTGAGTTCCTATTACAGCAATTTAGCCTATATCCTAATTCCTATACCCAGAGAGAAAATGGTTTGTTACATATTCTGTTTTCTGCATTTATATAAATGGTTTTCTGTTAGTTGGTCTCCCTAACCATCTCTTCCTCTTTTGCATATAGACAATATCTAGATCAGGGTTGGGTAGAGACTAAGTGTTCAGTTCATATGTGCTGAATTAATACAAATCTGTATAATTGAGTACAAAACACTAGAAAAGGCCAGGCCTGGAGGCTCATACCTGTAATCCCAGCACTTTGGGAGGCTGAGGTGGGTGGGATGGCTTGAGGTCAGGAGCTCGAGACCAGCCCTGGCCAACATGGCGAAACCCCATCTCTACTAAAAATACAAAAATTAGCCAGGTGTGGTGATGCGCGCCTGTAGTCCAAGCTACTCAGGAGGCTAAGGCAGGAGAATCGCTTAAACCTGGGAGGCAGAGGTTGCAGACAGCTGAGATTGTGCCACTGCACTCCAGCTTGGGCGACAGAGCAAAGAAAAAACAAACAAACAAACAAACAAAACCACTAGAACACTAGCGGTCAGTGACCTCTGGGGCGGGGGGCCTTGGCCAGTGAAGTACTGTGTGTAAACCTTGATTTTTGTGGTTAGCTGTGTCACTTTGAATAGCCATAGCCATTTACACTCTCTCAACCTCAATTGCATTATTTATTATAACAGAGATAATAATTACTTGAAGTGTTCAAAGTACCAATGGGGTAGACAGATGATGCCCTAAAATCTACGTTGCTGTTCTTTAATATCAGTCACACTTGGAGTCCTTGAGTGTGGGCCTCCAGCACTTCCGAGATGGCTCCCTGCCTTTAGTTGCCGCTTACTGACTTGGGGGCAAAGGTAGAGGTAGGGGGCTATGAACATTCTCCTCTAGCCTGCTCTCGTTACTCAGCAGCAGTGATAACTACCCTTTTCTGAGCACGTCCCACATTCCAGACACTACGCACTGGCTCACTGTAGCCCTATGAAGAAAACACTATTGGTGTGATTCCCATTTTGCAAGGAAACTGAGGCACACAGAGGGAAAGTAACTTGCCCAAGGTGTCTTTCCATTACCAAGTGTCCAATTCAAGATTTGAACTCAATACTAGTGATTTGTTACACAGATGCACAGGCCATGTGTGTGGTGTGTGTGCATGTGTGTGTGTGTGTGTGTCTGGTGTGTGGGGAGGGAAACACTGGCTGTTTGAGATCCCTGAGCTGAGGAAGGTGAGCACAGAGTGAGCAGCAGTTGAAGGTGCCCCACGCTGCCCAGTTTGGGGATTCCAAGCAGGAGGGCCCGGGAGTAGCTGTCCCACTGACTTGAATGCACTTCAAGCCCTCTCTTGTTTCCCTAGGGCCGAGCTCTCTTAGCCTCCCAGCCCCAGTTTCAGGCCTCCTGGGTGGCATCCTCAGCTCACCTGCTGACTCCTTCTCTTCATCTAGGCCACTTCACTCCCTCTGGCCCCTGCTCAGTGCCTGGGCCTCGGCCTGGTGGCCTCTGGCCTGGCCAGGGGCATGCGGATGGCAGTGGCATTCCAGCAAGGGTGAGATCACCACCCATCGCCCTGGAGAACAGGCTGCCAGGGGAGGTGTCTGCGTCACTTGTGGCCTTGTTGGCAGATCATAAAAGCTGGAAATGCCTGATGAGGTAATTGTGCCCCAGGGCCCTGGGGGCCAGACCCTGCGGGCTCCCTCCATGGCTGCCACTTCCCATCACCTCCCTCTGGAGAGGCAGAGTGAGCAGGCTGCTTTTCTCTTCTTTTGCTTCACTGTGGGCCCCCTTCTGGCCCCTGGGAGGAGAGGGCAGAACCTCCATCTTCATGCCAGGGAGCCCCAGCTCCCCAAGTCTTTGCCAACAACTCTGAGACCCTGCCCTGTGGGGCCCTCCTCCAGGAGGGTCCAAGTAGCTGTTCCGTTGATACAGAGGGGTGTGGAAGAGTAGGGAAGGGGAAGCAATAAATAAAATAATGCTGATGTAAGAGGCTTGGTTTGAGCCAAGCTGCCTGGGAGAGACCCAGAGTCTAGAGCTAGTGTTGCTCACTGGCAGGGCTTGTCCATGCCTTTTCTGACTCTCAGTTTCCTCATCTGTGAAATGGGTGTGTTGGCCTAGAAACGAGGATCTTAATCTGCTGGGAGTGCAGATCCCTCTGAGGCTAGAGGCAAAACCGTGAGAACATGAATTCTAGAGCAGAAGGCTGACGCCTTTCCTTGGATGCTACCGTCAGGTCCCCAGTGAAGTTGGGTCTTTAAAATCCTGCCCCACCTAACAATCTCTGTTGCTTGAAGGTCACCAGGAAATGACACAGAAGCCTTTGGAGTGGTGCCCAAATGCTCACGTAGGCCTGCACCCTGCAGCTCTGAGGGCCCAGCCCCTAGGAAAGGGAGGGCAGTAGTTCCATGTGCTTCTCAGAAGAGCTGGTGCCAACAGGGTCCCTTTGAAGTTCCTGCTTAGGTCCTGGGCCCCAAAAGGAATGGCACAAAAAGACAGCCCGTCCCCGTCCTCCTTATAGCCTCATGGTGCCTGGTGCCATAAGATGGAGTGACGCAAATGTTCAGGCTGGGGAGGAAGTGTTGGGTCCAGTGTCTGAGGTCAGCCACATCACAGAGGTTCTTGCTCTGCTCAGGCTCTGGAAAGAATTTCTGCCCTGCAGCTGCAGTCAGCCCAGCTGGAGCTGAAAGAGTGGAAACTGCAGTAACAAAGCAATTAAAAAGCTGCAAAAGATCATCAGCTTGCTGACCACATTTCAAAGAATGCGAGAAAGCAGGTGATCATATTCCCAAGCCTCCAGCTTCTGTGAGAACCCATAGGTCAAGCACAGGCGTCCAGGCCTGTCCCACCAGGACCCTTTGCCCTCTCCCCAGATGATTTAGCACCCAGATGGTCCTCAGACTCACAAGGGGCAGAACACCTTGAGTTTATAAAGGTGCCCTGCAGCATTGAACTCACATGGTTAATTTCATCCCACATCAGAGGCTTATAAAAGGGGGTATCTAGAGTGATCACCATTACCTTCTATATTCATGATTACCCCCATTTTTAGGTGAGGAAACTGAGACTCAGGGGTTACCCAGCTATGAGACACAGGCCTGGCCTTGCCACTCAAACGTTCTGAGGCCAGGTTGACGTGTTTCTCACTCACTCATCTGCTCAGTTAAGTCATGATGCCAAAATACATATTATAGTCTGAAACAGGAGTAGGCAATGAACAGCCTGCTTCAAAACCAGCTCAGCACTTGTTTTTGTAAATAAAGTTTTATTTGAACAGCCATGCCCATTCATTTACATATGATCTATGGCTGCTCTTACTACAATGGCAGAGCTGACTAGTTGCAACAGAAACTGTATGGTCCACAAAGTCCTCAAAGCCTATTATATTTCCTATCTGGCCCTTTACAGAAAACATTTGCCCTAGTCTGGAATATTTACATCAACCTGGATTTCCTCAAGAAAGCAGGTCATCAGGAAGATGACTTCTTTATTTTTATTTTTAATAATTTCATCCTTTAGATTCAGAGGGTTTATGTCCAGGTTTGTGACATGGGTATATGGCATGATGCTGAGCTTTGGGGTACAAATGATCCCATCACCCAGGTAGTGAGCATAGTGCCCAATGGTTTTTCAACCCCTGCCCCCTTCTTGCCCTGTCCTAATAGTACCCAGTATATATTGTCATTTTTATGAGTACTCAGTGTTTAGCTCCCACTTATAAGTGAGGACACAAGTATTTGGTTTTCTTTTCCTGCGTTCTTTCACCTAGAATAATGGTCTCTGGCAGCATCCATGTTGCTGCAAAGGACATGATTTCATTCTTTTTTATGGCTGCATAGCATCCCAAGGTTGTACATGTACCACATTTTCTTTTTTTTTTTCTTTTGAGACGGAGTCTCGCTCTGTCGCCCAGGCTGGAGTGCAATGGCGCGATCTCGGCTCACTGCAAGTTCCGCCTCCTGGGTTCATGCCATTCTCCTGCCTCAGCCTCCCGAGTAGCTGAGCCTACAGGCACCCACCACTACGCCCGGCTAATTTTTTTTTTTTTTTTTTTTTTTTTTTGAGACGGAGTCTCGCTCTGTCGCCCAGGCTGGAGTGCAGTGGCGGGATCTCGGCTCACTGCAAGCTCCGCCTCCCGGGTTCACGCCATTCTCCTGCCTCAGCCTCCCAAGTAGCTGGGACTACAGGCGCCCGCCACTACGCCCGGCTAATTTTTTGTATTTTTGGTAGAGGTGGGGTTTCACCGTGTTAGCCAGGATGGTCTCGATCTCCTGACCTCATGATCTGCCTGCCTCGGTCTCCCAAAGTGCTGGGATTACAGGCGTGAACCACTGCGCCCAGCCATGTACCACATTTTCTTTATCCAATTCACTGTTGATGGGCACCTAGATTGATTCCATGTCTTTGCTCTTGTGAATAGTGCTGTGGTAAACGTGAGTGCATGCATCTTTTTGGTAGAATGATTTATTTTATTTGGATATATACCCAGTAAGGGGATTGTTGAGTAGAATGGTAGTTCTAAGTTCTTTGAAAAATCTCTAAATGGCTTTTTTTTTTTTTTTTTTTTTGAGACGGAGTCTTGCTCTGTCGCCCAGGCTGGAGTGCAGTGGCATGATCTCGGCTCACTGCAACCTCCACCTCCCTGGTTCAAGCAATTCCCCTGCCTCAGCCTCCCAAGTAGCTGGGACTACAGGCGTGCACCACCACGCCCAGCTCTTTTTTTTTTTTTTTGTATTTTTAGTAGAGACAGGGTTTCACCACGTTGGCCAGGCTGGTCACGAACTCCTGACCTCAGGCAATCCGTCCACCTCTGCCTCCCAAAGTGCTGGGATTACAGGCATGAGCCACTGTGCCTGGCCCAAATTGCTTTTTACAGTGGCTGGACTAATTTATATTCCCACTAACAATATATAAGTGTAGGGAGATGACTTCTTAACCAAAGACCTGATGTCTAGGAGTTTGCAGCAATAATGCAAATGACAACAACTGTATTTAATCAACTGTTAATACCACCCTGCTGGTGCTTTCTCCAAAGCTTTCAAGTTGCAGCCTCAGCAGATAATGAGGTATGGGTCGTAATTTTAAGAAAACCACCACCAGATGAAGAAGCTTGTGTCTGAGGTTAGAAGTGGAAACAGGGATAGCAGGCAGGATTGAGGGAAACTGCCCCGGGCTTAGGATGAGACCAGAGACAGGTTGGCTGCTGTGCGGGAGGGAAGCCACTCGGCTGGATAGGATGATGTAAAGTGCTCCCACAGCGTCTTGTCCACAGGGGGTGCACCACCAGCATCCTCCTTGGAAATGCTGGCCACAGGTGCCCTGTGTAGAAGCACAAGTGAGTTGGTGAAGAGCGGATCCCCACCACCAAGGACTGTGTGGAAGGAATGAGTCCACATCCCTGACTGATTTGGCCGACTCCGTGTGTTCCCTGGGCTGAAGTGAGTGTCCTGCTGGACTCTACAAGGCCACCCTCAGCGTGTCAGTTTCTGGGAAAAAGGTGGGTAATCCTAGGAGACTCTCTGGACGTCTCCTTCTTGGGACTGGCCTTGGGAGGCGGAAGGGGACCTGCTGTGGCCCACTGGGAAGTGGGCTGTGGCGCAAAGATAAATGGGCCCATGGAGCTGACCAGACAGGCAGTGTCTGCAAATGCAGAGGGTCTAGATCAGGGGTGTCCAGTCTTTTGGCTTCCCTGGGTCCCAATGGAAGAAGAATTGTCTTAGGCCACATATAAGATACACTAAGACTAACGATAGCTGAGTAACTTTTTAAATATCACAAAAAAACACATTCGTACTGTTTGAAGAAATTTTACGAATTTGTGTTGGGCCGCATTCAAAGCCATCCTGGGCCTCACGCGGCCAGAGGCCGCGGGTTGGACAAGCTTGGTCTGGATTCAGGAGGGTCTGCCTCTGTTTCCCCCCATCATTCTTGACCCCCGTTGAGGTGTTAGTGGATGCTCCGGCCGGGTTTCAGCCAAACACCTGGGTTCAGGCTGAGGTCCATGCTCAGCTTCGGGCCAGGGCACTGGAGCAGGAGTGGCACTGAGGGCCTGTCCTCACCAGGGTCTCCTTCCTTTGCCACCTTAGGCAGCTCTGGGATGTTTTATAGGGGAAAGTGGCATCTCCTCCCCTGCCCATGAGGAGGGTGGTGCTGAGTAAAGGTAGCCTCTGCGGGCAGGAGATGGCAGGGACCATGGGACCCAGCAGAGTGAGGGGTGCTGAGGGGTCTCAGAGCAGAGAGACTCCCTTGTTCTGACCCTCTCCAGCTGACTGCAGGTCCGCGAGCCTGGGGGCCCGGACGCTCCTCCATGTGCTTTTCTGCCCCACTACTAACTTCAGTCCACATCACAGCCTCCGAGAGTGGGGCTTCTGGGGCCATCCCCTCTGTGCTCTCCGCAAGCACCATTCTGCGGGACTTTGTAGAGTGACCCGAAGCTTCCGCTCCCTAGCCCTGTGCTCTTCCCCTCTCCAGTCCATCTCGGCCGGGAGTCGGGTCTCTGCCAGCCCAGCGCTCGGAATGGAGCTTTGTGGGGCTGGGGAAGCAACCTTTGCCAATGGGAAGGGGGTGTCACAGCGCCTCATTCCCTCCCAGCTTGCGCTCCTCGGAATAATCTCCAACAGCGTGCCTAGAAGCACAGCTGCTTTTGTTTCGGGCGTCGGTGCTTCCCAGAATCCCGGTGCCCGGACCCAGCCGCCGAACCGACCCCGCCCCGCCGCGGGCTTTGTTCCCTGCGCTGCGCACTGCGAGCGGCGGCCACGCGGGGGCGCTGGGCCGGGGGCGGGGGCCAGGGCTGGGGGTGGGGCGCGCCCCCGGGCCACCTCCCCCGCCCCTCCCGGCTCCTCCCCGCTCCTCCTCCCATGCCCCGGCCCCCGCCTCGCAGCTGGGCTCGGACTCAGGCTTAGCCGCAGTCTGTGAGCCTCCTCCCCGCACCTGGCCGGCCAGGCCAGCCCAGCCTACTTGTCTCGCTGCGCCCGGCTGCTGCCTCCGCTCCAGGGGTCGGCGCCGGGACCTCCTCCTCCGCCGCCGGCCCGCCCGCGTCTACACCGCACACCCGTGGCGCGCCCTCCAGGGGCGGTTTTTCTCCCGGGGTCCTAAGTCTCACTCTACCTGCTTCACGCTTAGTGGTCCTGTAGAAATACAGACGCGTCGTAGGCACTTAGTAAATGTCTGTTGAATGACTGTGTGTAAGCACTCGTCCGTTCTTTACCACACCTCATTTTTAAAGTTAATGGACGTTATTTTTTTCAAGCAATTTTAGATTCACAATAAAATTGAGCCAAAAGTACAAAAAGTTTCATTTCCCCCCTGTACCCACCCCCGAACAACCTCCCCCACTCTCGACCTCCAGACCAGGGCATGCATTGGTTGCCATTGTGAACCTACACTGCCACATCAGGGTCACCCAAAGTCCACAGTTTTCTTTAGGGTTCACCCTTGGTGCTGTACACTCCATGGGTATGACATGTGTAAGGCCATGTCATTCCGGTATCACACAGCATTTTCACTGCTCCAGAAATTCAACCCTCCGTCTTTCCAACTCCTGGCAACTCCTGCTCTTTTTACTGTCTCCATAGTTTTATGGAATCATGCTAATTTTCACAACCATCCAAGAGGTAGGAACTCTTCCCCTTTTGCCCTTGAAGACACTGAGGCTCAGGGATGTTGCCAGGGCCCTGTCAGCTTCCTGATAGGAAAGCCACTAAATTCCAATCGGCTACCAGTTTTCCTGCAACCCTGGCCTGGGATACTCTCCTGAACAATGAAGCCAGTAATGGCATGACCACAGCGCTGTCCCACCCTGGCCAGCAAACAGGCTCCCTCAGGGGACTCCACTCCTCTACCTGGACACTTCTGCAGGCGGGAAGTGGGTAAGGAGTGACAGGTGTGGACTGCCTTGCTTGGCTTCTGGGAGGAGCCATTTGTGCCTGCTGCCAGGCCTGCTGAAACATTACTAGGCTGGGCGGAAGTACAGATGGAAGCCCTGGTCGGTGGTCTGCCCCTTCCTTTCCCTAGCCCAGGCTCTGACTTCGCCGTAAGGATCTTGCAGAGCAGGCATGGACACCCAGCCTGCAGCCCAAGCTCCATCCCCACCCGAGAGCCAAACACCCCCCAGGCTAATCCTCAGGCCCGGTAGTGTGTACACTGGTGAGAGCAGACAGCTGCGGGAAGAGGACCTGCAGAGGCCCTAAAGTGGGCCCCTGACGGGAGGCAGAGCTCAGATAATAATTTTCGTCCATGTGGGCCCCAGGACCTTTGGGCAGGGCCCTGGGTACCTGAAGCATGATCCGAAAGGGAGGGCATGAGCTCCAGGTGGGCATGTCCCTTGACTTTGTGCTAGGGTTACCAGATTTAGTAAATTAAAACAGGAGTCCCCAACCCCTGGGCGTGGACCTATTCTGGTCCATGGCCTGTTAGGAAGTGGGCTGCATAGCAGGAGGTGAACAGCAGGTGGATGAGGATTACTATCTGAGCTCTGCCTCCTGTCAGATCATCAGGCATTAGAGTTTCATAGGAGCGAGAACCCTATTGTGAACTGTGCATGCGAGGGATCTAGGTTTCCTGCTCCTTATGAGGATCTAACTAATGCTTGATGATCTGAGGTGGAACAGTTTCATCCTGAAACCAAACCTGTGCCCTGTCTGTGGAAAAATTGTCTTCCGTGAAACTGGCCCATGGTGCCAAAAAAAGTTGGGGACCGCTGAATTAAAACACAGGACACCCATTTAAATTTGAATTTTAGATAATTGCATTAGTCTGTTTTCACATTGCTGATAAGACATACCCAAGACAGGGGAATTTCCAAAAGAAAGAGGTTTAATGGACTTACATCTCCACATGGCTGGGGAAGCCTCACAATCATGGCAGAAGGCAAGGAGGAGCAAGTTATGTCTTACATGGATGGCAGCAGACAACGAGACAGAGTTTGTACAGGGGAACTCTTCTTTTTAAAACCACCAGATCTGGTGACACTTATTGGCTCTCACAAGAACAGCACGCAAAATCCTGCCCCCATAATTCAATTACCTCCAGCCAGGCCCCTCCCACAACATGTGGGAATTCAAGATGAGATTTGGGTGGGGACACAGCCAAACCATATCAATAATCAACAAATAATATTTTAATAGTAGTATGTCCCAAATGTATACTTATACCCCCCAAATTATTTGTTTATCTGAAATTCAAATTTAATTGGGCATCCTGTATTTTATCTGCCAACCCTGCCTTGTGGACTCCTGACCCGTGGGGAGAGAGACAGCAGGAGGAGGACCCGAGTGGAGTCCTCAAAAGTATGGGGCTTGGGCAGGGGCCTCAGTCCTCTGTGCTGAGGCTGTCCTGGCTGCATGTTTCAATATCCTGAAATTGCAGCAAGGTTCTGGCTTCTAGGGGTCCTGGGAACAAGGTCCTTGTCAGGAGCTGGCTCCGCTCAGTAGGAGACCAGGGTGGTTTGACAATAAACTTTGCCATTGAAGCTTCTGGAATGCAGGTGTGTTGGGTGAAGGCTGGGGAGGCAACAGATAGTGTGAGGAGGTGGGGAGGTAGGATGGGGACAGGAAAGTAAGCTTGCAGCTGCTGCCTCCATCTTGGTCCTTCCAAGGTTAAAGAAGGTCAGGGGTATGGGGAGAGGTTTTGGGGAGAGATGGGGGGACAGGAGGGACACAGCGGCAAATCCCTGCACTGCCAGGGTGAAAGTGCACTGTGGTTGTGCAGCCTGCTTTCCTGGCTGAAATGTTCCTTTCACGTCACCATAGTTAGCATTGCAGACCAGGTCATGAAGGAAGCCAGGCAGGATCTGATGGAAGCCGGGCAGATGGCCTATTGAGGCACAGAGGGTAGGTTTCTTGCAGGTTTGGTGTTGGTGCCCATTGCCCCGAGCTTGGGCCCATGCAGATCAGTGGGGTCACTCAGGGCAGTGAGGGAAGCTCTCACTGGAAGGGGAAGAGCTGGCTCAGGGAGGAGGTGGTGGATGTGGTGGAAAGGCCAAGGTGAATGTTTGGGAATGACTTCTGGAAATCTTTTGTGGAGGACTCACTGAACTGCTTTAGAATTGGAGTCCCAGTCTATCCTAGTGGCTTTTAAAGGAGCTACCTGGAAGAGAGAAGCCACTGTCCTCAGGGCAATGTTCTGGGCAGGTGGGAGTTCTTGTACACACTCCCAGATGGGCCTGGACCACACCCTCCATGTATCTAAGCCTCAGCTTCTGCACCTGGTGAATGGAGATAATTTGGGGGGTTTATTCTGAGAATCAAATGAAATCATGCATAAAAGCAACTTGCAAGGGGAAAGTGTACTTAGAAAGTACAAGATAGCATTGATTGTTAACTCAGTGTGTATGGAGCTCTTCTTTGGGGCCAGACCCTGTGTCAGTCTGCAGGGAATTGGAATGATCCCATGGAGCCCAGGTCTGGTAGGGAAGACAGGCTTGTGACCAGGTCACATAGGTGTAGGCAGGGGGCCCCAAGGGGATCGGAGGAAGGGAGTTGTCCCTATTCCTTGGGAGGTCAGGAAGGGGTTACCCAGGAAGTGTTGCTGGATGGAGCCCTCAAATGTGGGGCGATGTCGGCAGATGGAGCAGAGTGGGAAGGGAATTTCAGTCTGGCAGGCAGGAGGGGAGGCCAGGGGCCAATAAGAGCCTGGGCGGGGGCTGCCAGGCAAGAGCAGATGTCTCACTGAAATGCTTTGGCCCCCAGGAGATTGAACTGTTTCCTGTAGGCAGGGAGGAAGCACGCAGGTGACAGCATCTGGGTGACAGTTTGAAAATATCACTCTGGTTTCCATTGAAGTCAAGGTTTACAGACGCAAGGTGGGGAAGAGGCTGGGAATCTAGAGGGGGAATGTTTCTGCTATGGTCCAGGTTAGCTAACAAGGGTGTGATTGGGGCAGGAGCATGGGTATGGAGAGAAGGAGACTTCCTATAATGTTAGAATTGGAATCTGCGGGGCTCAGTACCCACCTTACTAAACCCCTCTCAGGATCCTGGGCCCTCTGAGCCCCTTCCTCCCTGAGCTCATTCCTGACAGCCCTATTCTGTGGGAGTCTTCTCTCCTCTGAACACTGATAACCTCTGCTTCCCACACCACTGACTTTAGAGTCTAGTGGCATACTTTTGTTTATTTATTTTTAATTGTTTCCAAGTCCCAGTTGTTTTCTTGAATGTCACAGAAACGTTGGTGAAATTATTTTCTAGGAAAGAGCTAGCTTATTTACTTGTTTCTCTCCCTATCTTCCACCCTCTAGCCCTTTCCCTCCCTCCCTCCCTCCCTCCCTCCCTTCCTCCCTTCCTTCCTTCCCTCCTTCCTTCCCTCCTTCCCTCCTTCCTTCCCTCCTTCCTTCCCTCCTTCCTTCCTTCCCTCCTTCCTTCCTTCCTTCCATTCTTTCTTCCCCTCTTATACTTATCACCATTTATGCATCTATTTTGCCATTGCACTGTTTCCAGTTTTTGGCGATTATGAATAATGCTGCTTATAAATATTTCTATAATTGTATTTTGATGATCATATGGATATATTTCTCTTGGGCATATAGCTAGGAGTAGAATTGTGGGGTCACAAGGTTCACATATGTTTGACATCAGTTGGTACTGACAAACAGTTTTCCAAAGTGATTGTATTGATTTATGTTCTCGTCAACAGTCTGTGAAAGTTGCAATTGCTCCATACTGTTTTGAACACTTAGTATTGTCAGCTTTAAAATTTTTAGCTATTCTGGTGTTGGCGTAGTGTCATTTCATTGTGGTTTTCATTTGTGTTACTCTGATGACTGAAATAGTTGACCACTTTTTCCTGTTTATTGGCCATCTTGGTATTCTCTTTTGTGTGGTGCCTGTTCAAGACTCTCATTCAGTTTCCTAATGGGATTAGGAATGTTATTTTAACGTTCTGGATACAAGCCCTTTGTCTCTTTTGGGTGTAGTAAACATCTTCTGCTCCGTGGCCTTCTCTTTTACTTCTCTTTCTTCTCTTCTGCTCCATGACATCACTTTCTTAATGATGTCTTTTGATCAACAGAAGTTTCTCATTTTAATACAGTTCAGTTAATCTATCTTTTCCTCCATGGTTGAAGCATTTACCGGAAAGTTTTAAAAACCTTTCCCTACACCAAGGCCATGAAAGTATTCTCTTGTAGGAGCTTTATTGTTTTGTCTTTCACATTTAAATCTACAATTCACTTGGAATTGGTTTTTATGTGTGGTGTGAGATAGGGTCAAGTTTCACATTTTTTTCACATGGGTATCCAATTTACCCAACTCCAGATACTGAAAAGACAATGTTTTTCCCACTCTGTTACGCATCTTTTATTATCAATCAACTGTACCTATATGTCTGTTTCTAGATTTTCTATTCTGTTCTCCTGGTCTATTTGTCTATCTGTGCACCAATAATACAATGACTTAACTATTGTAGCTTGGTAAATTTTGATATCTGATAGAAAAACTCCTCCTAAATTTGCCCATACTGTACCTTATCACACTGTAATACAATTCCCTGTTTACTGGTGTGAAAGATGAGCGTCAACATTTACTTGCCAAGACTTACTTAACAGATTTACTTACAAAACTTTACAGATTTTCTGTAACTGATCTTATTTTACTTTAAAGCCCTTCATGTCTACTGTAAGTCTATTGCTGTCTTTGGGTTTTTGTTGTTGTTGTTGTTATTCCATTTTCTTCATTAGTAGTTTGTTAATTATGCATTATTCAACTATTTTGATTGGTTTTCTTAGAGATAAAAGCATGCATCCACAAGTCTAATATAAATTGGTACTTTCACCATGCCCAGGATCTTAGAACACTTTAATTCCATTTATTCTTCTGTTTTTGTGTATCGTGGCATATTTTAATTTATATTTTAAAACACATTAAAAAGTGTTATTGCATTATTTCATATTGCCAACATTCATTTAGATTTACTTACATATATAATTTTTCTGGGTTTCTTTACTTTTTCCTGCATGTCTGTGATTCTATCTGGGATCATTTTCATCTCCCTTTAGCATTTCCTAATTTGGTTCTACTGGTGACAGATTATCTCTGATTTTTGGTGTCTACATGATGAATTAATCTCAGATTCATTTTTGAAAGATATTTTACTGAGTACAGAATTCTAAATTGGTTGTTATATTCTTACAGCATTGTGAAAATACTAGTCTGTTGACCTTTGGCTGCTTTATTTCTGTGGAGAAGTCAGCTGTCTGTCTTATGGTTGCTTCTTTTAAGACATGTCTTTTTTCTCTAGATGTTTTTAGGATTTGTCTTTTTGGTTTTCAGCAGTTTTGGTCTGATATGCCTAGGGGTGTGTGCGTGTGTGTGTGTGTGTGTGTGTGTGTGTATTCTTTTGGGGTACCCAGAGCTTCTTAATCTATAATTTGATTTCTTTAATTAGTTTTGGACAATTCCCAATGTTTATCCCTTAAAATTTACTTCTGTCCTATTCTCTTTCTCTTCTCCTTCTGGGACACCAGTTATATGTATAATACCTTTTCATCACATATTTTTTGTTTCTTCTGCTCTTTTCTTCATTTTCTATCCTTTTGATTCTGTCCTTCAGTTGGAAATTTTCTTCCATCTTCCAGTTCACTAATCCTGTCTTCAACTGAATGTAATTTGTTTATAAACACAGCCATCAAATTCTTAATTTCATATACTGTGGTTTTAGTTACAAATTTAACATTTAGTTTTTTTAATATACTTTCTGGTTTCTGCCAGAATTCTTTATCTTATTATTTAACTCCATGAATTTATCTATTATGGTTATTTTAAAATCTGTTTCCAGTAATTTTCAAATTTGGATATTCTGTGAACTTCTTTTCTTTTTTAAATTTTTATTATTTTTAAAACAAATTTTACTGTGTATATTTGAGGTTTGCAACATGATGTTATGGCATACATATAGATAGTAAAATGATTATAGTGAAGCAAATTAACTTATCTGCATCTCACATAGTTACTGTGAGTTCATTTATGTTATTTATTTTTTCTCTTGGCTTTTGTTTGGATCTTGTCTTTTGGCAAGGCTTATTGGTTTTGCTGGATGTCATATGAAAAATAGCAGAAATTAATTTGAAATTCTGAACAATGCTGTCTTCCTTCAGAGAGGATTTGCTTTTACTTCCTGCCAGCCTGAGGCTAAGAGCAATTCACCCTAATTCATTCAGGATTCAATATGACTTTAGTCATCATGAGTACTGGCCTATTTTCTCTTCACTCATACCACTAGGGTGTAGCTCTTTTGTATTTCAACCAAAAGCCTGGGTTTTTAAAATCAAGACTTATCTTTTTTTTTTTTTTTTTTCCCCAAGACAGAGTCTCGCTCTGTTGCCCAGGCTGGAGTGCAGTGGCACAATCTTGGCTCATTGCAATCTCTGCCTTCCAGGTTCAAGAGATTCTCCTGCCTCAGCCTCCCAAGTAGCTGAGACTGTAGGCATGCACTACCATGCCTGCCTAATTTTTGTATTTTTTAGTAGAGACGGGGTTTTACCATGTTGGTCAGGCTGGTCTTGAACTCCTGGCCTCAAGTGATCCACCCGCTTCAGCTTCCCAAAACGCTGGGATTACAGGCGTGAGCCACTGCGCCTGGCAGAGAGCTATCCTCTTAAATTGTCTCTAAACTTCGCTTGTATGTCCTGAACCTCGTGAGACTGTGAGATGCTCTGCTCAGTTTCTCAGTCTCTTGGCAAGTCAGCTAGGGTAATTTGGTCCCAAATTGCTGGCTCCCCATCAGTCAAGGGGAAAAGTGGTCCCACATTTCTGGCTCACCTTTCTTGGCTTACTTCTGGATTTTTCCCCACAAATTCTTGCTTCCTCAATTGCTTTCTGATGCCTTCAAGCAGTATTGTTTTTTTAAAATTATTTTTTTCTAGAATTTCTAAATGATATCAATGGAAAAGTTGGTCCAAGATATCCTAACTGGCAACTGATGGAAGTGGCATCTTCAGCTCCATTATATTTAAGTGATCCAAAATGGGTCAAAGGCTGGGGACATACGGTGGCAAATTTTCCATGAAATTCCACATAAGGAAAGATCCCTGATGAATTCTTAGACATCATGGATACTGAAAAACTGACTCAGTCATTTAAATCTTACTTTTTTGTAGCTGTTGAAGCATATATACCCACTTGGCAGGTTGACAGGTTGCTTTTGTTTCCCTTCACTTGTGAGTGACTGGATTACCTTGCCATTCCTTTTTTCTGTCCCTTGCCCTGCCACCACAACCATGCTTTTTGCTTGATCCTTCTCTCCTAGTCCTACTCCAGGTACATCTGAGGATGCTGCATCTCCCACCTTCCAGCTGCTACAAGGGCCAGTGTCAGAGCATCTTAGAGAGCCTCAGAATACTGTGGTGTGGGATTAAAAAATACTTGTAAGGGAGGCTTTCCAGTTACTAATGTGAGAAAGGTCTGTGTATTTTACATAAAGTAGTATGTGTGCTTTGTGAGCTTATGTTTTCTTGCTAGGAATTCTGTTTCTGGACTTGGCGGGAGAGTGGTCCTGAGAGGAGACACTGGGGTCACTCGCCAGGCTCACACATCCCAGACCTATTGTCCGCTTGTTGCCCAGCCACACTCCTCTGCATCACCATCTCCACAGCACCCTCAGGGCTTCTGGGAAGCTGCCTCACTTCATAAATCAAGGTACAACATTGTGTCTGGTCATGGAAATTTAATTTATCTTTAGGCAAAACTTGGAACCAGGCACATATATCTACTTAGGCCCCTCAAGTGTTCACTTCAAAGGCACTTTCCATCAGACTGCACTCTCACCCTCATTTCTCCTCTTTCCCACCTCTCCAGTAGGAAGTTGAGTGCGGAGAGGATGGTCACCCTAGAGAAAGCCAGTATTTGGACATTCCTAGCCAGATTCTATTCAGCATATGGACATGAACTGGACACGTCTACAGACAGATAATCTATCCAACATGTAGAATAAAGTGAAAAATGAAGTGGAAACTGAAAGAAAGCCCACAAACTTGTTCTGTATCTGCAAGTAAGGTAAAATCCATGAAAAAGAAAGCTTCTTACCCAGAGCACCGCAGATGCAACTCCAAGCCTCAGTGATAATGTTGCAGGTGTATGCGTGCGTGTCTGCATGCATGCATGTGTGCATGTGATAGAAAAGAATATTTAGCAAGCTCCCCCATACAGGAAAGACAAAAGTGGAAACAGACCTGTGTGCTCTTTGGTAATGTGGCTTGAATGGCCTTTCCAGTGGGTTATTTTGGTCCTGGAGTGCAGTCATTCTCAACAATGTTTACATCAAGCAACCTTGGATCCTGCCCATGCTGCCTATTGAGCAACTTCAATTCTGGAAAGAGATGAGGATGGCCTTTGATTGGGAAATTAGCTTCTTTCAAATGCGGGCAGAGGCATGGAATCTTGCAGTGTGGGAGTGGAAAGAAATCTTGGAGATCATCTTGTCCACCCCCTCATTTTCCAGATCATAAAGTGCAGGCTTGGAGAGTTGAGGTAACTTTCTCAGGGTTGCACAAAGGATCAGTGGCAGGGGAAGTCTTGGAAACCAGCCTCCTAATTTCTGGTAACCCTATCAGTCTATCCTTAGCAATGATAAAAAGGGATTGAAAATAATAGATGATTAAGGAAATTTTCAAAATCCCCAAATCATAATAAGAGGCTTTGAAATATGAAACTCTAAACCAATGGTTAGATCCTGTTATTGGCATTAGAAGCCGTAATCACGTTTCTTTCTCATACGAAAGGATGAGAGTAATGGGATGTGACCATTTTTCTCAGGTAGAGCACACCATGTACTCCAAACTGTATACTCTGTATACATCGAACAGTATACTCAAGCTGCGTCACTTTTGGGTTATCCTGCATTCATTCACACTTCTGTTTGTGAAGACACATCCATTAAGTGAGTACTAGTGTGAGGCAGAAGCTAAGAGGGTCAGGAACATCCTTTTCCAGTCTCTTGGCAGCTAAAGTTGGGGTACCTGTGTCTTGGCCCTGGCCATTAGGATGTTCCTATCTGGGACTTTGCATCTGGAGAGAGTAGTGCAGATGACACAATAGTCATGCTTCTAGTGCTGCTGGTGTTGGTGCCAGGGCAGCCCCCTAGCAAGGCTATTCTTGGGCCATCACCTTGACCCATTTTATTGATATTCTGCCTCTGTGTGTGTGTGTGTGTTTTTTTTTTTTTTTTTTTGAGATAGGGTCTTGCTCTGTTGCCCAGGCTGGAGTGCAGTGGCATGATCTCGGCTCACGGCTCACTGTACCTTCCACCTCCTGGGCTCAAGCAATCTTCCTACCTTAGCCTCCTAAGTGGCTGTGACTACAGGTGCATGCTAATTTTTAACTTTTTGGTAGAGATGGGGTCTCACTATATTGTCAGGCTGATCTTGAACTCTTGGGCTCCAGCAATCCTCCTGCTTCAGCCTCCCAAAGTGCTGGGATTACAGGCGTGAGTCACTGTGCCCAGCCTGTCCTGCCTCTTTCAGTCACTGCCTGCTTCCTGAGGCTGGCTCTCCAACTTCCTGTCAGTCTTTTGAGCTACAGTATCCTTTAAAGGAATCCCCTTTCTGCTTAAGAGTTGGTCTCTCCTCACTTGTATACAAGAGCCTTGGCCGATGCATTGGAAGAATGAACACCCTCTACAAGTCTTTGCATGTAGTGCTTTTGCTGGGCTCTCTTTGTTATGTATGTCTCACTATAAAGATTAGAGAGACGCTTGTCTTTGATGTCCAAATCAAATAAAGTTGGAGACTATAATTAAGTTTCCCCAGGACCTACAGCCTTGCCCCAGGGAAAGGCATTTTAAAGGTCAGTGCATCTCAATGTCCAGCAGGTTACCCGGTGGAGCCTGCAGAAACTTGTCTGTAGGGCACAAGTGTCTCTTCTGTCATAGGTCCCCATTCAAGGAGGGACCAATGTTGGGGCCCAGGACTAGTTATACAATTGATGAGACCCACCTTCAGGCAAGAGGATGTTTAGTGCAGCTCCCAGTGTCACAGGGAGGGGCTTGACCATCCTCCCCCATGTAATTGACATCAGGACCCAGGTTGGTTTATGGGGATTCCACAGGTGTTGTAGGAAATCAGCCTGAGGGGACAGTGTAGGGGTTGGGGTCCCACTGGGGAGGGAACAAACCAGTGTTTGGACACCTGCCTCTCAGATGGCCCTGTCCACCTGCAGGTGTGACCTTGTCCTTCTCCTGAATCCCTCCTCTCTGCTGGTCCCCAGAGCAGCCTGTGTGTACAAGGACGTGGTGCAGAGTGGAAAGAGACCTCACATCTGTCCCCACTGCACCTGCCTGAGCCTGCTCCAGGCCTGAGCTGCACAAAGGAGTGTAGAATGGGAATGTGGTGATGGGGGAGAGATGGAAGCTTTGATATTAGACTGGGCCGAGCTATTTAAGTAACTGAAAGTGAAGCTTTTCTTATACCTGCATGTGAGTGACCTGAAAAGGTATGGAATCCTCTAGAAGTGTAGAGAGTTGGAGAAGGGAGAACCAGCAGAGTGGGGTGAAGGGAAGTGGTGGGAAGATGAGGACACTTCTTGCCGGCCGCCTACAGAGGTCAGCTCCTTTAATCACATGAAGTCAAAATGCAAATGCAGCCTCCAGCCCACCCCTCCTCCATCCAGACTTCCACACATCACATCTTTCCTAAATA
Source organism: Homo sapiens (assembly GCF_000001405.40). Lineage (NCBI taxonomy): Eukaryota > Metazoa > Chordata > Mammalia > Primates > Hominidae > Homo > Homo sapiens. The sequence continues at coordinate 48,020,186 of NC_000018.10, forward strand.
GAACTTACGGAACCTCCGGGTCCTGGTTCCCAGTGTCAGTCCTTCACCAACACTTGCAGGGCCTGAGCAAGAATACCAGAGGTCCACATATCACAGGGCTACATATTTAAACATACAAGCCAAGCTAACAAGCTGTTCATTAAACTGTGTTCTATCCTCCTACCTTGGCAAGCAGACCTTCAGAAAGACCTGGAAAGCCAGGTTCTAGTTCCAATCTTCAGGGTCTTCTGAATTCTGGGCCAGAAAGTCATCTTGGGGATAGGGGGCAGCACCAGTCTACAGCCCTTAGCCTGCAGCCATCATCTTCCCTCTCCACCCTTGGCTTCGTCCTGTACATCCCCAGCAAACAGCCACCCTTGTCTGTGCCTCAGCTTCGGGTTGAAGACTCCAGTAGCAGTCTGCCCTCAGGAGCAGGATCTGGGGTAGAGGCTCCTGCAGGTGCACTGTAAGCAGGCTCCCTCCTCCCCTCCATCCTGTCCTCCCTTCTACCCCAACTCCCCTCCTCCCCTCCCTCCTCTCCTCTCTTCAACCCGACTCCCCTCCTCCCCCTCGTCTCCTCCCTTCTAACCTGATTCCCCTCCTCCCCTCCCTCCTCTCCTCCCTTCTAACCTGACTCCGCTCCTCCCCGCTCCTCCCTTCTAACCTGACTCCCCTCCTACCCTCCCTCCTCTCCTCCCTTCTAACCTGACTCCCCTCCTCCCTTCTATCTCAACTCCCCTCCCCACTTCCTCCTGTCCTCCCTTCTACCCCAACTCCCCTCCTCTCCTGCCTCCTCTCCTCCTGTCTGGCCCGACTCCTATCCTCCCCTCGCTCCTCTTCTCCCTTCTAACCTGACTCCCTTCCTCCATTCCCTCCTCTCCTCCCTTCTAACCTGACTCCCCTCCCTCCTCTCCTCCCTTCTACTCCAACTCCCCTCCTCCCCTCCCTCCTCTCCTCCTTTCTAGCCTGACTCCCCTCCTTCCTCTCCTCCCTTCTACCCCTTCTCCTCCTCCTCTCCTCCTCTCCCTCCTCTACTCCCTTCTAACCTGACTCCCTTCCTCCCCTCCCTTCTCTTTCCTCCCCTCCCTCCCTTTCTTCTTTTTTCCATTTTAAGAACACAAGAAAAGCAAAGGAAAAGGGGAAGGAAAGATCAATAGGTATAATTACTTTAAATGTTATTGATGTTAAAAAGGAAAAGACACCCACACTTTCAGGCACCTACTGAGTGGCAGGAAGGGCCAGTGTTGCGCATGTCCCACCCAAACCCCACGGGGACTTTCCAGGTAGGTGTTGTCACCTCCTTTTTATGAGTGAAGAAGAGGCTAAGCCAGAACACTGAGTGACACTGGGACTCTTACCCTGACAGAAGCACTGGGTCAGTCTGCCAGCACCCCCCAGGGTGGAAGGCTAAACCTGAACTGAGACTGGGAGTGTGGGAGCCTCCCAAATACTTTCCAGCTGACAGGAGCTCTCGGTCTGGAGGAGGATGTCAAGTAGTGAACCCTTGTGTTCCCTGGATGTCCACAGTGGCACATTTTGCTATGTCCTTGCTACCCCCACAAAGGCCCCCCTGCTTGGGAGTCCCAGCCATTTGGAAATGAAAATGCACTTTTGCATTTCCGAGTGTGGCTCCTATGGGAAGGATGTTGAAATGGCAGAATAAAAAAAATTTTAATTACAAGACACACCCGACTCTGCAGTGCTGATTGAATTCAGGAACCCCATTTTGGGGAGGGAGGTTCAGCACAGAGCTGACTACTCAGCAACAGCAGGGAGGTATGGATTAAAGGCATCCTGGGCTCCGAATGTGACGAGAAAGCCTCTATGGCTGTACTTGCTGCTGAGGGAGAGAGGGGACCTAGACCACCCATGCTGATGAACCACGATGACCAGCGCTTACAGTTAGGAAGGCAGTGTTCCCTTGACTTGGGGTGGGTGACACCGTGAAGGAGTATTTACCAATATCTGTAAAGGGCTGAGGTATCAGGAGGAAGACCGCCGGAATGTGCTTTGTCTAAATAGACTTCTGTTCCTAGTGGGAACAGTGGGCCTCATTCTGGTCCTCCACCTCAAAGAGGGCAGGGCGGCACCGTGGTCCGGGGGTTAGTGGCTCTGGGTTCCAGTCCTGGCTCTGGGGTTAGTGGCTCTGGGTTCCAGTTCCGGCTCTGCTAGAGCTTGCCTGGTGGCCTTATCCTCACCATTTTGCCACTTGGAGCTTCAGGCCTCTCATCTGCAGAATACGGCATGGCCATATCACGTTTTGAGGCCCCCCAGCATTAATGAAACTCTTCTTCTGTTGGAGAATTGACATCATGAATCTTTCCTTCTCAGGCCAGCGGAGCCAGGCGCTTGCTTTCCCAGGCAGCTGCGATCAGGTGGGGGCATGGGTCTTGGGCTCTTCCAAACAGATGCGCCAGCATTAGACTTCACGCTGCGGAGAGCAGTGTGAGGGAGTACAGAGTGTGGCACCCATTTTCCCAGGAGACACTGGTGGAGAGGGGGGCCACAAGACAGAGTCCCCATGCCCAGGGCCTGAGCTGCAACGATCTGACACAGTGTGGCTTGGGTGGTTCTGGGCTTCCTTGTTTCCAGGCCGTGTGCTACCCCTAGTCCACTTGGCGACTTTGTGCAAATTAGACGATTAGGCACCCCTTCAAGATGCTTTACTGCCCTCTGCTGGAAAATTCTTTAGTACACAAATGTACCAATCTGTCTAGGGTGTGAATGGCAGCCTCTAAATGTAGTGGTGTTGTGTAGTATGCAACCTGGACAACTGATCTTGGTGGCTCTGCCGGCCTGACTCTCTTCTGGCTTTTGTGAAAATTCTGAAAGAGACTTAATTTCCTATAGTAAATGCCTTTTCTACTTAAGCTAGCTGAAGTGGCTTCTGGTGTTTGACGAATAACTCCGACTGATACGAATAGGGATGCTGATACATGCCTCCTGGGGCTGAAACCAGATGACTCATGGAAGCAAGGGTCTCCAAGAAGGCATAAGGCACCTATGTTACTCAGAGGGTTTGTACTTCATTTATTAATTGTGAGAGGAACATGGGAAAATGATCTAATTCACGCTATCTTCCTTCCTTATTCTGGAAACCTATTTGTTTATTCTTTTGTTTTTGTTGTCAGGGTCAGCGTTCATGGTTAAAGACGGGAGCGCAAGGATGAAAATGTGAGTGTGCATTATACATATTCCAGCAGGGTGACCTGTGGGGAAAATGGCTTTGCCGGGTCTTGCTCATGCACTGTCGTGTCTCCTATTGTTACAAGGAGAGATGACATCAGCCTATGCACCATTTGTCCAGTGACTGAGTGTGTGTGTGTGAGTGTGTGTGTGTCTGGCTGCAGATAATGTGGCCAGGTTCCAGGTTTTCCAGGGCAAATTTGAGATGTTTTGTTTTTATATGTCAGGCCCTTTCTGGACCCATACGTTTTGGTTTAGGCCACGTGGGCACTGCCACTCAAGGTCATAGCAGCCCCTGCCTAGGGTGTGCCAAGGAGGAAAAAGGAGCAGGATCTCCCCAGGGAATCCTCCTTCCATCAATTTATGGAAATTCCTGTCTGACTCAGTCCTCAGCCTTCAAACCTGAAAGGAGCGAAAGGTCCCACATTCCCCATCCCTTTCTGAGCCAGGAAGTGGGATGAAGGAGGGATGGGCGGGAGCTGCGAGGCCAGTAACTGTTCAAGGGTGCAGTTTCAAGGCTCCTCTGCCCAGAGAAACCAGGCTTGTCTGCTGCTGGCAATCTGACAGTGCTTTGCCGAGGGGCCTTTCTTTCCACCTTGAATGAGGAGCAGGGTGGCAAAGGCCAGGAGAGGGAGCCATTGAATCACGTTCACATTTGATGACTCCTTTCAGGGCAGGTTTGGACAGAGGGGAGGGCAGAGAGAAAGGGTGTCTACACCCAGAGGGGTAGTTGTGTTAGGAAGAAGGACTTAGGAGCAGAGAAAAGGAGGACACAGGGGAGTTGGGGAGGGAAATTCACTGGATACAAACCTCCTCATTCTGGAATTTGTCCCAGGATGTCCCAGGTCCTTGGAGGTCCCTTGGCATGAGTGTTGCCTGGCACTTCCCTTCCATAGGGCCCCCCACACCCGCTGGCTCATGCTTCTAGCTGGGGCACTGACCCTGCTGCCCTTATGAAGTCCCAACTTCACCCATTCTCAGAGGGGAAGGGCCACGTACAGGGCACCCGGCTGTGCCCTGTTCCGGAAGTGCCCTTTACATGCTGGTTGCCTGTTCTGCAGTAAGCTCAGAGTTCCCTCAGGGAGGAAAAGCTGTCCAGGCCCCAGGAAAGGAGGAGTGGGGTCTGTAAAGGGCTCTGTTCTTCAGGAAGGGGCAGACTCTGGGTCAGATAAAGGCCTGAGATGAGGGTCTTATTTCCCATTGGGTCTTTACTGTTCTCTTGTCACATGTTTGGGGGCTCTAAATAAGAACCACGGCTTTTCTATGGAGTCCCCTTCTCTGGCCCCAACTTGCTGCAGGTGACTGGTTTAGGGAGAATGGGGTCAGCAGCCCTGGGCCACCACGCTGAGTTTTGTGAACCTGCCCAGTGCTTCTTTTTCACTCGTCACCCAACTCCTTCTGGCATGATTCTTCTTCCATGGTCATATGGTGGATATGTATTCACCTTTTCACAAATTAGATGGAAGGAACCCTAGAGACTCTCTTCTCCAGTATTCTTTTTTTTTGTTGATACAGGGTATATCGCTCTGTCACCCCAACTAGAGTACAGTGGTGTGATCACAGGTCACTGGAACCTCAAACTCCTGGCCTCAAGCAATCCAATCCTTCCTCCTCAACCTCCCAAAGTGCTGGGATTACAGGCCTGAGCCACTGCGCCAGGTCTCCAACATTCTTGAGAGGCAGTGTTGAACTCTTGTGCTGACTGAGAGCTCACTCCTTCACGAGGGACCTCGTTCCTCTTTAGGGCAACTCCAGATGTTAGGAAGTTCTCTTCCTTTTTTTGGGCACCCAGTTGCCTCCTGCAATCTCTCTCCTATTGGCTTGGGTTGGCCAAATTTTTGGTGAAAGTTTCCCCTCCCCAACACACCTGTTGAAGTCCCAAGGCCTGTTCATGTATTCCTTAAGACTTCTTCTCCAGGTAAGCTGCACAGGTTTCTTTGGCCTGTCTTCGGAGGCCTCATCCTCCTTCCTTCACTCCCTCTTCCCTCCACTGGAGGCTCCTTTGCTGTCAGGACCCCACCTCCCTTAGCACCTTGGGGTCCCAGGGTGCAGGTCACACATGGCCGGGCTCCATGGAATTCCCACCTGGCCAGGGCTAGAAGGAGATTTTACTCACAGGAGATCAGGAGCACCCAGGGGTCAAGGCCCACTGGGCCCAGTTCCCTTCCCCTTCTCCATCTTCACCTATGTCACTCAGTGGACACTGACCCCCAGAATGAGGACCACATGATCCTAGAATGGCCGAGCTGAGCAGAATCTTGACGAGCAGCTGGCCTTGCATTTCTTGCACTGGGCTATGCTTACCCCTGAGCCCTCAGCCATGGGCTGGGGCCTCCCAAAGCTGTAGGGTGGCCAAGGAACAGTTCGACTTCACTAGAAGATTCTGGGGAAAAGGCAAGTCACTTAACTGGCAAGTCGATCAAAACGATGTTTTTATATTAAGACAAATGTTATGTAATAGAATGCAGAAGCATGAATTTCAAAGCCAAAACAGGAGACTTCAGAGTTTTACACTACAGATAGGTTACTTTGGGCTATTTCTTTAGTGTTCTGCCCCCAATTTGCCAATCAGCTGGCCCCCTCTGCTGAGGGGTGTTTAGATGGAGAACTTCGAGAAGCTCTGATTACTCCATTTCCTTTATTACTAGAGGTGAGGGAAGGGAAGACCAGAGTGGAGGGGTGATTAGACTGAAGACACACAGCTTGGAGGAGTCTAAATTGGAAACCCGGATCTGTTCTTTTCTCTGTACCAAGAAACGCTGCATAGACGTTGCCTACTACAGCAAGAAAGGAATCAAAAATAGAAAAGAGGCTCTGGGTTGACCCTTGGTTTTCCAGAAATGCAATTCGAAGAACAGTGTTACCAAGAGTCTGGGCTGTGGGTTGTAAGTAGAGCTGACTCCATTCAATGACAGAAGTATATTCCTTTACCTTAGGTTCTTTTAGGATCTAATGTTCTTTGGGAAAGAGGCTCAGGTGAAGAAAGGAGGAGGCCGATGCCAGCACCGGGAAGTGAGAGGAAGGAGACCCAGATAGCAGCAGGGCCAGCCGGAGCCCATTCCGGATGCCAGGCTGGGGAACTGGCAGGACTTCCCTTGCTCACACATCCTGGGGTGTAGCTGCACACGTTTGTGAACACACGCACACACACGCACACCTCGCACTCAGGCCCACAGGTGCTGCAAAGCTTAAGATCCAACCATGCCTTACAAAGCTGGAATGTAAGAGACTACTGAGAATTGAGTTCTGCCCTCCCTACCATGCAACACCCCCAGATAACTGAAACGGCAATTGGAAGGGGGAATCAATCTCACCAGGTCATTAAGCAAGCATAGCTCACTTTTACTCAAAACACTGTCCTTTAAAGTATAAAATAAGGGTCAAAGGTTTTTTTTTTTTTCTTTGTTAAGGTGTCTTTGACATTATTTTAAGTTTATGACACCCAACAATTAAAAACCTTAAGACTGGCTTGTTGCTGTCCTGTGAACTTTCAGAAGTCACATCTCACAGAAGTGCAACTCTCAATATAATTTAATCAAGTCAATTAATACTGTTTAATAAATAGGCCAGAAAATTAGCTGAGAGTTTTTCTCGGCGGGATGTGGCGTGCGACCGAAGTTATGGAAGATTGTCCCTTGAATCACTAAGGCAAACTTTGTTGAGTGTCATTTTACGTAGAGCAATCACATAAAAAAAGAGTTATAAATAGAAAAAATTCCAAAGTTCTCCCACAGACAGACAGGGAAATTGAAACATCAAAAAAAAAAAAAAATTGAAGCAAAACAAAAACACAACCACCCCTCCCCCCACAACCCATTTGCTTCAAGTTCTTGATCATACAGTACTCAACATCTTTGGATATTTTACAATGTACAATTCCAAACTGCAGCCAAGAAAAAACAGAAAGAACTAACCAGTCATCTGAAAAATTGAGTTTATAAGAAGTCATCACCTTTACAAAATAAAAACAAAAGCCCCAACACCACTGGATTCCAATTTATTCATGTTTCCTTTTTTTTTTTTTTTCCTCTCTTTTAAAGTCTGGTTCAGCCCCAATCACTTGGCTGATGGGGGGGAACACGGGGGCACGTTGGCTGGTGGACATGGGCATGCTTCAGAGAAAAGTGTCTGAAACGAAGACAGGAATCTGAGAGGCGGCTGCCCAGGCAGATGACTTCTGAGAACAGAGGGTGTGTGTAGCAATCCTGCTGGCTGGAGTGGCATCCGGTGGTGTGAAGAATCAGGGGGTCTCTTCTGGAGAGTTGTGAGAGGGACAGAGTCTGTGCTCTTCTCTGGCCTTTTTGTTTGTTGTGTTTTTGCTCAGGAAAAAGCCAAGGCAACAGGAAGAGCTGAAGTCTCTTTGTGCCCATAGCACAGGGATTGGGGACTCCAGCCCTGGGCTCTCCCTGGGGACGAACCCTCCTCCTCTCTGGGCTGCTCAGAAACCAAAGCAAACTTGGCAAGAAAAGAGAGGGGAGGGAAGGAGAGAGAAGGTCAGGAAGGCACGGGGCCAGCAGAGCCTTCCTTTTCAGGACCTGCTGCAAATTCAAGAACCAGGAGAACATGTGACAACTCTAACTCACAGAGCCCTTCAAACCTCAGAGGCCTCCACCTCCCTGCACTGAGCCCTTTTGTCAAAAATGGGGAGCCAAATACTCCCACTTCATCCCCAGAGGGAGGAGGAAGGGGTTGAGGGGGTTCTCACACAGCAAAGGGGACCATCACTAGCAATGCCAAGGCCCTGAGGAACCCTCAACTCAAAAAACAAACAGATAAACCCTAGAAACCGGTGTTTTGTCTGTTGTCAGGAATCAGGATGAGGGGAGACTGTTGCCAGGTGTTAAGAGGTGGCCCCCATCTCTTCGATGTTGGCCCTGAGAGCCCCAAGACACTGCACAGCCTTGGAGGGGGCACTGGAGATGGGGGTAAACATTAAATAGCGCCCCCAGGAGTCCAGACATGAACAGCGGCCTGCAGGGAAGGTAGGGTAGCATTCTGAGTTCGCAGAGCTACCTGTGGGCTTTGCTGAAGCTCGGAAGCTCCCCTGATGACCTGATCTCTGTCTAGTCTGGCCATATTTCTCACCTATGCTAATATGCTAATATAGAGCTGGATGTGATAAAACTAAGTCCAGAAAGATAAACTGTTTCCCCATGGACTTGGGGAGTACAAAGCTTCTACCATCTCTGTGATTCTCTGGGGGGATAGGTGTGTATGTGTTTAGAGGTGGAGGGCGGAAACCTCAGTTACCAGCCCCTTCCATAGCCAGGTGACACTGAGCTACAGAGGGCTGACCTGTCAAGGTCACAGGACAGGTCAGGGAAGAAATGGCCCGGGCCTTCCAGAGCCTGGTTCCTGACTGGTTCCAGGAGGCCTCCCTGCCAACAGAGCATTTCTTTCTATGTGGCAGGTGGGTAGTTCTCAAAAAGACCCCGGGGCCACTGGAGACTGGAAAATGAGCCCTCAGAGGAGTGTTGGCAGAGACTTTGCCATAGGGGGTGGGGCTTAACCAAGGTGCATGCCCAGCCCCTACCTCCTCCTGCTGTGGCTGGCTGGGCACCAGGCCAACCACCCCCTGACCCCTCATGACTCACCCAGCTCCTAAGTGCCCCTGGGCACCCAGTTCTTTGTGGCATGGGCCGGTGCAAGTTTCTATATGAGAGCCAGAGAGACAGGGAGGGAGGCCCGGGCTCCTGGCCTTTTGGGAAAAGATGCCCGTCTCAGACCAGCAAAAGGAGGCAGCTGCTTTAGGAGCCCGGGAAAATGCCATCACTGATAGTATTATTATTATTTTCCCATTTTCCCTTTGTGTTTTTAAAATGAAAAGTTCAGATCCATGGGGTAGGGTAGAGTGGGCCTGGAGGGAGAAGGACTGGAGGGCTGGTGGGCTGGAGCCGACAGGGACCAGCCTAGTTGTTGGCTTCGGACATGGAGGCCACGTGGTTGAGGCCGGCGAGCCCAGGGAGGCCGGCCAGGCCGGCGGCCCAAGGGTCGGGCAGCGGGAAGTAGGGCCGCGCCGCCGCCACGTTCTCGGCCAGCGCGAAGGCCAGGAGGCCCCCCGCGTTCCTCTCAGCCTCCAGCTGCGCGCGCCCGAACAGCTTCATCTGTGTCTCCTCGAACTGCCGCTCCAGCTCTTGCAGGCTCAGGGCGCCCTTGGGCGCTGCCAGGAAGTGCTTGGCGGGGCTGGGGCCCGGGAGGCACACAGCTGCGCCGCCCAGGTGGCCGCCCACCTCGCCCAGCGCAGGGGGCATCACGAAGGCCGCCTTGTCGGGGGCCGGGCCGCCGGGCCCGAAGAGCAGGCTGGCGGCCCTCCACGCAGCAGGCTTGCGGCCGCGTCGGGGCCGTGCCATGCGGCAGCTCTGGCGCTTGATGTGGCGGTGCAGGTGGTCAGAGCGCGTGAAGCTCTTGTAGCAGAACTCGCACTGGTAGGGCCGCACGCCCGTGTGGATGCGCATGTGGTTCTTGAGGTCGTAGTTGTGCACGAACTTGGCGTTGCAGTGGATGCACAGGTAGGGCCGCTCCCCTGTGTGCTTCCGCATGTGGATTTTCAGCTTGTCCTGCCTGCAATGCAGAGACTGGGGGTCAGTCCCGCAGGGAACACCAGGAGCCATTCCTAACCTTTTGCTCCCCCTTTCTCCAGAACCAGCCGAGGCTCCCTACTGCCATGGAGTCAAACCCCAGAAATAGGTCTCATGCTAGATCTACCCTCAACTGCTGCCCCACCTTAGACAGGTATGGTTACTCACCTGGATTAAAGGGATGCGGAAAAAGCAGTGTCCTGAAAGCCCCACTCCCCCAAACTCCTTTTATACCCGAGCTCAGAGTCATGAAACTCCCACTCTATTAGGGGTTTATCTCACATACTGGGAAGATACTTCGCCAGAAGTCAGCATTTCTGACCTTAGTCCTCGGATAGTGCAGCGACTTCTGCTGATACTGGACTGCACTTTAATCTCATACCCACTCTCTCCAGGCAACCTTATGCTTTCCCTCCAGTTCATCTATATGCTTTGGCCCAAAGTCCCTGGTCCCATCCCAGCCCCCGGGCTATTGAGATCTGTCTGTGTTTGGCACTAATCTGGGAGGCTATAGAAGCTTGGGCACACCTTGTTCAAACCTCCTGCATGGTGGTTTCTTATCCTAAGCCTTGGGCTCTCCTCTTTGTCTGTAGACAATTTCAGGGTTTACAAAAGAGCCAGGTGCGAAAAGAATGCAGCCTAATCTAGGGCAAAACTTTGCAGGGTTTAAGTGGTATTATTCACAGGTAAGGTATGGTGTAGGGTGGGGGCGCCTGCACCTATTGGGGGTCTGGGAGCCTCTGCGCCAGCTGCAGACCCACCACCAACTTGCTGGTGACTTCAGGCAAGTTACTTAACCTCACTGCCCAGAGCTGAACCTGGTGCCAGACATCAATTCTCATTGTCCAGGGCTCATGGAAAGAACCTGGGTCTGTGTGAGCTAGATTCCACACACCTCCTGGTGGTCTTGACAGGAAAACTGATATCAGGGGGTTGTTTTCATAAACACTGAGCATTGGGTAAACCAGCTTAAGGTGGCTGAGGTATAGGCAGCTGGGCTGCAAGAATTCCTCTTGGGATAATTCGCAGCCTTCCCCAGTGGGGCCATAGGGGCCAGGAAGCTCTGTGTCTAGTCTCCTACTTCCTCCCTGCAGGTGTGGCTTGGGTGGAGCATCTGCCTATAATTTCAGGCTCTGCTTTGAGGTTAGAACAGATGTGGAGTCCAGGTGTCCTCCCTAAGATGGCCAGATTTAAACCCTGTTTAACGTAATCCTAGGACAGCAGGTGCAGGTCCTAGGCTCCTGGTGTCTCCTGGCCACTAGAGGTCTCACCAGCTCTCATTTTCAAAATGGTTCTCCAGGGGCAGAGCAGGAGAGAAAAGGACATTCCCATGAATACTGGCAGGCACTGTGAGAGGAGGATCAGAGAGGACAGATCCAGTCCTCCCACCTGTGCTCACAGGAAGGCTGGAGAGCCCCTGGGAGTGAGGAGAAGGGAAGTGGGGTCACCCTCTTCCCCTCCACATCCCACTGCTCCTGCCTTTTTTCAAACCCACCAGCCACCCCTAGGCTACATAGTACTCTGCTGTGATATCCCACCCCCTACCAGCATGCTGTGGTCTCTGTAACCCAGATTTCACCTAGATGATTGGATTTTTGAGGAGGAAGGGACTTCAGAGACCATTTAGGCCAGTGGGTCTCAAACTTAAGGATGCATTCGAACCATAATCAGGACTCAATAAAACAGTGCTGGGCCCTACTCCCAGAGAGTCTGATCAGTAGGTCTGGGATAGGGGAGAGGGACAAAGGATTTGCATTTCTAACCAGTTGCCACATGCTGGTGGTGGTGGTGGTCCGTGGACCCCACACTGAGAACCACCGGTCTAGGCAAAGCCTCCACTATGTAGGTGGGCAAACAGACCCAGCTGGGGAACTTGCCAAACTCACCCAGAGGGTCATGGCAGGCCCGGGAGTCAAGGCCTCTTTTCTCACCACAGCACTGTGACTGTGAAAATGGAAGTGTCGGGTGCCTGTACCCCTGGAGTGATGCAACTTCCCAGTCCTGAGGGATATGTCTTGGGCCTCCACAAATTCACCCAGGCTCTGATGGAAACACTGATGCTAGGTGGTCGGCTGGGCTCCCTCACCAGGCCTGGCAGAGGGCTCAGCTCAGAATCAGCTAAGCAGGGCTTTAAATGCATCATCTCATTACTCCTCACCACAACCTATGAGGTAGGTTTTTTTATTTTTATTTTTATTTTTTTGAGACAGAGTCTCACTCTGTTGCCCAGGCTGGAGTACAGTGGCATGATCTCGGCTCACTGTAACCTCCGCTTCCCAGGTTCAAGTGATTCTCCTGCCTCAGCCTCTCGAGTAGCTGGGATTACAGGCATGCACCACCACGCCCGGCTAATTTTTGTATTTTTTTAAGTAGAAACGGGCCTTCACCATGTTGGTCAGGCTGGTCTTGAACTCCTGACCTTGTGATCTGCCCACCTCGGCCTCCCAAAGTGTTAGGATTACAGGCGTGAGCCACTGTGCCCGGACAAGGTAGGTTTTTTTTTTTTTTTTTTTTTTTTTTTTTTGAGACGGAGTCTCGCTCTGTCACCCAGGCTGGAGTGCAGTGGTGCGATCTTGGCTCACTGCAAGCTCCGCATCCCGGGTTCACACAATTCTCCTGCCTCAGCCTCCTGAGTAGCTGGGACTACAGGTGCCCACCACTACGCCTGGCTAATTTTTTTTGTATTTTTAATAGAGACAGGGTTTCACCATATTAGCCAGGATGGTCTCGATCTCCTGACCTCGTGATCTGCCCACCCCAGCCTCCCAAAGCGCTGGGATTACAGGTGTGAGCCACCGCCCCTGGCCAGGTAGGTTTTTTTTAAGTCACTATTACACATAATTAGTAGCACTGACCCTTAGGGTCACTCTCAAACAATGGACAATATAAGTGGTAAATCTTCAAATGCCTCCCAAACTTCTCATTAGTGTATCTAAAAGAAGTCCCATTTTTGTGGCAATTGGTCCAAGGATGTAAGAAGTGCTGAGAAGGTGCCTACGATATCCTTTTATTGAACATCTGCTATGGGCAGGTAAATACATGACTTCATTGACCCTGGGAATTCATTATTCAGAGGCATATGGTATAGAGGTAGGGCCCCTCCAGGAGTCTGGGAGTCCCTGTTGTAGCTTCAGACCCACCACCAACTTGCTGGGTGGCTTTAGGCAAGTTATTTAACCTCTCTGTGCAGAGCTAAACCTAGGACCAGACATCACTTCCCATTGTCCAGGGCAGATGGAGAGAATCTGGGTTTGCGTGAGCTAGATTCAACACACTTGGTGTAATTTCCTCACTTGGACACAGGCAGAAAGGAGGCTCAAAGAAGTTAAGAGCTTCCCAAAGGTATACAGCTGGTGGGGGCAAAGGAACCTGGGGGGCTACCTGGCTGTGGTTTGTTTGTAAGCTATTCTGGGGATGAGAAAGGATGGATTTTCACAGCAGGGATTCCCAACCTGAGGCCTAAGAGGACTGCTGCAGAAAGGGCAGACCAGAACAATCAAGAGAGGGCACCGGTAGCCAGCTTTCTGCCTCTGTGGCCAGAAGACTGGGGTATGCCAATGGGAGGAACTCAGCCCTAGGCAGGAGCTTTCCCTAATGGAGACATTTGTGGGAATGGGGGCAAGGGGTGGGAAGAGTAGGCAAAGCTCATGATAAGCCAGTGCTGGAAAAAACTTCAGAGGATCATCTAGTTTACCAGGCATACTTTACCACATTCTGATTCATGGTCTGAGTCAGTGGGCCCAGTAAGTGACACTATTAGCAGTACACTTCTCAGGACCTTGAAAACACTGATCTAATTACTTCCAAGATAAGGAAAGAAAGGACCAAAGAGGGAATGGTGTTCTAGGGCCACACAGCCTCCTTCTTTACACTGACCTTTCCTGTGGATACTGTGACGTGCATTGGAGCTGGAGGTGGTGCCGGGCACACTCCAAGAACTAGATCAGTTCCCTTCCCTGGTCTGGGCCTTAGTTTCCTGATCTCTAAAATGCGGGTTGGGCTGCATCCTTGGGGCCTCTAGTGCTCCATGAGTGTATGCATCTGGGTAATGGGCTTCTGCCAAATCTCCTTCTGGAGTCTGTTTGGCTGGCTGGCTTCCTTGCTGCTTCACATATTCAATCTGCCTGTGGAAGCAGCGTGAGTTTAGCTGGAATATGTTCTAGCTGGAATCTCAAGAGCTGAGCTCTTAGTTACTTCTCTGTAGGAATGGAGGTCTGGCAGTTCCACTTAAAACTTCCCAAGGCCCCCTTGTCCAATGGCCTGTGTGCTCACTTACCCCTTAGCATGGCTTTCTGGGCTCTTCACAAGCTCACTGCCATCTCCTCTGCCAGCTTCCTGCCTGCCCCCCATGGTACGCTGCCCCACACTCTGGGCAACTCTGCATCTTTGAACACCTGCAGGTATGAACTGGACTGCCGGTCCCCCAGTGCACAGCCCACCACATTACAGGGTGGATGCCCTGTAAACCCTGGCTCCTTCCCCGTGTGTGCATGTCTTGTGCTTGGACACTGATGCTCTATCCTTAGGGCCCTCCCAGAAGGCCAAGCCCAGAGCCAGGGTGCCCCTTCCTCCCAGCCCTCTTCCTCCCAGCCCTCCTCCTCCCAGCACTCCTCCCTGCACGTGGCATGGAGTTCTGGTACCTGCTTTGATGAGAACCTGTGGGATGCTCTTTCGTACTCTGCACAACACACAACACTGAATGTAGATAGAGAGGAGGCTCACTGCGCGTTTGGTGACTGACTAGTGGTGCCAATTTCAGAACTCTCCGACTACAAATCCAACATGCTCCCCTCTGGCCCTGGTCCCCTTGTCTGCCATCTCGTTCCATCTCTCTGCATCAGGGACAGCCAAGGACATATGCACCCAAGCCTCGGTCTACATGCCTCCTTTCAGCCTGGAGAGCTCATCGTCGGGAAAGTCATGTGAGTCCTCATGAGCTCATTCCCAGAATCAAAGAAAAGGGCTGTGGGGCCTTGGCCTGAGGTCTGTGGCCTCCAGAAAGGCTCCCAATCAGGATAATGCTTTCCCAGCAGCCTCTACCTGGACTTCTTGTAACCCGATGGTTTGAGACACACTCTTCCTGCTACCACTGCTAATGCCATTACATTATCTTAATAGGGTTCCCAGAGCTGCCAGGAGTGGGAGGACTACAAAGAAAATAGAGGGAAGACAAAAGCCAGGCTGCTGGCTTATCTGGAGAGCAGGCAGCTGTGGGGGCACAAAGGTGGTCAGCATTCGGCTGGCACTGGAGGAGGCAGGTGGAGACTAAAAGGCACAGCCTTCGGGGTTCAGCGGAACTGGAAAGCGTGCCTTGTCAGAGAGTGACTGCGGTGCAGAGGTCGTCCATCCCCACCCAGGACGGTGTGCTCTATGGGACCTCTGCTGTCTCTGGGCCAGTCTGTTTTCATTTTGCAGTTTCTTGCCTTCACTACTGTCCCCATCAGGCATGGCTGGGGCATCTCTGGGAGCCAGGCTGTGACAGGATGCAGGGGCTCCAGGAGGGAGACCAGCCAGCCATGCTCTCTAGGAGCTACTAACAGAAGGGCTGGGGGAGGCAAGGGGCAAGTCTCTATGGCCTGCAATCAAGGACCCATGTGGTGGGAATTAAGAGGCGGAAGATGCACAGGCTTTCACAGGGCCCAGGGCCAGGCCCAGTTGGCAGTGATGGCTGCAGATGGGGCAAAAAGGTGTGCGGGGGCCACCTGGACCTGGGATGTCCGTGGGCAGGGAAAATACCCACCAAGCATAGCAGTGTCCCTGTGCATGAAGACAAATGCTTTATCTTCCTGAGATCACATGCTCCCTGTTCTTCTAGGCCCTTCCTAGGCATCACCTCTGGCCGAAGCCTGCCATCCTAACCTTTGGCTCCTGGCTTCCAGACTTTCTGGGAAGAGAAGGGAAAGGATTCCTGATGAAGAGGATCTAAGGTAATCTTGGTCCAGACTGCCTCTGCCCTATGACCTGGAGCTGTTTCTGTGTCCCAAGTCAGACCTGAAAGGGACAGGAGCTGCCTCTGTGGCCAGCACAGGCACAAGCCTTTCCCAGGAGGAAAACGGTGTCTTTGAACTAAACCGAGGGAGTGCACAGGCAAAGGGAGCCCAAGTGGCTATGGGGTGACCAGAGCTAGGAAGGGACAGCATGGGGCCAAAGAAATAGTTTGGTTGATGCCGTTGAGGCCCTGCCTAGGGAGATTTCATATTTGGAACAGATCAGTGGTGGGACACCTGGTAGGACTGGCTGGAATCTAGAGCTGCCTCAGAGGTGAGGTTCCTGACACCAAAGAACAGACAATACCATTGTGGGGCGGCCTCTGTCCCTCCTCTCTAGACCCACAGAATGACAGCAGCAGGCAGGGCCTTAGGGGTGAAGGGGCTCTGCTGGAAGGATTCCCATGTCCTCCCCCTGGGTTGTGGCTGCTGAGGTCATTAGTACGTCCCCGTGGGGTGTGGACATTCTGGGAGCTGGCATCTGGGAGGCTGTGACTCAGAGCCTGGGCTGAAGGGCTACCATGCAGGGGAAGGGCAGGCCTCTCCAGCACCCCATGGGGTGGGGCGGGGAGGGTGTCACAAGACCCTGAGCTCTTCCCAACATCAAGGAGGGAGGAAATGGGGCTTTGCCAGGGCAGAAGCTCAGCTGTGATGAAGGAAAGACTCGGGTTCCAGAAGGGGAAATGGAAATCATGTCCGAGAGAAGGACCTGAGGGCAGCATGTCTGGGTCCTTGCTGCGGGGACAAGAGTGACATGACAGGGCCCAGTCTCAGGAAGTGGCGTGGCCTTGGAAGGGAGTCTGGGAATTCTGCGTCAACGAGGCAGCCGTCTCTGCTCTAAGTGGCTGCTGAAGAGCTTCCAGGTGGAAGGGGCAGGTGTTAGGAATCGCGTTGGGGAATTCAGCCAAAAATAAGGTCCCCGTGGAAAGGCTGCAGGGAGCCTTGGCCACAGGGAGAATTACAGGAAAACCTCAACCTGGACAGACCACGCTTGGGGCTCTTCAAGCACGGAAAAGAATCCTTGCCGGGCAGTTCCAGAGATGGGGTGAGAAGCAAAGGCCCAGTGATTCTGAAGAATGTGAGGGGGAGGAGAGTGGGGAGTGTCCCACAAGGACAGCCACAGCCCACAGTGAGCAATAAAGCCTCTGAAGGGAGGCAGGCTGGAGCCATCTCCTCCACCCTGCCTTTCCCCAGCTCGGGGTTTCTCTCCTCCTGGGAAGAGAAGGACCCAAGAGCTTGTCTGATCTTTTTCGGGAGGGTCAGAGACCAGTGGGAACAAGTGGTGGGGGTGCTGAGGGGGCTGCAATGCAGCAGCTTCAGCTGGAGACAGGCCTGGGGCCAGATGGCCGTCATTCTGGAGCAGGAGGAACCCAAGGCCAGATGGCTGGATGACCAGAGCTGCCCCACTGCCTATCATCTGGCTGGGAGTGGGGACTGCAGACAGAGAGGCCACCCCAAGTGACCATCAGGAATGTGCTGGGAGGGAGGAACCTGGAATGTCACCCTCCTATACAACACAGCACTGCTGCCCAAACCAGGACGCCCACTCCCAGAGAATGTCCCAGGGTCCAGAGGGTGAGAAGTCTGTCTGCAGTGACTACGCACGGTTAAAACCTTCCCTTAAAACAGGGTGCACAGACTGTCCAGACCTGGCGTGGACCTCACAGAAGGCTGTGCGTGGGGAAGGCCCAGAGGAAAGGGAGTGGGGAAGAAGGGAGATGGGGTCTCAGGGTGCCAGCAGGGCCACCGTGCGATATCCTGAGACACAGATAGATCCTTTTGGAATTGGAGTCACCAGCCTCGGTCTCCCCTGAAGGGAGAGGTGCTCCTGTTAGCCATCTGCCAAGGGGGCAGGCATGGGCAGTTAGGGAGGCAGAGCCTGCGTTGGCAGGAGAGGGCGCTCCAGGCTGATAACATGGCTGGCTTTCCTGATCTGGCCTGTGAAGAGCTTCCTGGCATCCTTAAAGTCATATGCAGGGGCTGGGACTCTCGGGCTGAAGCCAGGCCCCCCGTGAAGATGGGTGAGCTGTACTTGAATCTGGCTTTCACACGGTGCTCTGGCTTATCTCCCTCGGTATTCCTGTGCTTTTGCCAAGCCTTGTTCAGGTGTTCTGCCTGGTTCTGTGGGGCTAAGGTGAATTCAGGAGGAGGTAGGGGGCAGCATCACCCACGGTGGCATTGGGGTGGCAGGGCTGTCACTGAGGGACATCCAAGGGGAGGTGAATCTCAGGAACCTTGGGTCCATCTGCTCTGGGGAGTAACAGGAGCAGGGCGCCCTGCTGTCAGCATTGCCGGGTGGCTGGCCTAGCTCACTGCTAAGGGCAAGGGAACACATCCTGGGTCTGTGAGGCCCTTCCCCTCTGCTCCTGCAGATTCTCCCTCTACTGTCACTGGAAGCACCTGGGACAGATGCTGTCTGGGGTTCCCCTCACAGAAGCAGCTGTGAGCAGGACCCCAAGGCCACCTTGGAAATAATCAGTGTTTCCTTCAAAACAGTCCCCTGAGGAGCCTGCAGAGCTATTTCAGCCACACCAGTGTCACCTGAATGGATTTCTGAAACTCTTCTCTGGCAACTTCCAGTAGTTTCCAAGCAACCCAGAAGAACAGGTCTCATGACTTTAGAGGACTCATCTTTTTTTTTTTTTTTTTTCCTGGAAAAGCATAGTCCCTGATTTGATATCCAGTCTCATTCACAACCTTGCACTGTGTCCTTGGGCCAAAGCTTTGGGCCCACTGAGGAAAATCAAAAGAATGAGCTGCCACCAATTCCCAAAGATACATCTCCAAGAGGAAGTGGGGCAGCAGCACCGCCACCGGAACAAGTGTGGGTCTCTCAAGGTGAGTTCTCTGAGAGGGACAGTGGCAGGGTGGGGAAGGGACCTAGTCTAGTAAGTCATGTTCACAGGGCAGGCATCGCCAGGCTCTGTACACACAGGATACACTGAAATGACCAAACCCTGATGCCAGGCCACCCACCAGAGCCCTCCCCACCTGTGGACATGGCTGAAAAGATCAGCCTCACACCAGGAACCAGAGATAGCACCAATGGGCCGTATTTTCCAAAAGTGAGGCCTAGCCAAAGCTGGCAGTGGGCAGATCTGACCCCACGTCAACCCGCCAATCAGTTTTGAGTACAAAAGTTGCTGTGCAGAGTAGGCATATAACATATGTTTGCTGAATGGGACAGAGTCTATGAAAGATGAAAGGTTTATAATGTATTGATTTCAAATTTCAAATTTTATAACAGCATAAAGTTGTCCCCCTTCCTTAAATGGAAAGGCAAAGAGGAGAACATAAAAAGAGGCCCAGCCTTTAGGTCTGACCCCAAAATGATTGAGAGGACCTACAGGCATCTCTGCAGTCTACTGGTCACCGGCTTTGCTATTACACAGAGGCTGAGATTCCAGTCTCAGCTCTGCCATTTTCCAGCTGCACACATGCTTGGTCAGCTAGCCACTGGGAGATGTGTCATAAACAAAGTCAACCACGTCTCCCCATCTTCCCAGGGCCTAGCTGTGGTAAGCATGTACTTAAGGTGCCGAGGACGGCCCCTGGCATGCAGAATATGCTTAATAAAGGTCAGTGGCTGCTTCTCCAAATCAAACAAAGGGGCGGCACTCCATCTGGGGAGGGCCATCCATTCAAACTGGGTTCCACAAATTTACAGCTGGAAGGAGAAGAGGAAGCCAAGCAACCAAGGTGCTTGAGGCGCCTCACTTCCTTCCCAGCCAGAACAGCCCTGCTCTTACCTGCTTCATGTCATGGGCTTCCACCTAATATTGTATCTGAGAAAATACTGCAGCCCCTAAAAAGGGCTTGAAAGTCACAGCACCAGGTGATGCCTAGCACCCCTGCTAGCCACGAGCCTGCATGTGTGTGGGATCTATCTGGGTCTCTGTCTCCACCGCCAGCCTCCCTGCCCAACTCTGCTGTCCCCCATGGCCTCTGGCCCCGTGCCCCACACCCGAGGGCTGCCATGCGCACCTGGTGAAGCGGACCTCGCAGATGGTGCACATGTATGGCTTCTCCCCGGTATGGGTCCTCATGTGCCGCGGCAGCTTCCCGGCCCCCATGATGACTTTGTGGCAGATGGGGCACTGCTGAGAGGCCTTGGGCTTCAGCTTGCGCTCTTCTACCAGGGGCCAGGGTGGGAAGAGGCCTCCCAGGTGGGTGGCACTCAGGAAGTTGAGATAGGCACCGTAGTCGTTCTCCGCCTTGATGGGTCCCAGAGGCCCCCCCGGCAGGTCAGGGAACATGTCCTTGAAGAAGTCATTAGGGAAGGGTGGCGGTGGGGGTGGGGGCAGCTCCTCCTTCTCCTCCTCCTTGATCTTCCGATTCTTGATGACCAGATCCAGTGGCCCACTGTCCATGGGCTGCTCAGGCAGCTGGGCAAAGGCACCGAAGTCCCCTGGCCAGAGGTGTGGAAAGAAGTCCGGGGCGAATGGAGACAAGGAGGGTCTCCTGTCGGGGATGTTGGCCTTGGGGTACAGGTTCTCCCTTAGCAGAGATTCGATGGAGAAGTCCCGGATCACCCCCAGATGGCCAGGACTGCCAGCCTGGAAGGAGTCAGGGAAGTCCCTGGGGGTGTCTGAATAGGCCTTCTCTGTGAGATGGTCTGTCTTGGAAGGGCTTTGGTGGCAGCTGATGTCCTGGGGGTCAGGCAAGTTTTCTTGGTCAGCAAAGTCCTCCGTGTCATCATCGTCATCCTCCTCCTCTTCCTCCTCCTCCTCTTCGTCCTCCTCATCATCATCATCTTCGTCGTCGTCATCGTCCTCCTTGTCATCCTCCTCCCCCCCGTCCCCCCCAGGCTCCATGATCTCCAGGCACACGTTCACGATGCACTGGATCTCCAGCATCCTGGCTGCGTTGAGGATGTGCTTGACATTGCCAGCGGTGATGGTGAGCGTGGAGGTGTAGGCGAACTCCAGGATAGCAGCCAGAGCCTCAGGCTGGACAAAGTCGATCTCATAGACGTAGGGCTGGCTGGCTAGGGTGCCGGCTGTGAAAAGCTTCTTGAAGTACTTGCTGCAGGCAGCCAGGACGGAGCGGTGGGTCCGATACTCCTGCTCCTGCACCACCAGGAGCACGTCACACAGCAGGCCATCGTGCCGTTGCTCATTGAGGCTGCACAGGACCTCACTGCTGTGGTTGGGGAAGGGAATGCCAATGAGCTCATCAATGTCATTGGCCATGTTCTCAGCCAGAGCCCTGCAGAGACACACAGAGAAGAAGACTGGGTTAGTGAGCGTGGCCCCAGGAGGGGTCTCAACTCTAGGACTCTGAGCCACCTCCTTGGCATAAGGGCTCCCTGTCCACTGCAAGGCCAGTCCTCCTACCTCTTAGCCTTGCCAAATCTCACCTGCAATTCACAGCCTGGCTTACAAGCTGGGGCTTTTCTCTGGACCCCTAAGACTCTTAGGGATAGGCTTCTCACTGGGCAGCTGGTGTCAGCTACTCACCAAAGGCTGCAAGCCTTCTCTCAGGCTTGGTGTTACTGATTTCCACTTTGCCAACATGCAGTTGCAGAATACAACTGCAGGATGAAAAGCCTCATGAACCTAGCTGTTGCCTTGGCTGCAGGAACAGGACCCACCTCTGTGGGGCAAGGACCTCTCAGTGCTTCTGCTGAGAAGATGCTCTGATTTGTCTCACAAATCCTCTGATTCTGTAACAGACTTACACTTTGCACTGGCTACTAGGAAGCTTAAAACAAATTTCGTGGCCCATTTTCAGCAAGTAAATGGGGGCCTTGTGGTATGTTTTGCTTCCTGACCTTACTCGTTCATTGCAGTTGAAGTTTCCTTCCATTTGTAAATCTTGATCCTTTTTTTAAAAAAAAAACACTAACTTCCTATATGTGTATATCTGAGAGTGATTTCACCTATAAATATTTAAATTCAATACAAATATAAATGCAATATTCAATATAAATATAATGCAATATAAATATAAATTCAAGTACATTGTTAGTTAATTTTTCATGTCTAAATTCTGTCAGCCTCATGAAAATATCAACCCCTGTGGTGAGAAGCGTCTTCTGAGACACCTTATCATTGTATATGTTATACATAAAGTATGGCCAGTGGCAGCCACCAGAAGAAAGCAGGGCACGACAGGGGACAACTGGCATCCCTTCCTTTCAGGAAGCACAGCTCACAGCCCAGGTGAACACAGTCAACTGGGACAAAATGTGGCATCTGCCAGGGCAGGTAGGGGCGTCCAAGGAGAGAATATAGTCATGGGTTGTTTGTTAGTTTCTGGTTGGGCCAGTAAAGCCCCTTCCTCATCCCTCTTTTCCACTTATCACTAGAGACAGAAACTAAACAAACACCATGGCTTCAGGCTGCTAAAAGCCTAAAACAAAACAAACAACAAATCAGAACAACAACAACAATAAAATAAGGTGGGTTGGACAAGCTTCATAGGGCTCTTCTACTTACAGCAAAGCTTCAACATGGCTCATCTAGATAAATCCTAGCAAAGCCCTGGCCCTTATCTTGGTACAAATAAAGTGGGGAGAAAACAAAAAGGAAAACAAATCCTAAAGCCCCACGCCCCAGTGGGAAGAGTTCTGGAGATCCTTACACATTTATCTTCTGGATGTTTCTGTCCTGGGAAGGCAGAGGCAGGGGGAGGGGAGGAGTGAGAAGTATACGCTCATAAAGTGTGAGTGGGCACTGGGAAGGCAGCAGGCATGGAGGATGCTGGGTGCCCCTCCGCTGCCCTCACCTTCTCCTCCACCATGGGGCAGCCCAGGCGTTCCCTAAGCAATCCCACTGGCCAGGTGTTCAGGAGGCTTCCCAGAGCTAAGGCCTCACTGCTTTCCCACCTTCTCATCTTTAAAAGGGCCAGAGACCCTGGCAGTCCATGCATTCATTCTCTAAATATTATTGGGTAGTCTCCCTGTGCCAGGCTCTGTACTGTACTCTGGGGATGCACAGAGAACAAATCAAGAAGGCCTCTGCTCTAACAGAGCTTAGAGGGACATAACAACTGCAATAAAAATGTACAGCAAGATTCACCAAACAGAGTATACAGATGGCAGATAAGCCATCTAATCTGAAAAGATGTTCAATATCATGAGCCATTAGGGAAATTCAAATTAAAACTATCATAAGACATCACTACATACATAGGATAGTGGCTAAAATAATAAAAAAATACTGATAACACCGAATGCTGGTGAGGATGTGGAGAAAAGGATCACTCGTATATTGCTGGTAGGAATGTAGAATGGTACAGCTATTCTAGAAAATGATTTGGCAGATCTTAAAAAACAAAATATGCAACCGCCATATGACCCAGCAATTGAATTCTTGAGCATCTACCCCAGAGAAATGAAATCTTATGTCCATGAAAAACTCATACACAAATGTTCATGGTCACTTTGTGCACGATAGTGAGTAACTGGAAATAACCTAGACATCCTTCAAAGGTGTATGGCTAAACATTGTGGTACATCCATGCCAGGGAATACTATTCAGCAATAAAAAGGAGTGAATTCTCAATATGTGCAACAGCCTTGATGAATCTCCAGGGAGTTACGCTGAGTGAAAAAAGCCAATCCCAATGGGTTAGATATTGCATGATTCCATTTATATAACATTCTTGAGATGATAAAGTTATAGAAATGGAGAAGAGATGAGGGTTGCCAGGGACTAAGGAGGTGGTGGTGGTGGGAGGGAAGTGGGTGTGGCTATAAAAGGGCAACAGGAGGGATACTTGTGATGGAAATGTTCTGCATATTGATTATACCAGTGTTCATATCCTGGTTGATATTGTACTATGGTTTTGCAAGATGTTACCACTGGAGAAAATGCGTAAAGGGTACATGAGATGTCTCTGTATCATCTCTTACAACTGTAGCTGAAACGATAAGTATCTCAAAAGAAAAAGTCTAAGAGAAGCAAATGACGGGAAACAACCTAAAGCCACTAATCAATCTCCTCGCTTCTCTCCATCTCTCATCCAGCTATCTACCACAGAGCTGTAAGGGAGGAGAGGAGGGGGGCGCTTTACCCAGGGTGAACAGGGGAGGCTTCCTTGAGGAAGCATCATTTGAGCAGAGACCTAGAAGAGGAGAAGGATCCAGCATGGGAGGATGTGGAGAACAGTGTACCAGGCTGTGGGAACAGTGGCACAAAGTAGGCAGCCCCACCAAGGTGCCCTTGGTCTGAGGGGCCAGGTTCTGTTCTGAGTGGCCCCGTTGAACATGGTTCTTGTCTATTGACAAACCATTCCACTTCTGCATTTCTCTGGGGGCTCAGATGGACCATACCCACCCAGATCCCTCGAGGGCCTGTGTAGGATTAGTTGATGGACACCCCTCCATCTCTCTGACCAGGGAAGGTGTCCCCAGGCTGAGGCTTCAATGAGCTGTGCTGCAGAGAGAGCTCTGAGGCCACCTCCTACATCTCCACATCCTCCCATGCTGGATGAGGAGAGAAGCTCCTAGTGACTTCCTCCTTTCCCTGGTTCCCCACTGTAGTGGTGGGCACCCAAGGGAACGCAGAGGGCTTAGGAAACCAGGGCAGCCTGCGTGGTTGCATGCCAGCAGGCTCCTTTGGGGCTGCCATGCCCCAAGAAGGCTGCCTTTGGGCAGCTGGGCTGGGGGCCAGCAAGCAGCCCCTGGAGGCCTGGATCAGATGGGAGGCCTCAAGTCTGAGCCACATTTAGTTTTGGATGCTCAGAGTCAGGTGTGGTGTGAGCATCTGTGCAGTGGGCAAGGGGGACCCATCAGATACCTGTCCCACCTCCTTGGCCCCAAGCTCTTTGCTTCAGATTCCATTTATATAACAGGACCCATGAAACGAACTGGGAGGATAGGGCAGGACAAGCAGGCACCTTCTCTTTTCAGGTTAAATATCCTCCCTAAACAATGGGTTTCCCAAAGAGGAGTCAGGACTGCCATCTGCCCTTAGGCTTACTCAGTCCTCACAATAACGCATTTAGCTCCTATTGTTACCATCGTTCCCATTTTACAGATGAGGGAAATGAAGCCACTAAGAGCTGATACACAGAGGATGAGTGAGGGCACAGAGACCTGAGCCTGCATCTGGCTCCCCAGGCCATGCTCCCAACCACAGCCAATTGCAGCTCCTGCCTCTGATCACAAAAGTAACCAAGAAAGGACAGTAGTCTCTGCTAACACGTAATGAGTGGCCCAGACTGCAGGTTCAGAGGTGCTTAGGGATGCCTTTGTGGTGGAGGGAGGGAAGGATTTGGGTGGCACTGCCCTCCAGGGACAGCCAAGCAGGCAAGGGCCGGCAGGGCAGACTGGAGCCCTCCAGGCAGGCTTGGCCAGCCTCAGGGGCTGGAATGTGGAGACCACCCCAGCCCCAGGCTACTGTCTTTCTCATAGTGTTGGAGAGGGGTCCTCTCCCTTGCTCGCTCCCCAGACAGCCTCCCCTACTCTGTGTAAGTTTTGGTGGTGGTTTTGGCAAAGCTCTGCCGGGGGTAAGAAGAGAAGGGGAGAGAAGAAAATAGAGCTGTGGCTCAATCAGCCTTTCCCATCCCACTTTCTGAGCACAGCTGAGTGGGTGGTCACCTGGATGGACTGAGTGGCCACAATGCTCCCCTCCAATGTGCCCTAAATGTACCTTTGAAGCCCCTACTCTCCAATCCCTAAACACACACCCTGTTCTCAGCTGCCATGCCTTTGTTCATGCTGAACTCTTGGCTGGAGATTACAACTGATCTCGCACTTCCGGGGGTCCACATCCCATCCACACTTCAAGGTCTCACTTAGACAACCCTTTCCCCATCCCTCAATTCAGAGGCTCCATCTCTCCAGCCTTCGGTCTCCTGATTCTTGCCATTTATTTGACTCTGCCTTGAACTGTAATGATTGGTGTCTCTGCTAGATTGTAAGCTGCTTGAGGGCAGATCATATCATTAAATGCTTAGCACAGTCCTGACACAAAGTTGGTGGAAGGTCTATGGCAAGGGCTGTCCTTAGCTGCCATGTTGTGAGGATGCTCAAGCAGCCCTAGGGAGAGGTCCCCATGGCAGAGGATTGAGGCCTTCTGCCAACAGCCAATGCCAACTTGCTAGTTGAATGGGTGAGCCACCTTGAGAGTGGATCCTCCAGCCCCAGTCAGGACTCCCGACGACAGCAGCCCTGGCTGACATCTTGATTGCAACCTCATGAAAGACACTGAACCAGGACTGCTCAGTTGAGCATCTCCTAAATTCCTGATCCACAGAAACTATGAGGCAATAAATGTTTATTCTCACTTTAAGCCACTACATTTTTGTGTTGTTATGCAGTAATAGATAATAATCCAGTGACATCATTTCACAGACACTATAGATTTGTGATATTTATCATAATTTTCTGGCAGATGGCAGTTAAATGTCTCACCTTAACAAAATCCGTGTATTACAACAATGTTTTGATAGATGGAAGCAAATGTATTGAGGAAGTGACACCTTTTTCTAATTCTCACAAAGCCACCCTGTAGGTAGCAGGGTCCTGACCCTCAAAGGGGTCTTCCCATCTGAAAAGACTGTGTGTAAATGAAACGACCCTTCCACTGTTAAGTAAAAAGCCAAAGTCAGTAAAACCCCAGGAAATTAGTTCTCTATGGAGAGCCAAGTTTTCTTGCTTGCTAAGGGCTTATTCCTTTAGAGATGAAAATGTTTTAAAATGCTTTTCAGGGAAAATTCCCACCATTCCTTAAACTTTACTCTGCCTTTTAAAATAGAAGAGCTGGAACCCGTTAGTCCACGTGTTGGTGATCAGCGTCCCACTGTGATAACCATCCGAGCACTCTGAGAAATGGCGTGTGGTTGTCCTGTGCTAAGTGTGGATCTTCTGTGCTTTGAGAGCAATGTCTACTTGCGACTCACAATCAGGAAACCACAGCTGTGTGACTTTGGGAGGCCCTTCCACTTCTCTGGACTTCTGTCTCATCATGTGATAGGATGGTTACGAGAAATCTGATAACATCATGACCATGAGGAGCCAGAAGCGCAAAGTGGATCTGACGATGGGGACAGAACCCACCCTGTGACCCTGGACTTGAAGGCTGGTTTTCCCAGCAGTGACTTCTCACTGCGCCTTGGTTTGTGGCCTTTGTTCCATTCCTGGAGAAACAGATGTAACCATGGTAGCTCAAGGCTGTTTTTCCAGGCAGGAGACTAACCTCAGTGGCAGGGATTGGGAGGGGTGAGCTGCGGTCAGGAGGTGAGGGCTGCCACTTGCTGTTTCATTGTCTTTTTGGGAAGAAGTGTCCCCACCCTGCATGCTGGGAGCTTCCCTGGTGACCCTAAGATTCCCATGCCCTGGTGGGCCAGTAGACAGCAGTGTCCCAAAGGGGATGTCATGCTCCTGCCCCCATGCCTTCCATCCCTTTGCCTCCCATCTTCTAAGCTAAGGCAGTTCTGTCTCCAAGAATAACATGCACAAGGAAAAAAATTCCACACACACACACACACAGACACACATGAGAAACAAAACAAAACACTCAACAGCTAGAAGAGGCTTGATGTGAAGTATGAACCTTTGGTAGGAAGGAGCTAGAAAAAAAATAGAGATGAAAATAAAGGAGAAAGATGGGAAGAGGAGATGAGGAGCTCAGAAATGGAAGAAAGAGGTTAAAGAAGAATGCAGGCGGGTTGAAACCTTCTTAGATGTGGCCACTATTCCAGAGGACATCCCCTGGGCCTCTGCCTTCAGTGGAAGGTTCTAGAACCCGGGTAAGTCCAAGCAACCCTGTCTGAAAAAATGGCACTTCCCTCTCTGGGCCTCAGTTTGTTCAACTGTAAAATGAGAGCATCTGTCCTCTCAGAGAGAGACTGTGCTCCCCTCTCTCCCTACCAAGGGGCCAGCAAGCTAGTGAGCTTTTGCAATAATAGCTACCATTTATTGAATGCCACTTGTCACGTCAGTCATCACACCTCTAATCCTTTCTCAAGCAACACAACTCTGAAAGATATAGATTTTTATCAGCACCTCCAATTTACAGATAATAAAACAGGTATGGAGAGGGCAGGTAGCTTGCCCATTGCCACCCAGCCAGCCAATGTCTGAGCCAGGATTTGAACCCAGCTGCGTTTGATGCCAAAGCTCATATTTGTTCCCCTTCACCATGCTGCCCCCTGGGAAGTCCAATTCAAGGGCAGGGGGATTTGGACCCTTCCCCTGGGAGGCTGACTCTTAGTCTAGGGGTTTAATCAGAGCCAGCCTGGAAAGATGAGCAGAGGGGGCTGAGACCCAAGCTTGCCAGGTGACTAAGGAGTATGGAGTGCAAATGAGTGGTATGGGCAGAAAGGTACCGATCCCTGTGGGCTGGGGGTCAGGGAAGGCTTCTAGGAACAGGGGCCTTGTCTGAGCTGTGAAGAGTAGAAAGCATTTTGTTGGGCAGAGGGGGCAGGAAGAACATGCTCTACATCATTTGAATCCGGAATGGATCTGGAGAGCTTTAAATCCCTTCTGAAAATAGGCTTAACCTGGATTCCCCAAGTGGGATCAAACAAATTGTCCTCAGCTGGTGCTGACACTGTGCCTGGAGTTGACTGAGGAGGTTGAGGGTGAGGTCCCCGCTCTCAGATAGCCTGGGCTGACATCTTCGCTTCACCACCCCATGACCTGTGGGACTTGGTAATTACCCTCCTTGAGCTGGGTTTCCTCATCTGTACAATGAGGATGAGTTGCCATGAGGATCAAATGAGGTAATGCACACAAATTGCCTCCTGATATGTAGTCAGTGCTCAACCAATGCTAGCAATTGTGAAGTCCAGGAAGGATGCAGACATCTTATGGGTGTTTTTGCAGGGATGGGGCCATAACAGAAACCAATTTGCCTTCTGCACAGTTTTGCAGAGATCTACGCTATTGAAGACACTCCCTGAGAAGGGTCCTTACAGGCTCCCAGGGCTCTCCCCTGGCATCTGTTCGGAGCATCACCATCTTCTAAGGTTTTTTCATACCTCCTTGTCTCAGGTACTTCTAACCCAAAGAGCTTGGCAAGGCTGGTACAAATTTTACGTCCATTTTACAGATGAGAAAATTAGGCACAGAACGAAGCCCATGCCCCAGGCCACATGGCAAATCAGTGTCAGAGCTAGAATTAGAACTAGGATGTTTTAACCCATTTATGCCTAGTGTTCCATTATTGGAACACTAAGCTTGTGGGAGTTATTTATAGCCTACTGCTCAAGGTCATCGCCAAAGTCTGATTTTTCACAAAAAGATTCTCAACCTCTTGCATAAATAGGTTAATGCCCAAGCCTGTGTCCCCTCTGTTAGACCACAGTGCCCCCAACTAGGTGCAAGCCTGCCTGGCTAGTAAAGGACTCGTGTTCTAGTCTTAGTTTTACTAGGAACATGAAGTGCTGGTGTAGGCAAATTATATACTTCTGCTGCCTCAGTTTCCTTATCTAGGAAATGGGGAAGTAATTGCATGGATCTCGCCGAGTGGTATGTGAGTGGAATGAGTCAGCCTGAGGTTCCAGGCACACTTGGGTTATTTGGAAGTCCCATTCCCCCAGTGAGATCACCTGCTTCAAGGCAGGGTCTATTTCTTGTATTTCTGCATTACTCCCAGGATGCCAGCAAGTAGGAACATGGTAGACACTGTATGAATGAGATTGGTTCAAATAAACAAAGGGGATAGCTTTGAAATCACAAAAGGCAGTGGGATGGCCCCAGCCCTCTGCCGTGGGATACCTGACATTTGAACAGAGCCCTATCATTCATAAGGTGCTTATATTAATTCATTTCATTCTTCTGCTGGTATTATGATCCCTGTTATGGTAATCAGAGAGGCTAAGTGACCTGCTCCAAGTCACGCAGCTAGAAAACAGCAGGGTGGGAACTGGATTTCTGCTTGAGTCCCATTGCTTTCCTGCCCTTCAAGAATAGAACTGTTGGTGCAATTCTATTGCTATGATCCACAAGTCTGGTGCCTCCCTGAATCCTGCTCAGCTCAGCAAATCTGGGCTCAGGATGGTGGTTCCATCTGCCAAATCCCCAGGGCAAGCTGGCCCCAGCCAGCCGACTCCCACTATCCCGGAAGCTGTCCCCACCCAGTCTCCAGCCTCCACCTCCTCCCATGCCCAGGCCTGGAGCTTCACAGCCACCTGGTGGAATTAGTGGCTGAGGTGGGGGTGGGAGGTGTGCTGCATGGGGTGAGAAGGGATGTGGATTTCCTCTCCAGATGTGGGAATGAGGTTGGGCAGCGGCTACCTGCGTTCTTTGAGCAGGTCTTTACTCGTGGTCTGTAGGCACTGAAATCCACAAAGGGGTGGTGGGTTAGGGCAGGATAAAGGGTGGGAGACCTGGCCCAAGCAGCTGGCCAGCCCTAGATCTCTGCTGGGCACACCCACCCAGCCCTTGGCAGTTTCCCCAAGCAAGGTGGTCACACCCCTTGGCCCTGGAATGCCCCTGGGCCTTGGCTGCCCCAGAGGCTGGAACCAGACATGTGGGCTGGGAGGCTGGGCAGGGCTACTTCAACTTTTAGCCTGTGCCCTGCCCGCCACGAGCACCCCAGGCAGAGCGCCCACACTGGGTAAAGCCGGCCCCACCTGCTCTGCCACCCTGCCAGGACACGCCTAGAGCCCGCAGTCCCCAGCTGAGCCTGGCCCACTCAGCCCCTCAGGGTTTCTGTGCGATTTGCTCTGAGCTTTCTTCCTCTGCTAAGGGCAATGGCCATCCAGGTGTTCCCTTACAGCTGGAATGCAGGCCCTTCCCACCTCACACAATTGTGCACCCCCTCCTCTTTCCCTGCAATGTCCAGCCCCCTTGACAAGACAAGCAAGGGCCCAGAAGAGGCCAGACCCAGGAAGCAGGCACCCCTGGGTTCTCATCCCAGTCACAGACAGATTTTCTCTGCCCCTACATCTAAGGTCTGAGTTTTTTTTCTGCAACCAGTCACTCAAGTCTCTGCTTCATGGTTCTCTGCTGAAACCCCCTGGGTTAACAATGCCACATGCCTGTTGAGCTTTACTTTCAGGAAAGCTTGTTCACAGGCATTTTTCTTCATGTTTTCCTAGGATCCCTGTGTACATAAGGAATTATTTTGCCTATTTTGCCAACGAGAAACCTAAGCTCCTGCTGGTGAATTGATTTGCCCAAGGTCACAGAACTGTGTAAGTGACAGAGGTCCCAAACCTCCTGCTGGTCACCTAGGCTCTGCCCCCTGTATGAGGCTGTATCCCCTGTTGACCTCCAGCCCCAACATCATCGCCACCTCTTCAACCCTTTCTCCATCTCCTCTACACCAGCATTGGTTTGATTTTATCAGAACAAGGTCTAAGATCCCCATAGAGGTTTAGAGTAGGGCAAAAGCCAGGGTGCGCTTCTCTAGGCTGGACTTGAAGGGTACCGAAGAGCGTAGCCCAAGGGATGGGCAGATGGGTGAGGAAGAATGAGGGGAAGCCTCACACCTGGGCTTTGGGGATAGAAATGGGTGTGGGATTCAGGCTGAGGGTACATGAGTGTCAGAGCTGCTCAGTCACACCTAGAGGACCCCCTTCGTCTATGTAGAGGCTGCCTGAGGCCTCTGGGGCAATCTGAAGTGGATGTGCCAGGACCACTGCCCTCATCCCCTCATCCAAGGGGTGGCTTGGAGCCTTTTACCTTTCAAAGCACTTTGACCTCTTTGGTGGCAGGCCAGGCGGAATTATGCCTATTTGACAGATGAGGAAACTAAAGTGAAGGTGAGGCTAAGGTCACAAAGTGATGGGATGAGAGTGGGGGCGCTCGCATCTTCCCTGAGGCCATTGCTTTTGCTAATGCACCATGCAGGGGACTTGCAAGAAAGACAGAAAAAGTGGGTTCCCTACGGGGCTGCCTGGCCTCAGTCACAAAGTGAGGGCTCGTTTCAGTTTGCTAGGGTGCAACTGCAGGGTCAAGAGCTGGCGGGACACACCAATGGAGAGGAGTGCCACCGCAGATGGCTGGCACCCTGGCCGGGTTGGCCATGGAAGTCTGCGGCAGGCAAATCAAATGGTGCCCCTTCAAGCTGTTGTTCTTTAATTATTTTTTCATCCTTTATTTTCTAGGGGGCAGTGGGGGGAGACTTGTTTTCTTTTAAGAAAAGTTGCACACCTCTTTCATGTTCAAAATAAAGGATTTACTACTTGTGTTTATTACAGGCGATTTCCTGAGCCAGAAAACTTCTTGGGAGGCTT
Organism: Homo sapiens; assembly: GCF_000001405.40. Taxonomy (NCBI): domain Eukaryota; kingdom Metazoa; phylum Chordata; class Mammalia; order Primates; family Hominidae; genus Homo; species Homo sapiens. The sequence continues at coordinate 48,052,053 of NC_000018.10, forward strand.
ATTAAACCTTATTAAACCACTGAAAATTTAGATAATAAAATAAATCACTCGTCTCCCATAAACAGCACTAGGCCACGCGTTACTGAGTTTCATACTCCCAATGGCCTCAGGCTGCCTTCACAGGAGATGTCCCCTTCTGGTGTTGGATGGCTCCCTGGAGGGTGGGGCTGTGGTGGAAGGGTGGGACAAGCATCAACCCATGAGAGCACTATTCTTTGTAGCCATTTCTGCCCAAAGGGGCCATCTCCTCTAGTAGAGTGGAAATGGTTTAGATTTTGCTAGTTATTGAAGAGGTTGTGTGTGGATAACTGGGCTAAGTGGTACCATATTTTGACCCTTCCTGGGGATATTTTGGCATCTGTTCTAGAAGGCATTAAGGTGCTCCACAGCTGGCTAGCCTCTGAGTGTGCTGTCTGCATGCCTCTTCTACCCACGTGCCAAGGGCTCCCAGTGCTGTGGGTAGGGCTCTGGAAGCTGAGTCCATTGCTGCTGGCCCTGGGGACTTTACACCAGGCAGAAAGGAAAGCAGAGGCCAGGTGAGGGGGCCATAGTTGGAGCAGAGAAAGGCCGGGAGCATGAGGAGCAAAGGCTGGGAAGTACCCAGGTGTGCAGTCAGCAGACAGCAGGCCAAAACCCTCTGGGGGAGGAATTATAGTTAAAATCCTAGCTCTGCTCTGCAACTGCTTCATGTGACCTTGAAGCGGCCGGGTCCCTGTTTGAGCTTCAGTTTCTTCTTTTATATAAGACTAGCTGGTTGTGAATGTCCCTTGCTGCCCACACATGAATCCATTTCAATATTTTGGTTCCAGGATAGATCCTTGGATTCTGAGGTCATGCACAGCTCGACTTCAGATGTCTTGGGGCTGCTGCATCTCACTTTGGGTTTCCTGTGACCTTGACTTTGCCCTCTTTCTCCTCCCACCCCCTTCACTTTAGTTCTCTCTGGGACCCTGCCAAGTTACACAGGAAAATACATGTGAACACACGTTGGACTTTCAGATGACGAGTGTTCTACAAGGTCAAGGTGGGGTTATTATTTGACCACAGTGAGTAGAGTGATGACGACTCAACAGGTTGGTAAAAGTGCTTGATGCGTCCCTTCCGCCTGCCCCAGAGGAAAAGTGAGGAGGCAGCTTCCATGTCTGTCTTCCCATCGCCCCTACAGTGGCCAAGAATGGGCATGGAGTTGGGAGCGGCCGCTTCTGCAGAATGTGCACAGATTCATTACAGACACCCCACAGGCCTTGCATGCGCGGGTTGGGGAATGGACAGGAACACAACTCATTCTCCCATAATGGTGACTTCAGGTATGCTGCACAGAGACACAGTAAACAGGTGATGGAAGGACCAATTCTGAGATTCCTTCACCTTTGACTGAATCAAACTGGTCACTGAGATGTACTCTGGGTGCCCATTAGGTACCAGTCGCTGTCCTAAATATTTTACATTTATATTTATATTTATATTTGCATTTATATTTCTCTCATTTCATCCTCTCAAAAACCCCATGAGGTGGCTACTGTCATCATTATCACCCCATTTTTCAAGTAGGGAAACTGAGGTAGAGCCGAGGCTTGAACCTAAGCAGTCAGGTTCCGGGTTTCCTAAGCAGTCTGCAACTGTCTCTCTCAGCTACTGCAGTATTTACCCATTTAGCTAAGTGCTGGAGAAACATGGATGAAAGAGATGGAGCTCCTGGTCTTAAGAAGCCACAGAAGAGTGGGAGAGACAGTAAAGACAAGACCTAAAATGAGTGCTAAGTGCTGGTTCATGGAGGCAGATGGGGTGCCTGGGGTCAGAGGACGGGGACTCTGCTGGGCCCAGGAAGGGGACTCCTCCAAGGAGGTGAGGCCCCCAAGCAGCCAGGGATGTGGGGCAGGGGAAGGACAACATTTTGGCAAAGGGATTAGCTTGTGCGAAGGCATGCGCAGAGGCTGAGTGAGGATGGCACATGCAGACAGGAATGCCAGGGAGTTTGCGGTGCTGGGTTCAAAGATTTAAGTTCAACGAATTTAGAGACAGGCTAGTCTGGGAAGCAGAGCAGGGAACACTGCAGCCCACCATGTGGGAGTCTTGGGCGTGGGTGGGACGGTGAGGCAGGGGCCTCATGAGCATTGGAATCCTTCCGCGAAGGAAATCAGGGAAGGTTCTGGATAGGAGAAGAATCTCTTGGCGCTGTATTTGAGGAAGGTGTCAGCAAGAAGCAGTCCTGGAGCAGGGAGGGAAGGGCGGCCGGAACCAGTTAGGAGATTGTATCTCCTGACCCAGGAAGCCGCTCTGCATTATTCACGGCCACTCCCCTGCCCTTCTCTACCCCAGACCTCCATGTGGGATCTGGCCGGGGAGGAGCTGCCGTGGGGGGTGGCAGCTGTGGGAGGAAAGAGGACAGAGTCACATGCCGAGGACTCATCACAGGTGTAAGATGTCCTGGTTATGCCTCAGCCCTCGACAAACACTCCTGCCTCCCTGCTGTTGTCTACCTCAATTTAGAGACGAGGTCCAGCCAGATGGCCTCAAAGATCCCGGCCCTGCCTGTGTTTTTCAAAGGAAGCCAAACCTCAGATTTGCCTCAGAACTTGTACTTTTCTTCTAAGCAAACGCCGTCCACCACGAGAACCGCCTGGCATTTGGCTGGGAAAGAACAAACTGGAAGCTTGCAATTTCCAGGCTTAATTGCACAGTTCCTTATAATATTATTATATAGAACTTTTATTGCACTGAGAAAGCCCAAGCGTTTCCTTTTCCTATTTATACCTGAGCCCAGTCTCTCCTCTGCTATCATTTCCTCCCTTGCCCACTGCAGAAGCTGATGGCTGTTTGGTTCCCTTTCCAAAGAGAGGGCAATTAGGATGTGAGTTGGAAACTCATTTGTCCCCTTTGGTTGACTCGTGGAATATCAGTCAATTACCACATGTTATTGATCACTCACCATATGCTTGACTGGGCTTCATGCTGTGTAAGTCTATAGAAAATACCTGCTTTAGAGGGGCTTCTGGCTTCACTGGGCAGGTAAGAGTAACCCACAGCAAAATATCTCAAAGAAGTAGGAACCAATAAAGAACCTAATGTGGGGCTGGGCATGGTGGCTCACCTCCCAAAGTAATCCCAGTACTTTGGGAGGCTGAGGCGGGAGGATCATTTAAAGTCAGGAGTTCAAGACCAGCCTGGCCATCATGGTGAAACCCCATCTCTACTAAAAATACAAAAATTAGCTGGGCATGGTGGCAGGTGCATATAATCCCAGCTACTCGGAAGGCTGAGGCAGGAGAATCGCTGGAACCCAGGAGGCAGAGGTTGCAGTGAGCTGAGATTGCGCCACTGCACTCCAGCATGGGTGACAGAGTAAGACTCAAGTCTCAAAAAAAAAAAAAAAAAAAAAAAGAACCAAGTACGGGCTGGGTGCTACAATCAGGAATATGGAAGCCAGCAAGTCAGAGCTAGGTGTCTGGGCTGAACGGCTGTCTGGGGAGGGAGGGCATCGTGGAAAGCTGTGCAACAATGCATCACAAGTGCCCGCTTCTGAATGCAGCCTGGGAATCCAGCCCTCCCTTTTGTGCTTTGTGAGACTCTCAGGAGACAGGAGCCTGCCTTCACTCTCCTGATATTTGCTCCCAGCCACAGGAGCCCAGCACCAAGGACTAGACTTTCCCGACCTAAAGGAAGAATAGTTCACCTGATTCAGCACCTTATAGAGTAGCTACCCTTTCCCTCCACCCCAACTCGACCCCACTGCAGCTACCACCGCTCGTCGTCTTGCTCTGCGATTTTTGGTTTCCAGACCATCATAAATTTACAGTGAAAATATTCTCAAGGCAGGAGAATCTCCCCATCTCCACCCTGGACTGAGGAAACCTGGCAGATCCGCTGCTGAGCTAGGACGGGCTCAGGAATTTCCTCACACCTAGAAGGTCGGCTTCCCATTTGAAGTCTCAAGATCAGAAATGTTGAATAAGAAATACAAGGTTAAAAAGTAAAAAGAAGAGTTGGCAAAAAAGTCATTATTTGTGGATGATATGATTGGATACTTTCCTATACAAATAACAGACAAGTTCAGAAGTATATTAGGGACCCCACTGACTTGGCAACAAAAATAGAAACAACACCTAGGAATAAGTTATTAAGAAATGTGTAAGATCCATACAGAGACTGTTTTAAACATGACTGAAGCACTCCTTAAGACTTAAGTCAATGGAAAGATACAACTCGTATTTGGACAGGGAGCCACAATACCATAAAGATGCCAATTTCCCCTAAATAATTTAATAAGTGCAATACAATCCCAATAAAAATATCGGAATTTCTACTGAAATTAGATAAGCTGATTCTGAAGTTCATATAGAAAAATAAGCATTTAGGAATAGCCAAGAAATTTTTGAAACAGATGAGTAACAGAAGTAGGGGGACCAGCCCTACCAGATATGAAGACACATTAGAAAGCCATAAAAATAAAATATTTGGTACTGGATCATGAACAGGAAGACAGATCAATATAAAGTCACGGGCAGTCCATAAACAGACTCACATAAATTCATGTAGGTATGAATTTAGCATGTAATAAAGGTGGAATTTCAATTTGTATTTTAAAATGGATTTTTCAATTAATGAGATTAGAACAACTAGGCAACCATGTAGGAGACAAAACAAAACAAAATAAAACTTGTATCCCTTCCTCACTCCTTACACCAAAACAAATGATACATGTAGCAAAGCTTTAAAAGTTAAAAAAAGTAAATAAAATATTGAAGAACTACTTTATAATTGCAAAGGAAAAATATTTTGCTAAGATAGAAAACCCAGAAGTCATAAAAGATTTGTTAAATTTGACTAAATAATGATTTAAACATTTATGTACATCCAAAATTCCATAACAAAATCAAGACACAAACAAACTGAAGAACATATTTGAAACATATGATGAAGGGCTAATTTCCTTTATATAGAGAGAGACCATGTGTCACCAAATCAGGAAAAGACCTATAGTTTATTAGAAAAATTGTCAAAAAAAAAAAAAAAAAAAACCAACCCATGAACAGGAAGATCATAGAAAAATAAATATAAATAGCTTTTAAGTGTATGAAAAATGCTTACCATCATTCAGCATTAAAGACATAAAAATTAGATTTCAAGTTTCATCTACCAGATGGGCCAAAAATAAAAAAAATTCTGATAACTCAGCAATTACCCTTATAGATATATATCTTGCAATTTCACTACTGCCATATGTTCAACTTACATATAGGATTATCTCTGTGGCATTGATTCTATAGCCAACAATTGGAAGTAAACAGTATATCCATCAATAGAGGCTTGCTAGATACATCATGGAGTACTATGCAGCCATTAAAAAGAATGAGGCATATCTGTATATTGATACATAGAGAACTATGTCTAAGATTTATCACTATGCTGCATGGTTACCAGGTTTAGAAAGAAAAAGATGACCATGTGTACATACTGGTTTGTAGATGCATGAATTAAACTGTTAGAGCCTTCCTACTGGAGAGGTTGGAAGGCTGCCAGTGAGGGGTAGAAGGCAGATTTATTTTCCTACATATACTCTTTGATAGTATTTGAACCTTAAAGCCATTATTATTAAAAATGCTGAATGATCTATATTTTCGTCCTTCTTTTACAGACTTCTAAATTGTCTTTGACATTTTTTGTAATGTCTGATGCCTACTGATTTGTTCTGGGGCCTTCAGCTACCCATCTCAGTTTTTCTGTCTGTAAAATGGAATTAATGACACTGGCTGTCTATCTCATGGGTGGCTGTGAGGCTCAAGGGAGAAATGGATGAAAACAGGCTCTGGCTGCCATCAGGTGCTGTAGGATTCAACTGCAGGACATTAGAGGTGGCCCATGTTCTGCCCAGCACCTGTCTACTGCACGGTAATGTCCCCGTGGCCACATAGGCAAGCTGTGCATCACAGCTGGGTTCTCCAGTGATGGAAGAATACATGACTCCAGTTATCTGTTAGTTCAACATTTACTATATAGCACCAAGGACACAGGTGCTAGGAAGAGCCGTGATGTTGTGTCAGCACCATCTGAGCTTCAAGAGTATGGCTGCAAATGATGATAATCACAATAATGAAAATCTTACTGCTTTCAGCTAACCACTTATCTCACATATAGTAACTCATTTGTTATTTGTTATTCTTGTTTTAAACATATGGCCAATGAGCTCTAAAGGGTTGGACCCACTCAAGGGGCCCAGCAAGTAAGGGGCTGAGCTTCCCCACTTGGACGCTGTCATTTCCCTACTCTAGGACTTTTGATGATGCCCTTTGTGGGACCCTGCCATCTCAGTCTGCCTTTTGTGGTCCCCCACAGTCTGTTCTGGATATAATTTCCCAGTTCTCTCTGACCTGGGGTCTTTTTAAAGCTGGTCTCTAAACTGCCTCTGAACAGTCCATTCTCTTTTCTGCATTGGTGCGTGTTCCTTTGAGCTGCTCACACCTCTAGTCCCACCTCTCTGGTCATCCCAGGGTCTTTAAGACCCCTTGTGAGTCAGTTTCACTTCTTCCCTGACACCTTCTCCTCTAAGCTATGTGACTTCAGAGAGTGGCAGCCAGCCTCCGGAATGGCTCCCAAGGATCCTCACCTCGTGGTATTCATGCCCCGTGCAGTCCCCTCCTGCATTGTATCAGGGCTGGTATATGTGCCTACAGACTACAGGAAGGCGATGGTGTGTGCCTGCCATGGCGAGGCTATAAGAGATATTGCCACATTCACCTTGATTTCTCCAGGAACTCTTACTGTGGGGGAAACCATTGTCATCTTGAGAGATAGTTCAGCAGCCCAAGGAGAGGTATGAAGAGGGACTGAGGCCTCCCATCAACGGCCAGCACAACTTGCCAGTGATGTGAGTGAGCCAGCTTGGAAGTAGGTCCTCCTGTCCCCACCTCCAGTCCCAGTCACCTTCAGGACTGAAACCACATAGGAATCCCTGAGCCAGAACGTTCCAGCTAAGCTGCTCCTGGATTCCTGAGTATAAAATCATGTGGATGAGAGATGTTTATTGTTTTAAGCTGCTATGGTTTTGGGGCATTTTGTTATGCAGAAACAGCTAACTAATGTACATTAACTAACTCAACTCCTTTGGGAAGCAGGATGTACTCTTTGGCCTTTGTCCATTTATTTTTTTTTGCCTGGGTTTTGTGTGTGTCATCTTGTATCTCCAACAAAATAGTAAAGATCTGTGGTTTATAATTCCCCTATATCTCCCATCATGGTTACTGGGGGTTGGGAACAGCAGGAGAATACACAGTGATTTGCCAGCTTCCTATTTGCAAACAGAAGGCGGGGGTTAACTAAAAGGCTCCAGCACACACACATGCTTCTGGTTTGGCTGGTACCCTCCTAAGTATGCAGACAACTCACACACAGAATGCCTGCAACCTCCCCACCTGAGACCTACAACTCACTGGCACACTGGAGCATTCAAATGCCAGCATTCTCAAATGTCCCATGGTGTGCCTGACTCACAACCCATTGCCAGTGGTCTCCTGGAGGGAGGGGCAGGAGGGCCTGGAGAGGGCTGTCACTTCTTACTACACTGACTGCTACTAGAGATTTATTTACCGGCCCCACACCCTTTTCAAAGATATTTCTTTCAAAGCCAGAGCGACAGCCTCCCTTTCAGCTTTCCTGACACTTAATTCCAAATACATGGTACACTTAATCCCACAGAACAATTTAGGAGCTAAAGAATCATAAAAAAAAATACTGTGGAGGGAGCTGTTGCTGCTCCTTTGAAAACAGCCCCTGCCCCAGTCTCTCCCCAGCTGCCTCCTGGTCCCCAGTCCCCAGAGGTCCATCCCCCCACCCGCCCAGGCAGCTTCCCTACAGGCAGCTGGTGGGAGGGTGCGACCCTTCCCCGGCTTCTTCCTCCTCCCACTCTTTTCCAGGCAGGCAGGCTTATTTCTCAAGACTAATAAACACCAGTTGAAGGGAGGAGGAGAGCCCCTTTGTAAAACGGTGTCTAAATAGAGGCAGCTCTACCATTTTTTTTCGGCCGGGTGGGTGGAGGTGACCAAAGATACAATTATAATGTAGCCCATCCTCTCCCACACGACCCATTTTAACCAGTGTGTAATAAAGCCCAGCTCATCCACCCTCTGATTTGGGTCAAATGAGAGGAATTTTTAGCTTTTCTGCGGAGTTTGTGCCAGCAGGGGAAGCAGAGGGGAGAAGGAGGAGGGAAGGAATAAACAAATATGCTACAGTTCTCTGGAAGAAAGGAAAGGCAGGGCATGCAGGGAGCGGGGATGGGGATGGCCACCCTTCACTTCCGCCAACCGAGTCCCTCTCTCCACAGTAGCCATCTAGCTCCCAAACCTTGGCTGAGACTAAGGTCTCCCTCTTCCTTGCTCCTGACTCAGTGAATCAGCTTTCACTGTGGGAGCCCATGGCACACCCCCTCTGCTCCTCCTGCCTGCCTCCTGCTGGTTCCCTCCACCTTCCAATACCTGGAAGATGTCACCAGTGTGCCCAACTCCCACCAGCCTGGCCTTGCCCATTCCGCCTCCTCAGCTAAAATGCCGTCCCCTCCCAACCTCCTCACCCTACCCCACCTTCATTGGGTGAACTCTTGCTCATCCTTTAAGACTTGGCCCAGGTGTCACCTCCTCCAGGAAACCTTCCTGAATTAGGTGCCTGTCCTTCATGTTCCCATCCTTCCCTCTCTCCTAGTCCTCACCACATGGAGATGTAAGTGGAAAATAGGTGCTATTGTGATGGGCCTGGGGAGAGCAGGAGAAATAGCTCTGGGGTGTGAGGTGCTGGGGATGGGGTCAGCAGACCACAGCGGGTGCTGCAGGGTGAGTGTCGGGGGATCAGGTACACCCATAGCCCGTAGAGTGAAAGGGGCTGCCAGGAATGGAGAGAAACCCAGTCGCATCCAACCCCAGCTGCTTGAAAAGTGGTGACCAAGCCGCCATGGAGTGCTGGGGCTGGGGTGGGATTGGACAGTGGTAGGGACAGGGGTATGACCCTGTTCTGGCCACTAGAGAGCAAGGGGTTTACCACGCAGTGAGCAAGGCAGGAGGTGAGGGCTTGGAAATATTTACAGATCATTTATAGAGCTTTAGACGAATGGACCTTCATCATGAAAACTGAAAGGAAAAATGTGTACACAGATGCAAAGTTCAACAGAGAAAAGGGTCATGAGGAAGCTTTCCTGAAACAGACAAGAGTAGGATAAAACAAAGGCTGGATCATTTACACATTCCCCAGGAAAATATTGCTTCCTTTACAGCTTCACCCCAAGACTCATTGTGGTCTGTGCACTGAGGGGCCACCCACCTGGTATAGTCCCACGTGGAGTGCTTGGCCTCGTCTTTCCTTTGTAAGGGATGCTCTCACTCCTTTACCCTTGAGTCCCTCTTTTCCCTCCACTAGTCCTGAACACTCACTGAGCCCCTCAGGCAGTTGAGGACAGAGCAGGAGGCCTTCAGGCCCACAAGCACCCCCAATTCCATCAGCATACTCAACAATGAGTTTCACGCACATATATGTATGGCCAGCTTTCAAATGCAGACGGGATTGGAATCGATTCAACACAAATGTAGGTAAAATCATTACGGAATCACCCAGGGTTGGGGTACAGCCAAGCAGGGTCCCATGACATATTTTCAGCTCCAAAAAGGATGCTTATTTTCAAAAGCATGGAGCCCACTGGACGGGAATGTAAGTTCCTTGAGAATGAGAATGAGTTGCTTCTCTGTACCTTTCACAGAGTGGAGCCTGGAGGTTCACATCACTAGGCATTTGGTATAATGTTTGTTGAGTGACTTGCTGAGCACAGATGGGCCTATTTACTTTGAAATAGTCAGTATCACTTCTACTGTCGAAAGCAGGAAATGACCTGGGAGCATCAGTAATAAAGAATGGCAAAGTCCTCAGTAAACAGCAAGTGCCGATGTGTGCTCTGCAGGCCTGGGCACACAGTGTACCTCTGTTCTCACGTGTGGCAAGAAGGACAAAGTGCTAAACCAGAAAATTTACAGGAGCTAAATCTCCCAAGGAAAACATGAGAGAATCTTATTTCTTCTCATTAAACAATTTATAAATCAGTATAAAAAGGATTTCCTCTGAAAACCTTTGGCCCAATATTGCTTCAATATTGCTATAACTTCAAAACATAACAAAGACAGCCATTGTGAAACATGCCATTGTGTTCCTGAGGGTTCATCATGTGATAGGTGAGGGGAACACCTTTAAGGGGCTTGATCCCCAGAAGGGGAGAGGAGAGCACTTCCCTCTCCCTCTCCCCAGGGAGGACCTGGATTAGCTGGAAGCATGAGTCACGCTTGATTTTCATGCTGTTGGCGCACTCTATCACTTCTGTGCTCAACACAAGATCCTGTCACAGTCAGAACCCCTGAACACTAAGCGTGTCAAGACATATCTAGAGCTGCTTTAATTTCATGCATCTTCTCTTGAGCACCTACTGTGTGCCAGGTATTGAGCTGGGCTCTTTTACACAAATTACCTCATTTGATCCTTACGCTAACCCTATGAGATGATTATTTTTACCCTCATTTTCCTAGAAGGAGACTGAGACCAGGAGTGGCCAAGTCACATATCTCAGGACTGCAGTAAGTCAGTGGCCTGTTCCATTCTAGAACATCTGAGAGCATCCAAAGGCTAAAAACTGGGATAACTCATGGGTGGCAGAGCTAGGAATGCTGTCCGCAAATATCTGATGAAGGCCTTAAGATGTCAGGGCTGGACAGGGCCTTTTATGGTTGAGGATGCTGAGGCACAGAGATGTCAAAGTGTCTACCTGGTTGTGGCAGAAAGCTCAGCTTGAGCTCTTAGGCATGGCCAAGATGCTTGTCCTGGCACAGGGAGCCACAGTGACTGCGCTGGAACCCGCATTTTGCCTTCACCTGCTCAGCTCTCTGTTCAGGATGGAGGCCCTGGCATCAGTGGGATGGAGAAAGTCTGTGACTCTGCCAGCCAGCAACCAGAAAGGATTACAGAGACACCATTCTCATCCCTGAGATTACCCTCCCTCCTTCCCACCACCCAAGCCAAAAGGTGAGACCAACATGTCTTGGTTTTCCCAGGACTTTCCTGGTTGAAGCATTGGAAGTCCTGCATTCCAGAAACCCCCTCTGTCTCAGGCAAGTTGGGATGGTTGGTCACCCTCGTTCATCTCCGCCTCCTTGTATGCACCACCCATCTCCGCTGCCCTTAAGGATCATGTGACATCAGCTCCACTAGACAAACAGCGCAGGGGCTTTTCCCCCCCAGCTTACACCCTTGAGGTCCTGTCCTGTCCCATTCAATGCCAGAGGAAGAGTTCCTGCTGTCACCAGGGATTGCTTAACCTGGGCACCTTAATACTTCTGTGAGGGGGCAGCCCTCTGCCCTGGGGCTCCCAGAGGGATCCAAGGCAAAGAGGAGCAGACAGTAGGGTGACAGAACATAACAGAACTGGGAAGAAAGGCAGGAGGGGAAGTTAATGAGATTTAAACAGGGAGAAAAGGGAGGAAAGGGAAGCAGGGAAAAGGAAGGTGTGGAAAAAGGAGAGAAAGGAGGAGAGGTGACAGTATGTGTTATAGAAATAAAAGAATGGCCAATTGCCATGGCCAGCTTTCTCAACAAGAAGTGGTCTAGGTTTTCAACAGATGCTCACTGGGCAGAGATGTCTTGAGAGGTGTATGGGGCTATGGGGATTATGTGGTTAATCCTAATTTTGCAGATGTTGAGAAAACTAAAGCTTATAGGACTGGAATGTAAAAGCGTCCATGGTAGAAATCATGCCAAATGCCTTTTTTGTATCCAACCCAAAACTTCCATGATATCTTTGCATTTATATTTAATTTATAATTATATATAATTTATAATTGATAATTAAATACTTATTAATAAGGACAGTGACAATAGTGATATTGATCTCTGGCAATCCAGTCCTCCTCCTAAGCATGTCTTTCCAAGTAAATGTCAACACAAAGTTGTATAATTATATTGGAAATTTGAGCAATATGGCCATGAAGAATGAGAAGGTGGCCCCAGTCTACTGGGAAACAGAAGCAGGGTTGGCTCCATGCATATGCAGCTGCTGGATGGGGTCACTGGAGGGCACCCCACTAAGCTCTGCCCATTCCAAAGTATATCTCTTCCACCAGCAGAGTGTGATGCCATCCACCTTGCCATTCCAACCACTGGGAATTCCCACTAGGGGAGGTCTTAACAAGAAGCTCTGCTGGTGGAAACCACTAAGGCCTTTTTTATCCTGTATCCAAGTTATTTCAGGATTTCTGGGCTAGTCCTATAGTAGTACTTGTGAGCTTATCATGTCAATGACTCGTCTTCTTGGAAGATACAGGGTACCTGTCCCATGGACCTTGGGCCCACCATCTGTGCCTGTGAGTTGAGGCAAGAAGAATGGCAATAGGCCAGGTGTGGTGGCTCATGCCTATAATCCCAGCACTTTGGGAGGCCGAGGCGGGTGGATTACTTGAGTTTAGGAGTTCAAAACCAGCCTGGGCAATATGGCAAAACCCCATTTCTACAAAATATACAAAAATTAGCTGGGCATGGTGGCATGCACCTGCAGTCCCAGCTACTTAGGAGGCTGAAGTGGGAGGCTCACTTGAGCCTGGGAAGTTGAGGCTGCAGTGAGCCGTCTTCACACCACTGCACTCTAGCCTGGGTGACAGAGTGAGACTATCTCAAAAAATAAAAAAAGAAAAATGGCAATAGGAACAGGGAGAAGAAGGTGGTCCCAAGGCAGGGCCCCCCGGGAGGAGTAGGATGCAGGCTGAAGTGGACCCTAGAAGTTCTGCTCTAGAGGAAAATGGCAGGAGAAGACCTGGAACAAAGCAACAAAGCCCACAGAGGGCTTCTCGAAACACCACCTCCCTCCTTCAGGGTACTCCTAAGCTCCCACCACTCCACTCAAGGAAAGGACTCTGCAGTCACAGACTTTAACCGCCAAACATCTAACATGTCCTTTTGGTTGGGAGAGGCCCTGTGGGGAGAGTTTTGATGGTAGGAAGCAGGACTCTGCCTCCCACTGAGGAAGAGGGGCCTCCTTCCACTCCCAGTGCCCCCCGCCCCCTCCCTGTCCAGCGAGCGCATGCGCACACAGCGCTAGGCCCAGCTGGCTGGACCCCGCTGCCAGGACCTTGAATCTTAAGTGAGTGACAGTTAGCAGCAGCAGTTTGTGTTGCTTATTTGCAACTATGAACTTTGAGTGACATAAATGTTGGGCATACCTGAATACCAGAGCCTTGCTGGAGATTCGCAATGAATCTCTCTCTCTCTCTCACACACACACACACACACAAACACACACGCCTGAGAAAGCCCATAGTATAGAAACCTGTTTAACTTTGTTTAACTCTGCATTTCCCAAACTTGTTTAATCTTTCTGCTTTGCCTAACGCCTTTTAATATCCTGCAGAACTGGTGTGACAAGCACACCTTCAGGTAACACTGGGGGTAGAGCCATGCTTTCCAAACTTTTTCAGTCATGGAATTTGCAGAGAAACACTATTTTTATGGCACAAAGGAATTGGAGGGCTCTCAGGAGGTTGCTGGGCTGTTCAGCTGACAAGAGGCATGAAGGGGCAAAGCCACTGGTTGGGAAGCTGTGGACCAGAGGACAGAGCCCTCTGGGATACAAGCCTGGAGGCCTGACCTCTCGCCCTGGCTCTGGTGTGAAGCAGCCTCCATGAGGTCACACAGGTAGCTGCGGCATCCCAGGGCCTCCTCTACTGTACCATACAGTTTCCCTCTAGGGCCGTTGGAGAAGTGGTCTTATCAGAGGATGCCTGCTTTCTCTGAACAGAAATGAGGGGGCAGAGTGGGGCAGCTCATCTTCCAATACACCCCCATCCCTGGAATTAGCTCAGGGTCAGGACTTGCCAGCTCTGCCCTCTCTGCTCACCCCTCCTCCTCCTTCCCAATAAGTTCTGGATCCAGCCCTAGTAGGCAATGCATGGAAGCTTCTTGTGTGAGGAAGCCCACCCATTTGGAGGTCTTCTGTCTCTGCATGTGGTATCTGCTCTCTCCTTCATCTGCCAGCCAGGCATCATCTCCTAACCTTCGGCTTCCATGCTGTTCATCTCCTGAGGCCCCATAATCCTTGCTGGCATCCCTGGGGACTGGGCTAGTGCCCACCCTGGCTCCACCAGCCTTGGTTTGCGGCTCTGTCTCTAGAGCCCCTATCTGCCCACAGCCTGCCTCAGCCAGACTCTTTGGAACACAATCTCTGGCTAACATCACATGCATATTTCAGAGGATCTGTACACCCCACGGATGTGGGTGCTGCCAAGCCCTGGGGGGGCGGAGGTGGGGGTGATGTGTTTCTAACAAGATCAACTATTATAACTGGGCTTTGATTTAAAGCAAAATCTATTTCACAAGCCATGTTTAGTGCTGAGTGAGAGGCGAGTGTGCAGAGACCATATCTGTAGATTATGGCATTAAGTGTGCAAATGCAAGCATAGATGAAGCAGCCACAAAATTATAGATAACAACGGGACCTGGATATAAATCCAGGGAGTTGGCAGCCACTGGGAGGCCTCCCAACTCTCCCCTCTACTTAGAGGCTGAGTCAATTTATAGCTTCCCCCTCCCCTGTTCCTGAGATCTTCAAATGCAAGTCTACAGGCCCTGAGAAATGCTGGGCATGTTCACAAGTGCAGAAAAAGGCACTTCTCTTCAAGCTCTCACTGTGTTGCCATTTGGAGTGGAGGAGAAGGAGCAGCCACTAGACGTTAGGAGTCTTGGGTTTAAGACCTAGCTCTGCCGGGTGTGGTGGCTCACGCCTGTAATCCTAGCACTTTGGGAGGCCAAGGCGGGCGGATTGCCTGAGTTCAGGAGTTTGGGACCAGCCTGGGCAACATGGTCAAACCCTGTCTCTACTAAAAATACAAAAATTAGCCGGGCGTGGTGGTGTGTGCCTGTAGTCCCAGCTATTCAGGAGACTGAGGCAGGAGAATTGCTTGAGCCCAGGAGGTGGAGGTTGCAGTGAGCCAAGATTGTGCCACTGCACTCTAGCCTGGGTGACAGAGCAAGTCTCCATCTCCAAAAAAACAAAACAAAACAAAACAAAACCTAGCTCTATAGCTCTATAGCTCTATTCCCTGCCAAAATGAATGACTTGGAAAGGGTGGTTAGCCTCCTGGAGTCATAGCCTTCCTCTGTAAGTGAAGGAGCTGGATTTTACCTTGAAGATCCCTTCATAGTTTTATAATCTATGAGTCCATGATAAATAAAACAGCAACGGAGGAACCAGCTATGAAACTCTGGATGAGTTGTTGACCACTTCTCTACTTCCCTTATTTGTAAAATCAGGTGTACAATGGTTAATCTTACATGTCAACTTGGCTAGGCCATGGTATCCACATACTGGGTCAAGCAGAAATAGAGGGAGTTGTAAATTACTTTTAGAGGAGATTAACATTTAAATCAGTAGACTTTCAGTAAAGCAGATGACCTTTTAGAATGTAAGTGGGCCTCATCCAATCAGCTGAAGGCCTTAAGAGAAAATGACTGAGGTCCCCAGAGGAAGAGGTAACTCTGTCCCCAGAGTCAAGCTGCAACACCAACTCTCCCGTGGGTCTCCAGTCTGCTAGCCTGGAGATTTGGACTTGCCAGCCCTTACAATTGCACGAGCCAATTCTGTAAAATAAATCTCTCTCTCAGTTGGGCATGGTGGCTCATGCCTGCAATCTCAGCAATTTGGGAGGCCGAGGCGGGCAGATCACCTGAGGTTGGGAGTTCGAGACCAGCCTGACCAACATGGAGAAACCCCGTCTCTACTAAAAATACAAAATTAGCTGGGCATGGTGGCGCATGCCTGTAATCCCAGCTACTCGGGAAGCTAAGTCAGGAGAATCACTTGAACCTGGGAGGCAGAGTTTGCAGTGAGCCAAGATTGCACCATTGCACTCCGGCCTGGGCAATAAGAGTGAAACTCTGTCATCAATCAATCAATCAATCTCTCCCTCTCTCTCTCCTTTTCCACTCTCCATCCTATTGGTTCTGCTTCTCTGGAGAACTCTGACTAATACGACTTGGTTAGACGAATTCAGTGGCACTCAAACTTGAGCCTTGTAAGTCTTTTTTTTTTTTTTTTTTGAGATGGAGTCTCACTCTGTTGCCCAGGCTGAAGTGCAGTGGTGCAACCTCGGCTCACTGCAGGCTCCGCCTCCCGGGTTCACACCATTCTCTTGCCTCAGCCTCCCGAGTAGCTGGGACTACTCGGTGCCTGCCACCACGCCTGGCTAATTTTTGGTATTTTTATTAGAAACGGGGTTTCACCGTGTTAGCCAGGATGGTCTCGATCTCTTGACCTTGTGATCTGCCCGCCTTGGCCTCCCAAAGTTCTGGGATTACAGATGTGAGCCACCGCACCTGGCTGAGCCTTGTCTAAGTCTTAACCCAGGCTACACATCAGACACCTCAGAAGCTGTTAAAAAAAAAACAACAAAAAAACAAAACACCAGCATCTAGACCCCAACCCCAGACAAGTTGAATTAGACTTTCTGGAAATGGAGCCTGGGCATCAGTGTTTTAAAACTCCCCAGGGCCTCCCCATGTGCAACCCAGGCTGAGGGCCATGGCTTCTCAGAGGAAACAAGTCACTTTGGAGCTTACTAGAAATGCAAATTCCCTGGGCCCCATCCAGGACCTAAGAATCAGAACCTTTGGGCAGGCTCCTGGCATCTCCAGACTTAACAAGCTCCCCAGCACATTACTCAGCTGCTCTCTAAAGTTTGACAGCTCTGAGCATGGACCACCTCTCAAGGCCCTTTTCACCTTCACAATGTGCTCCACTATTATGGTCAGAATCTGGGGGCCAGAATATAATGTCTCCTCTCAGGAGGGGGCCGAGGACATCGTAGTGGGAGAAACCAGCAGGACCCCATGATGTGAGAAGAGAACAAGCTCTTTCCGGAGCTCAGGGAGTGAGATGAACTCAGCATCCTCCCAGTCTCCACTAAGGGCACGTGGCACCTGCCAGGTAGGCCGCCTCTGCTCCTGGAGGGTATGTGTGGCCTCCAACCACCTTGGTATCCCCGGCCCCAGCGCAGCCAGGGCAGGGCACAGAGTAGGTGCTCATGCATTTCTGTTGCTGGATTGACTGAATCAATGAGCATACTGTCCCACAGTCACTGGGCCCACCCCTGTCCAGGTGTTCCTGTGGGTGGCACGCCTGTTACCTTTCTCAATTCTCACCACAATCGGAAAATGCCCTTCCCTTGCTTGTTGTTTCATCTCCTAGGCATTCTCCAGGGTCCAGCTGACACCCTCTCCCTTTGAAAGATCTCCCGATTCTTCTCTTCCCTCTGCGGTCTCTCATCACTGTTCCTGACCGGATTTACAGTCAAGCCCAGATTGCTGCCTTGTGTAGTCCTTGAGTTATTTCTCCCTTTCTTCTGTGTCTTCCCCTGGACTGTGAGCAGACAGAGGACAGGCTGGGCATATGGCAGGAAGCTGTGAGAGCTTGAGAGCTCACAGAACATGCCCAAGACACCTGTGCTTTGTGGTTCAACAGAGGCCCAAGAAAGCAAGTCGGGCCCCTCTATCCTCTCCCACCCCCTCCCCATGTATTCGGAGCCTCTACTATCAGGAGCAAGGCTTTGTGCTATATCTACATAATCTTAGACCCTGTTCCTTCCAATTCCAGGGATATGCTCTTAACCACTGCAGTATAAGCCTCCCCGCTACACTCTGAGTGGAGCAGAGGAAGGGTGTTTTTGTCTTTGAGAAAGGCAAGGATGAAGGGCAAGATTTGAGCCATGGTGGTAGATCAGAAAGAAGATCTGATAACAGGCTTAGGGATCAAAATGGTAAGGAAATGGCTTCAGGGGAGTCAGGCCTGGCCCCTGGAGCGGGAGGAGAGGGAAGGGCTAGGCTCTTTATGTACATGCTGTCCATGGGGCCTGGTAAGATTCCTGGAATCACTAACCCATTTCACAGGTGAGGCAATTGAGCCTCTCAGAGCTGAAGTAACTGACCCAAAGCATCCGTGCTCTTGTGTGGCAGAGCCAGAAGTCAAATCCAGGTCTCTGTGACCTCAAGGGGCACCAAAGTGAGTATCAAAAAGGCAGAAAGGGACTTATCCCTTCACTCACTCAGCAAAAGCATAGTAAGCAGGTCTGTGTGCCGGGCATTGCTAAACACATAGCAGCGAATAAAAGTGTCAGCCACAATGAGTTCACAGCCTAGTGACTGAGGAGTGAAATGCTTTAGGCCATGGCATCCTGGAGGGGGACTACCTGCCTGGTTCTGGAGTCATCCTCACCAAAGCTTTGAAGCCTGAATCCCAGCTGTAGGCTGGTCTCTGGCCTTCAGCTGTGAAAGTCATTCAGATACTGCCATCTGGAGAAAAGGATTGGTGCTATCTTGCTGGTCCAGGTCAAGAGGAGCAGGAGGAAGAAGAGGAAGAAGACTGCCTCCATCTCAGTGGATGTTTTCCAAGGGCCCCCACAAAGCTGGGAAGAGCTTGCCCCATTTCAGTGTGGGTGCCACACCTTTTCCAGCACAGGGTTCTCCTAGAGAAGGGAAATCCCCCATCTGAAACAGTGCCAAGGAGGCCGTAGTTTGCATCCACACTCCCCATTCATTGCTCCCTTAAACATCTGCAGGGACTAGAAGCCCAGCAAAGTCACCAAGAGTGACAGGCATCTGTACATGTTGGGGGAAGGAGTGCAAACATGCCATTCTTTAGGGCAAGAAGAGTCTATAGATCCAGAGGCCTCCCTAGCCCACCCCATCCTGCCCTTCCCATGTTTCTGCTCTGATCCTTTCCTTGGCTTCCTTTTGAGGCTGAGTTTTCCCCCTTTCCCCACTGAACTGCCCCTGGGGTCCCAGCCAATCTCAAAACCCAGCCCAAGCAGTAAAAATTCCCATCAGATAATATGTTGAGATTTCAGGTTCGGAAATCACTTTATGTTGTATCCACTTTTCCCCAGCAGCGTCTAAGGTTCTTAAGGGGAGAGAGCATGTCATACTGCTTTTCACATCTATAGCACAATGCCTAGTACATAGTAGGAACTTAATATGTTTATGATAAATGCAGTTTCACAACAGCTATGGATTTCCAGAGACTTCAGATGCAATAAAACATCCTTTACACAAAGGCACTACCGCCACAGGTACTATTTAGAAGATCCAGGGGGTATTGTGATTACCCAGGGGTCCTCTTTAGGAACATAATGATGACATTAGAGTCTCTAAGAAACGTCTGGTCATTTATAATTTTGAGTAAAGAAGCATGAATGACTCAACAACAGAAAAACCCCAACAACACAACTCAAATAGACATTTCTCTAAAGAAGACATACAAATGGCCCAGTAAGCACATGAACAGATGCTCACCATCACTATTAGGAAAGGGTAAGTCAAAACTACAATGAAATACCATCTCATAGCCATTAGGATGGCTACTGTCAAAGAAACTAAATAACAAGTGTTGGTGAGGATGTAGAGAAATTGGAACCCTTGTGCCTGACTGGTAGGAATATAAAATGCTGCAGCTGCTGTGGCAAACGCTAGGGAGGTTCCTCAAAAAATTAGACATGGAATTACCATAGGATCCAGCAATTCTACTTTTGAGTACATAATCAAAAATAATTGGAAGCAAGAACTCGAACAGATATTTGTACAAGCACATTCATAGCATTATTCACACTAGCTCAAAGGTGGAAACAAACCGAAGTCCATCAGTGGATGAATGGGGAAACCAAATGTGATATATACACAAAACAAAACATTATTCAGCCTTAAAAAGGAAGGAAATTCTAACACCTGCTACCACATGCGTGAACTTTGAGGATATCAGGTTAAGCGAAATATGCCAGACATAAAAGGACAAACACTGATTCTGCTTCTTGGAAGTACCTGGAATCAGGGGATGGAGGTGTGGCGAGTTAGTGTTTAATGGGGACAGAGTTTCATTTGGGATGCTAAAGAAGTTCTGGAGATGGCTAGTGGTGATGTTTGCATTACACTGTGAATACACTTACTGTTACTGAATTATATACCTAAATGATGAATCTTACTTTACGTATAATTTTACCACAAGTGAATGTATGAATGAAGCATGAATGAATGAATGAATGAAGGCTGCATGGGATATGAGGAAAGCATTTGACCACTGGAACCCGACAGCCATGATTTCTAGCTGTGTGAAAGTGAGTTGACACTCTACTTCTCTGAATTTCAAGTCTGTCGTCTGTAAAATGGGGTAAGAAGACCCCAAACGGGGATAAAAATACCCATGCTACAAAAGGGAGTCAAGGGTTAAATGAGATAATGTATATGAAGCCTGGCGCTCAGGGCCAGGAGACTCCTCCGATCTCTCACCCTTTCCCCCTTCTCCCTGGGTGGCTGCATCCATTGGCCAGGTTGGCCTCAGGCGCCAACCCCAGCTCACCTTTCCCAGGTCGATCTGCAGCCTCCTTCCCATGTCCCACTCCTGAAGGAGGGCCGCCAGCTTCCTGCGACTCAACAGACAGACACAGGGGCAGGAGGCCAAGCTTCACAGTGTCTCCCCGGGGCGCTTGCAACAAGCAAACAAGCAAAGACTGAAATAGGGAAGGTAGAGTTTCACACTCTGTGGGAAGTTTGTGGCAGAGATATTTTTAGGAGGGGAGAAGGTGGGAGATATTTTTAGGATGGGATGCTTTTCCCATTGCTCCTCCAATCCCACCTCCCTGTGGGGAACCGAGGAAAGGTAGCATTAAGAGCCGCCTGTGATGAAGGAGGCAGCCGGCACTGCTGGGGAGAAGGCAGCCGCTCTCCGCTTCATCCTTGGGCTGGGACCCCAGATGTTTGACCCTGGCCAGCCCCTTGCTGGCCTTCCCGACAGAGCCACTTCCCTTTTGGGAGTGCAGCCTGGAGTTCCCTTCCCCCTCCAGGCCACAGCCCCACTCTCCCTTAGGATGACCTGAAAGGGAAGTTTATAAGAGGAAAAGGAATGAACGGGATCCTATTTAACAGCACATGCTGGGCGGAGGAACTTCCTGACAGGAACCAATGTGGAAACCAGGCCCAGTTTGGCCATGGAAAACTGGTTTGGCTCAGAACTGGCCAGAGTGGAGAGGAGACCTTGGGCAGCTGCACGTCGCAATTAAACTGGACTTGTCCGACTTCGCTTTCTTTCTTGTCCCCTCTAAGCAAGCAGACACTATAATAATCTGCACACCACAGGGGGTGTGCAGATTATTTTTTTAAGTCTAGGGGAAAGAAACCCCACCCTCATTTAGGTCACAGAGACATAAAGGGCTACTGGCTAGGCTCAGCAAATCAGGAACAGATGTAGGCAGCGGAGCAGGGCCAGGCGAGCAGAGCCGCTGCCACCAGGCGCCCAGCCTGAGTCACCCTGGCGGGGAGGGCGGGAGGTGGTGGGCAGGGGTGGCCGTCTTTATTTGTGGGCTTGGGTGTGGGGTGCAGGAAACAATGCAAACAGAAGAGTCCCCGGGGCTGGGACAGGCGCAGGGGTGCGGGCAGGTACGGACAGGCTCCCAGTGGCTGCTCTTCTGGGCCAAAGGATTAAAACAGGCCCTGAGTTTG
Organism: Homo sapiens; assembly: GCF_000001405.40. NCBI lineage: Eukaryota > Metazoa > Chordata > Mammalia > Primates > Hominidae > Homo > Homo sapiens. Next base: position 48,073,599 of record NC_000018.10, read on the forward strand.
AACAGGGAGAAGGCTCTGCTCCTCCCTCAGCCTCTTTCTCTCCTTCCCCTGCCCTCCCTCTCCCCCCACCCAAGAAGACCTTATTTCCAGGGCTGAGTCTGGCTGTGGCTGGCCGGCTGGCCTCCGCCCTGGCTCCCCAACCCCTCTCTTTAAGGGCCAGGCTGTCCTGTGGCTGGCAGCTGGCAGGAGAGGCCTGGGGTGGACGTTTCAGCCCTTGCTCCCCGAGTTTCTGCACAAAGCCCTATCCTCTCTCCTCAGTTCTCCCTTTTCTCTCCTCACTCTGATTTGTCTCCTGTAGACCCCCAAAGAAATATTAGCTTCTCAGGGCAAAGGCCCTGTCCCTGCCCCTCAGGCCCCAGCCAGGCCTGCAGTGGGTATTCAGTCCTCATTATGACTTTCTCGAAAAGAAAAATTTCTTTTTTTTTTTTTTTTTCAGACGGAGTCTCGTTCTGTCACCCAGGCTGGAGTGCAGTGGCACAATCTCAGCTCACTGCAACCTCCACTTCCCAGGTTCAAGCAATTCTCCTGTCTCAGCCTCCTGAGTAGCTGGGATTACAGACGCATGCCACCACGCCTAGCTAATTTTTCCATTTTTAGTAGAGACGGGGTTTCACCATATTGGTCAGGCTGGTCTTGAACTCCTGATCTCAGGTGATCTGCCTGCCTCGGCCTCCCAAAGTGCTGGGATTACAGATGTGAGCCACCACGCCCGGCCCATTATGACCTTTTCTAAGGTCACCCTCCATCTGGGGGGCAGTCATTCCTGAGATATCGCTTTTTCCTTCATATAACACAGCCCCTTGCACATGAGAAGCAGGGACCTCCTCTGTCTCCATGGCCCTCTGGCCTGGTACACAGTAGGTGCTCAGCAGACGACTGTCATAGGAATGGATGAGCACCACTGGGCACCAAGGGAACCATCAGAGAGAGCCCAGCAGCTCAGAACCGCACAGCCCTGTGTGGGCAGCTGTGTGCTGAGGCTGCTTCCTTGCACCTTTCTTGTATGGAGAGGAAGGCTTTCATGATACCCTCAGACCAATTGCAGACAGCACTCTGGAACAGAGTAATCTGGTGTTTCCAGCCCCTACAAACTCTCCAGTGACAGGATGAAGAGAAAAGTAAGGGCCTCTTCTCAAAGGTGCTCTCTATGGCCGAGCAGAGAAAACAGAATCAAAGCAGTTTTTAGCTGGACGGTTCCAGCCTGGCAAACACAGAGGAAAAATGGCAGGATCAAGGACGCTTGGCTTAAAGGAACGGACACCCAGCTCTCCTGCTGTCCAGGTCCTCTCCATTCAGTGATGTTTTTGTGATGGGTCACACACTTATTAACATACTGGCACCTTTTGTTTTTTAATTCTCAAATTTCCCTTGATCCTTTGACTCCTCTAGTTAATTGAACTCACATCTTTGCCAGCATCAAAATAGGTCATCTATCAAAGTGCGCAGAGAAGAGGGAGGTGGCACAAGGTACAAGGAGAGAAAAGAGGCGTTTGGCAATTTCCCCAGGATACAGACTTCCATGTGTTTTCTCAACTCTGCCTCCCCCACCCACAGTGCTACAGGCATTAGCATGAAGAGGACGCATTTGAGCTTCATCAATGTGCTGGGTAGATGGCACTGCCAAACAGCTCCTCAAGGCATACTGGCCTCCACTTGGTCATTTCTCCCCTCCCAAATGCCCTTACTGTTCTATGGGAGAGAAAGGACACAAGCTCTCCAGTCTTAGCTGCAGATCTGCTCATTCTTATCCAAAGAGGCTGGTGATGCGACAAAGGGCTTCAAGCCCAGTGCCCAATAAGGAGAAGCCAGATGGAAATGGGAACAGCCAGCCCAGAGAGGAAGAACATGCTAGAACCTCCACAGGATCTGTTTGATGCCTGGAGTTCCAGGAAACACAGAGCAGCCCTTCTTCCCTCACCGTGGGCTTGGCTGAGATCATCGGCTTAGCGATTGCACAGTTTTGGGTTGATTGATTCCTCCTCCTGCCTCCCCACTCCCAGGATGGCATCTGGAGGCTTCCCCTGCAGCTGCAGGGAGAGCAAGAGCTCTCAGGCCTGTTTCTGGGTGGAGGAGGGGCAGGTGACTCCTTTCTACCTTTCCCCAGGTAGAAAGGTAGAAATGACACGACACAGGTCAGCGTCATCCTCCCTGCAGTTGAAAGGGAGGATGTTCAGGTTAAACAGAAGAGCCTTCAGAGGCCCCACCTGCTCTGTCCGCTAATCTCCCAGCACGTCCAGAAATCAGAAACACCAGTTGAAGATGCCCCATCCTCCCAAATCCGCTCTCCTAGGAGTTCCCAGCTCTGCTCTCGGGCTGAACATATAATCCATCTTTGTGCACCTAAGAGAGCGCCTCTTGGCATGTAGTACCGGGTGCCAAAGAAATGTTTGTTCCCTCACTCCACCCTCCCTTAACTTGTTCCTCCCCAGCGCCTGCTCAGGCAAATTCAGCAAATGCCTACCAAATGAAGGCCTTCTATGAGTCGGGCTCTGGGCAAGGTGCTGCAAGAATGAAAAATAAACATGTTTCTTGTCCCCAAGGCAGAGGGATAATGGGTCCCCACTAAATGAGCCGCTTCTATGTTCCTAGTGGCTTGTGAGGCACTTTACTCCTGTGACCTGACTTTAGTTTTCACAGCAATGCTAGGAGGCAGCTAATCAGTCTCTAATTTTATTTATGAGGAGAGTGAGACTCAACGAGTGAAGGAAGGAATTGACACTCTTGTAGTTGCAACAGGTTCTTTATAAATAACCACAAGGTTTAATGTGGTAAGGACCTAGAAAAGAAAAATGGAAAGTGCTGGGTGCCTAGAGGAGGGTAAGGGGAGGGAGGTGGGGGGTTTCCAATGGGCAAAGGGCCACTGGCAGTTCTATATCCAGGCTATATCTAGGACACTGGTCCCAAATAGAAAAGCAATTTTTAAATATCCAGGACACTGACCCCAAATATTCCCTGCTTTCCAAGCACCTTGCCAGCCACTGAGATTGTGGGTGAGTGGTTGCCCACACGACTAATTTCCAAAGCAGAGAAGATGCAAGAACCCCATGGGCAGGGAGCAGGGTGAGGGGCTCTGGGCTTGGCAGGAGCCTAGTTCAAGTTGCTGATGGGCTTTGTCCTCTTGACCCACGGAGACCTTGGGACAGCTATTATGAGGGCTCCACAGGGAACCTTCTAGACTTGCATGTTGGAGCCAGGGGTCCCAAAATGCACTGCTCTGCTGAGAACCCATGGGATTGCAGGAGAATGTAGTCATTATGCCCTGCCCAAAGCCCGAACCATGATCCCTTTTCCAACAAATCGAATTCAATCAAGGAAGAAGCTTCAAATAAGTACTAACCTGGCTTTAACACTTCTCCATAATGTCCTACATGTTTCTGAACTTGGCCAAGACAGCACCTAAGTTCCCTTCCAGCAAAGGTCACAGGAAGAGAATAGAAAGAAATGCACAATATGTTGTTATATGCAAAAAAAAAAAAAAAAAGCATTTCCTCCTCTATGATTTTTTTTCTTATTCTAAAGGCAATACAGGCTCTCTTTAAAAATCAGAAAATCCTGCAGGGGTGGGGTGGAGGAAATGAGGAGATGTCGGCTAGAGGGTACAAACTTCCAGTTATGAGTAAGTTCTGGAGACCTAATAAAAGTCATGGTGACTATAGTTAATAATAAGGTATGGTATACTTGAAACTTAAATATTCTCCAGACACACACACACAAAGGTAACTATGTAAGTGGAGGGGGTAATGAAGGTGAGATGGGGGTGGTGCTTAAAAACACCCTACTGGTGATTCAATACGGAACTCCCCCAGTACGCTCACACCCCAAACTCCGTCATTGAGAAACCCTGCAATAAACGCACAAAACCAGGGAGTGAGGAAGGGCGTGTGGGGCACACCCTATCCAACTTGGCGAGTCTGAGCCTAGTACAGGGCCTGGCATGGAGCAGCTGCTTAAAACACTTGTTGAATGAATGAACAGAGAAGTGAAGTGACAAAGTACAGTCAGGGCACATGGAAGGTCACCAAAGAGGGTAGCTGCTTCCAGTCACAGATGCACACGTGGAAGTCGGGGTAAGTGAGCCCCCAAAGGTGTAAGCACTGAATGTAGTGGTGGCAACATTTGATGAGCACCTGGGTCACCTCGTCCTCACCATCTGAGTTGGGTCTTATCATCATCACCTCTCAGCAGGCAGAGGCAGGACTCAGGCCTGCACAATACCCTGCTGGCTCCCTGGTTATAGAGGTAAGATGCTGAGGAGACCCACCAAGAGCCTCTTTCGGTCCCTTAGCCTCCCCAGCTCACCTGGCTGGGCTCCAGCTTGAGTTTAAACTATGTCTATGCAGAATTAGAGGGGCCCAGGGCACATGAGGGAGAGTCTTGGGGTGGGGGGGAGGGCAGGCAGCCAAGCATCTGTTGCATGAAGGAACAAGCTGCCCCCCATACCATGACTCTCCCCAAGACAGGTGGAGTAGAAGGCCAGAAGCTAGAGACTCAGACCCCTCAGGGTTGGAGGTGATGGGAGATTTGTCACTAAGATGGCCCTCTGGCTTATCTCGCATGATTCCAAATACCCATCATTCATTCACTCATTCAGTTACACAACACATAATTCTCAAGCTCCTGCAATATATCAGGTCCTGTACAAGGGAAAGGATCCTACCGGGAGAGAGCCCAGGAAAATCCAAAGGTTCTGTGTCTAACATCTCCGAGACACACATGCAAGGCCCCTTTGGTGGCAGCACAAAGGTGGGAAAGTGTGGCTGTCTGACTCTGCAGAGAACATGGTGTGGCCCCAGGACCTCTGCTGCCTCTGGGGGGCATACCTTCAGGATGGGCAGGGTACCCTCAACCTTGGTACTGGCACCTTGGCTCACACTCCACCGGCAGCATCAGGTCAGCCTTGAGGGCATCGGTGCAGCAGGCCCAGCATAAGAAGAGTGAGTTGGGTGTACTGGGGAGCAGTCGTGGGATGCTTGGGGGCTCCAAGGGTTGTGGTGAGCACTGCCCCGACTAACTGAAAGCTACAGGAGAACCTCCATTCTCACACCAGAGTGGTAGAGAGAGCCACTAATTTCCAAAGCAGAGAAGATGCAAGAACCCATAGGCAGGTAGCAGGGTGGGGGGCTCTGGGCTTGGCAGGAGCTTAGTTCAAGTTAATGATGGACTTTGTCCTCTTGATCCACAGAGCCCATAAAATTATACAACATGTAACCTTTTGTGTCTGGCTTCTTTCACTAGCATGATGTTTTCCAGGTACATCCATGTTGTAGCATGTATTAGTGCTTCATTCATTTTTAATGGCTAAATAATATTCCACTGAATGCATATATCACAATTTGTTCATTCATTCATTCATTCATTCATTGATAGACATTCGGTTTAGTTTTGACTATTGTGAATAGCGCTGCTGTGAATGTTGATGTACAAGTATTTGTTTGAGTACCCATTTTCATTTATTTTGGGTATATGCCTAGGAGTGGATTGCTGTGAGGAATTATAGAATTTCTAGAGCTGGGGTGAACTTAAAGATCAATTATTCCAGTTTTACAGATTGGTAAACTGAGGCCTCAGATGGCTCTCTGCCTTGTTTGGGATCATACATGCGTCACGATATGATGTATGGCCAGATGCCAAGGGGCCAGTGGCATTTTTCAGTTCAACCACAGGTAAGTCATGACTCGTTGCCCTTATTATGGGGTCCATGGTGCCCAGCACAGTGTCTCTTGTACATAGTAGGCACCAGATATTTGTTGAATAAGTGAAATAAAACATTTGTGCCCAATTTTTTAAAGTGTTACCTATTCTGGAAAGGGAGGCACCCACTATCCCATCTCAGAGATTCAAAGAATCCTGCGGAACAAAGTGTCAGAATAAATGGGCCCAGGGTCCACCTCATTGGAGGGGACAAACTCAACTGCAGTGGGATCGTGGGGTACTGGCCACTTCATTTCCTAACCCCTCCCCTCCTGGCTACATCAGCACCTCCTCGCCAAAGCAGAGAGGATGAAGCTGGCTGGGCTTTAGGGGCCACAATGGCCTAAGGAGAAGGCAGCCAGCTCACCCATCAGAGCCCCTCCAGACCCATACTCTTAGCAAAACTGCCTTCACAAAAGAGAAGGGGTGGGCTCCAGCCCGCTGGAAAGGCCTTGGCTCTTGCAGTTCTGCCATTCCACTTCGTGGGGTATGATGTAGCCTCTAGGACCTGCTTCCTGGGAGGCTACAGGGGAGCCGGGGAAGAGGGACATAGGTCCACTTCCAGGGGGACCGAGCACTGGCACCTCAGCCAGCAAGAAGAGCCTAGTCTGTGGGCCAGTGGGCAAGTGCCCAGGGACTGCAGGGCATGGGGCCACCTCCTCAGCTTTCCACTCCTCTGACAGCAGCACATGAGTCTGTGCTAACGACACCACTGCTCCTCAGCACAGGGAGCAGACGTTACCACACTCTGGCAAGCCCACTGACAGCAGAATGGCGCCTTTGGGGCCCGCCTGGTGGGGGAGTGACATTCAATGTCTCCATCAGCTGAAGGATGACAGCCCCAGATGGGATCAGCCCTGCATGGAGTACAAGGGCTTCTGAGCCAGCCTGCTGTCACTCTTAACACTTCAGTCACCTCAGCCCACACCGTCCTGATTCCTGTATCCAAGCCCTCTAGTACCTGGACAGACCCATGTGTGACTCTGGATATCTGAGTGCAGACAGCACCCTGCCAGATCCAAGTTGCCCACAAGCGACACGGCATTTGGGTGTTCACTTGTACCCTCTCATTTCACATCCTTATTTCTCTGTGGGTCCCAGTGTAAGCCCATATTTTTCATGTATTGACTCTCATTAAGGCGAAGCTAAGAGAGCCACAAACAATGCTCTAATTAATGTGCATGACAGAAGGAGCAGGCACCTGGAGTTTCCAATTCCTAGGCATCCTTCTACTTTCCATCTAACCCGTCAAGCTGCTTCACCTCTGTGGGCCTCTGTTTCTGCATCTGTAAAGGAAGGAATGGTCTCTGCACTTCCCCTTCAAGCTCTGAAGTGCCCTCACATGGGGTCTATTATGTAGGTTAGTGGCTGATGTGGCACCATGTGACATGAACTGGGCTGTCCTGACACCAGCCACTGTGAGCTTGGCTGGTCCTGCTGGGGCTGCACACAGTGAGGCCTGGGCAAGCCTCCAGAGCCCACAAGGCCAGGCAACCCCAGAGCCCATGAGGCCAGGCAACCCGAGAGCCCCAGGTTTCCCCTGGGTCTGGCTGTCCACCTGCTCATCTTTCTCCCTCTGCCCCTGCCACTGTAGAGAGCCCGGGCAAGCCCACGTGCTTCCTGCTTCTTTTCCCCACTTGAGATTCGTGTATTCTTTCCTCACTCACCCCTGGTTTGATCTCTCTCATCAAGCATCACTGAAATTTCCCTGGGAGCCTGACACTGGCCAGCCATACAGCTCTCCCTGCAAAGACACCATGGAGCTTCTCCCATTACTGGGGGTAAATTCCTTGAAATGGATGAGTAACAAAAGCTAAAATTTAGTTCTTCTTGATGCAAATCTTTGAGAAGGGAAGTGGAAACCCTACCTGTGATGAAAATGAGACATCAGGAGGCCATCTCTCAGTCTCCAGACAGTCAACAGCCAAACTTCCAGGGAGGCTTAGCATAGCTTGGATCCTGCAACTGGCCCCATGACCATTCAGCATGGGGCATCGAGTCTGCACCTTGCACTCAGGTTTTCTGATTCTAGACACCTGTTGTACCATCCATGTCAGGACCAACAGACAAGTCTGATGTAGCCCAGGAAGGGGAGGCAGTTCCTGGCTGTTTTAAAGGCTGTGGTTTTGCTCATTCTAAATGATTTCTTTTTTCTTTTTCTTTTTCTTTTTCTTTTTTTTTTTGGTTGAGATAGAGTCTCACTCTGTCGCCCAGGCTGGAGTGCAGTGGTGCAATCTCAGCTCACTGCAAGCTCCGCCTCCCAGGTTCATGCCATTCTCCTGCCTCAGCCTCCCTCTAAGTGATTTCTTTACAATACCACCATCAAGGCCTTTCTCCCTTCTTTTCCTTCAGTTCCCAATCCTCAGATCTTAACGTGCCTCCTGAGGTTCAACAGGGGTCCAGCATCAAATTAAGTTCTGCAAAATGTTTTGAACTCCTACCATGTGCAGAAGACTCTGCTTGTGCTGTGTGACCTGGAAGCCATTAGCCACACGAGGCTATTAAGCACTTGAAATGTAGCTGCTCAAACTGAGATGAGCTGCAAGTGGAAGATAGACACTGGATTTTGAAGATTTAGTACCAAAAAAAAAGATAGATATAGCATTAATAATTTTTATATGAATTACATGTTGAAATGATATGTTAGATATACTGAGTTAAAATATATTGCAAAAATTAATGTTAACTTGTATTTTTGTAATGTGACTATGAGGAACATTTTAAAGTCAGTATGTGGCTGGCACAATATTTCTATAGGACAGTGTTGGTCTACGCATTAGAGGAGGCCAAGAGGAAGAAAACTGGTCCTTATCACAATGGTTTGGGGACTTGGGGGTGTTCCAAGTGAGTTGAAATTAAAACAGTCCCCATAAAGCATTTGTTTTTCACAAAATTATACACTGTCCCCTTGCACAGCCTATTTGGAGAAGATTCCAACACGCTGAGCCTTATCATAGGGCAACAGAATGTAAGAACATCTTGAGCATGAGATCTGAGCCATCATTTTTCTCTGCAGGTAAGAATACAGGTAAAACTTCCACAATGGTGCCTGGGAATGATCAAATTGTTAGTCATCTTGGGTATTTTCAACCCACCTACATTACCGAAGTCCTGTTCCTTATCTGCAGGAACCCAAGATGAGACGGAGCTGTCACCCAGGCCCTCAGCAGGGAAGCAACGGGCTCAAAGCAATGCTGGAACTGCCTGACAAGGTAGGAGGTGTGTGCAGGCAGGCACAGGTCACTGCCTTCTCTCTGGGATGTTTGCTTGTGTCGAGGCACAAGTTAGGGGAATTGTAATATATGTCTATGTATTTTACCCCAGGGAAAGGGAGAAGCTCCAGGTATCTGGAAAGGAGAGAAAGTAAGGCAAACAGCAGACTCTGAGTACCTCCCGTGCGCTGGGCATGAGTTTTATGTAATCTCATCATCCTCACAATGACCTTGCTGGGTGGGTATGGGCCCATTTTAGAGATGAGAAAACTGAGAGTCAGAGGCCTAGAGCAAGGCCTAGAGCAGGTTGCTTTGATGGAGAGCCACATGTACACTTCAACTGCCCTCCACAGGAAGGATCTGATGTGGGAAACTGCTGGGTGAATGAGGTCTGGCCTGGAAGTCAGGCCTCATGTCCTGGATGCAAATTTCATGAGTTGGTTGATTTTGGACAAGTGGCTTTCCCTCTCTGTACCTCAGTGTTCTTAAAATGAAAATCTAGGTATTGGGAGACATGATCAGTGTTCACCAAACTTTTCCCAACTATAACCCGCTATGACATTTTTCTTCATGACCAGGATATACATCTGCGTGTGAAGACCTGAAATAAAAGTATTGAATAATACTTACTCTAACTACATATGATGCATGTTATTTTCTATTCTATTCTTCTTTTCTTTTTTTAATTTTAAAAAGCTAGCGCTATGACCTACTAGATTGATCAAACTATCCATAATAGAGCATCACTTGCAGTTTGAAAAACACTGCCTTAAATGATTGATTTCCAAGTAGCCCTCTAGAACCAACATCCCGAGGGGCTGTAATTGATGCCAAACTAACAATCTAGAAGCCTCAGTTGCAGACCAGCTTTCTTCCCTCCACAGTATTCCTTCATCTCTCTTTCTCTCTTTAGCCCCTCGTCCCCTGCCTGTCCTCACCCACCCTACCCCTCCTCACCCATCCCACACCTCCTCATACAGAGGCAGCAAAATAAATGCAAAGCATTTCTCTCCATCTAAGGGAAGGGTACGCTGGAGACAGAGAGAAGGACTAGAGGAGGCTGCGGTGCAAAGTTTGTGTCTGACCCCACTCACAGAGCCCTGTTTCCATAGGCCATTTGCTGGGACATGGAAATCTCTAATCACTGAATGCTTCTCTGTAACGGAATTTGTCATAATGGGGCTTTACTGCTCCATACAGCAGCAAAATCCATTTCAGTGCCCTTAAAAAAATGAAATTAAAGAAGTTCCCCTGACTGTAAATGGTGGCTGGGTAAGGAAACTCCTTTGTTCCTTCTGATTATGAGGTTATAAAGGGCCTTATTTTAGCAACCCATATTAGGAACTTACTTTCCCCTCCTATCTTGTCCCTGAAGAAAGGAAGAGCTTCAGTGGACCCATTTGGTGAACTTCCAATCCTGTTGGTTGAAGCAGGCCTTTAAACACGACCTGAGACCGACTCTCCAGGGTCGTCGCAGGGACAGCCTCCTCCCTTGTGCCTATGGAAGGTTTCCACACCGAAGGAAACTACCAGAACCTTCTGCAGGCATGAGGCCTCCTCTGCACCCAGCTTCCTTTTCCATTACCCCTGGGTGGGTGTCCCACTGTGCTGAAGGGTGGTGTTGAGGAAGGAAGCAGTGGGGCACGTCTCCTAGCCCCGGAGCAACTAAGGAGAGAATGAAAGGTCTCAGGGAAGGTTCAGCCTTCCGAGGCCTCACCCTGGGTCAGAGGAAGGCGGGGCAGTGGGGAGCAAAGATCAGGGGCCAGAGGTCGGGGGACTGCAGAAATGAGGTCCTGCCAGATGATATGCCATCCCCTCCCCACGATGGGGGCTTAGGTCTCTTCGCCCTGTTGTTTTGAGTAAGTTTCACATCACACTCTATTTCATTTCACTTGTCATATTAGGAAGCGGCCATCTTTAGCTCTGGGTTGACTCACAGCAGTGGCGGCAGGTGGCTCTTGAGGTCCCTGCAGCTCCTCTGCTCCTCTGACCTGACTCCACTGGGCATGTCTGCACTTTTCTGGGGCATCCAGCATGAACCTGGACCCACAGTATGCCTGTGAGCCACGGAGGAGTGAGTGACTCAGGCAGGCCCCACTCGCCCTATCACCCCTACCCTGGCCCCCGTGGCTGGTGTTTACACAGATTCAGACCCAGTGTGGCCCAGCCTGGCTTCCTCAACCCTCCGGGCCAGTGCTGGGCCTTCCCACCCACTTCTTGCCCTCCTCAGGGGTTAGCATGGGTCTCATGCACCTCAGGACCTAGTAAGTATGTTGAGTTTGAAGCACTTGGCAAGGCAGAGACAGAAATGGTGGCTGCTTGTATGGGGTATGGTATCTGGGAGCCAGAGAGGGACTCTGTCACCCGAACCCCTTTGTCTGAACCTCTGTTCAGTGAACCTCTGTCACTCCTACTGACCCCTGAAGCTTCCCCGCTGACTGATGCCCATCATTCCACAATCAAACCTTCATTCCTTTGGGGCAAGCCAAACCTGTACTTTAGCCCACATTAAAATGCCCAGCCCCCGGGAATGGTGTCATTAACATCTTATCAGTCAATTACATCTCAGTATGGATGAGTTCATCCAGATCAACTCAGCTGAACTCAAGGGCCTACCTTGAGCCTGGTCCTCTGCTGGGCTTTACGGCAGGGCGGGTGGGGGTAGGTAAAAAGGCGAAGAAGACACAGACCTTGCTTTCAAGGGGCCTTAGGCTCTGTCCTGAGAGCAGGCTTTGGAGGTAGAGCTGGGAGTATGCTGGGGAGAGGAGGGTGAGCAAGAGGGAGGGAAAGGCCCCATTTCGTCACCCAAGCATGTTTACCTTGTGGTGCCTACCCAAAGGGGCCCATTACCTCTCCCCCAGGAGAAGTCTCCTCACTAGAGACGTTTGTCACAGGCTCAAATAAGACATGATTTTTTTCTGCCTGACAAACATGAACTGACAAGGAGTAGAAGATGTGAAAAGGCAGCCCTAGACCAGGGTTTGGATCCCTGCTCTGCTATTCATTAGCTGTGTGACTCTGAGCAAGTGACTGAACGTCTGTGTGCCTCAGTTTCCTCCTCTGTCAAGTGGGGAGTATGAGTCAATTCTACATCCTAGGGTTGTGAGGATTAAAAGAGTTAATACTATGAGTACTTAGAACAATTCCTGGCTGGCAGGAAGTACTCAATAAACATTAGCTATCAATATTATCTAATAGTAAATATCTTCAGGGGAAAACTGAGTGTTGGTCATGAAGAACTGGGCTTTGGGCTCACTGTAAGGAATGGTGACCACACAGACTCTGGGACGAATAAATGTCTGGAATCTTCAGAGACCCCTCCCTGCCTGGCCAGGGGCCCTGCCTGGCTCCAGCAGCAGATTCAGTGACTGTGGCTCTGGTGGGAGGCCTCTGAGGGGCTCTGGTTCCTTCTCCAGGATCCCTGCCTGACCATGCCTAGGCCATCTCAGCCACAGGCTGGGCAGCGGAGCCACCTCTCCTCTCTCCCTGAGCTGGCTTACTCTGAACATTGCTGGCTGACTCATCTTCTTACAAGCAACTTGGATCATGTCATTCTCTTGTTCAATCACCTTTGACAGGTCCCCACCTTCGTCATGAAGGACAGTTCCTGAACCTGGCATTCATTCTGCCCCTGCCTGCTTCCTGGGCTTTTCTTTTTCTCTCTGCTGTTCCCCACTAACCACAGGAAGAAATCACCAAGTTCTTAGACTGTGCCCCACTGTACAGATCCAAGAGTATGTATTATCTCATTTAATCCTCACAACAACCTCATAAGGTAGATACTATTATTATCATCCCCATTTTATAGGTGAGGACATTGAGGCACAGAGAGGTTAAGAAATATACTCAAGGTCACACAGCTAGGAGATGGTAGAGTTGAAACTGAATTTCAGAAGGCAGGCTCCAGAGCCTGCATTTCTACCTACTGCCCTGTAAAGCGGCACCCCATGTTCCATAATCTAGATCATTTTCTGTTTCCCTAACACCCCGTGTATGGTCCCATTGCTCACACAAGCCTCTCTGTTGCCTGGAATGCCTTCCTACTCTCATCCCCTCCAGAGTCCTGTCTCATCCACCACAATGGAACCCACACTTCAGGGTTCTCAGTAAAGAGTACCGCCTGTTCAGGGAGAAATCATCTTTCCTTCTCTGCAGCCTTGCAGATGCATGTGAACTTTATCTCCCTTCCTGGATTCTGAGGGCTCTGCCTTGTGTGTCCTTGATCTTCTTGCAGCAGGCTGAGCAGGCTTAGTACTTATTGTTAAGTGAACGAATGTGTGATGTGCAACAGGCTTTAAACTTTGCAAACGCTTGTATGTTTACCATCTTATTTAAATTTAATACAATTTATTTAATCGAACTCTGTGCTGGAGTGGGCCTTGTTATTCCCATTTTGCAAATATTAATAATAATAGCTACCGTTTGTTGAGTGCTTACTTCCTACAAGGCGCTGTGCTAAAGGGTTAACATATATTGTTTTTCAGTAACTCCTCCCAGCGATTCTGAGAAGTAACTATAATGATCCTCATTTTCCAGATGAGAACACTGAAAGTCAGAAATGTGAGGTGATCTGCCCAGGATTGTGCACATAGTTAGTAGGAGAGGTTGAAACTGACTTCAAGTCTTCCAGCACTGGATCCTCAGCCTTGGTTGCCTGCTATTGAGTGCTCACTGTGCTCCTGGGCCTGGAGAAGGCAATGAGAGCATCCAAAAGCAAGGAGGGCATCTGAATTCTATGAACAAAGGCAAGAGGCAGGAAAGCTCCAGTGTTGTCTCATGACAAGTAAGACACTGGAGTTTCTATGAGAATGTGAAAATGTTGAACACAGTGTTCCCTTAAAACACAATTCCTGCTGGCTAGGGCCAGGGAGACTTACAGACCTTTTGCATTCCCAATAAGCTATGTTCTTATGCTCATTACTCTCCCACTTCTCAGATTTGATTCCAAGTGATCAGAGCTGTGACCCTGGTCTGGCAGAGGCCAAAGGAGGCATTTATGGCCAGGCATGGTAATCACTCTTGTGGTAATCCCCACGCCTGGGGAGGCTGAGGCAGGAAAAATCCTCCAAAGCTAGGAGTTTAAGACCAACCGGTGCAATAAAGCACAACCCCATCTCTAGAAAAAAATTAAAAAGAAAAAAAAATTAGCTGGGCACGGTGTCATGTACCTGTAGTCCCGACTACTTGGGAGGCTGAGGCAGGAACATCTCTTGAGCCCAAGAGTTTGAGGCTGCAGTGAGCTGTGACTGTACTACTGCACTCCAGGCTCACCTGGGCAACAGAACGAGACCCTTTCTCTAAAATAAATAACAAATAAAGGATGGTTACTTACTTTTAAAAGTGGGTGGGGGGGGGGGGCATTTTTCCATATTTTTCTTATTTCTTCCTGAATTGCTTTAGCCTTTTCCTCCATTTAACCTCATTCTTTCCTTTCACTCTTTAAAGCTAGTGCTTACTTTTGAAAAGACTAAAACAGTAGCTTTATATGAATACATAAGTACACAAGTGTATGTGATCAGCATCACACTAACACCCCTGTAACCCAAATTTTATCCTCCATATCCACCTTCAATCAAATATCGACAAAGCCCTGACCATGCACAAGCCACAGTGCTAAAGGGGGTCAGGAAGACAGCAGTGCCACAATAAAAGCATAAAGCTTTCGTCTGTGGCTTTGCTTAGTGTCACAGTCTAACAGGGGAGAAAGAACTCAGGCCCCCCGAAGTAAGCAAGGACTCCATAGACTCCAGTTACCTTGGCCTCCACCAACCAAATGACAGAGTCTTCAGCTGGCCCTTCAGGAGCTCAAAGGAGGGACACATTGCTCTAAGTCTGGGCTGTCAAAGAAACAGGCCTTGAGGGATGAACAATATTTAGGTATGGATAAGTTTTAGGCAGAGAAGGAGCAGGATATACATTCTAGTCAAAGAAACAAAAAAACACAACTGTATAAACAAAGGAACAAAAAAATGAATATAGACAATGCGCTCAGCCGATCAAGTGGTTCCATTTTGGCTGGTTGGATACATTAACAGAAGGAAACTGGCCAGCCCTAGTGGCTCACACCTATAATCCCAGCACTTTGGGAGGCTAAGGTGGGTGGATCACTTGAAGTCAGGAGTTCAAGACCAGCCTGGCCAACATGGTGAAACCCTGTATCTACTAAAAATACAAAAAAATTAGCCGGGTGTGGTGGTGCATACCTGTAATCCCAGCTACTCAGGAGGCTGAGGCACGAGAATCGCTCAAACCTGGAAGGTGGAGGTTGCAGTGAGCAGAGATTGCGCTACTGCACTTCAGCCTGGGCGACAGAGTGCAACTCTGTCTCAGAAAAAATAAAAATAAAAAAAAAGAAGGAAATTATGGGTGTGGACTTGGCAGTGGGCAGGGGGTCAAATTAGGGAGCTTCCTCAATGCGAGGCTGCAGAATTTGACCTTAATTTGGTAGGCAATGGGCAGCCACTAAAGATACTTGGATGCAAGAGTGCTGAATTGAAACCACAGCTTACCTGGTGGCAGTGTGCATGCACCCTCCCTGAGCCCGGTTTACTGATCACACAGGAGAGAAAATTATTTTGAAAAGACAAAGCCCTAAACTAATTATTCCAATTAATTAGAATAATCTGAATTGCTGATTGAGTGAGGCTTCCTGCTCCCAACCATGGACTTCTAAGAGTCAAGTTTAGGCCGGGTGCAGTGGCTCACGCCTGTAATCCTAGCACTTTGGGAGGCTGAGGCGGGTGGATCACTTGAGGTCAGGAGTTCAAAACCAGCCTGGCCAACATGGTGAAACCTCGTCTCTGCTAAAAATACAAAAAATTAGCCGGGTGTGGTGGTGGGCGCCTGTATAATCCCAGCTGCTTGGGAGGCTGAGGCAGGAGAATCGCTTGAACCCGGGAGGCGGAGGGTGCAGAGAGCCGAGATCACGCCACTGCACTACAGCCTGGGTGACAGAGCGAGACTCAAGACTCCATCTCGAAAAAAAAAAAAAAAAGAAGAGTCAGGTTCAGAAAGTGGGGCCCTAGATTTCCAGTTGCCCCAACTCCCCGGGCGATTCTGATGTCCACTCCAGTGGAGTTTCTCACATGGTACTACGCACACCGCTCACATGGGGCTCTCACTAAAATGTGTATTCTGACTCAAGAGGAATGGGGTAGGGCCTAAAAGTCTGCATTTCTGATTAGCTTCCAGGTGACACCAGATGCTTCTGGTTCAAGGGCCACACTTTGAGGTGCAAGATGATAAAGTTTTGTCTTGAATCTAAACAGTTATTCTCCATGATAGAAAGCCTAAACAAACAAACAAACAAACAAACTGGCTGCTGTGGCTTAATTAATCAGACTCTGGAGATGGGGTCAGGCCTGGCTATGGTTTAAAAGCCCGCTGGGTGAGGCTGCCGATCACGCAGGGTTGACACTGGCCCTTCATAGCGTTCCTCTCTTCCCAAGACCAGCAAGGATAGTTCTGGGATTCAGAACTGGGTGAAGGAGGTGGGAGTGTGGTCCGTGGCAGGGCAGTGAGGTGGGTAGTTCCATGCCCTTCCCACCCTTGGCCAGAGGCCAGTGCTCAGGAAGGTTCCCATAAGGTGGGACCCATCGCGGGAAGTGCCAGGAAAACACCCACAGCCAGAGACAGCATGTGGTTTTTCCTGTGAGTCCCCGGATTTTCTCAGATCATAAAAGGGAAAGGTGAGAGCGTAGCAGGTGCTGGGCCAGTCACAGGGACTGTTGCTGTGTACCAAGGACAAATGAGGTGTGAGTGCCAGGGACACGGGTGGCGTGTGTGTGGCAGAGCTCTACCAGGGGGCTTCGGTGCTTGGCTCTCCTGCCTAATCCTGGGGTTCCAATCGCTATCAAAGGGAATTCTTGCCCAGGGAGTTAAAAGTCCTTTGCAAGGACACCTACAGACTTCCAGATGCGATCCTGCACTTTCCTGAACAATTGCTGTCTGCAGGCCTTATAGACAAGCAAGGCAGGAAGAACAAACCAAGTCCTCCGTCAGCTACTTCTCCCTGCTGTGGGCCTCTAGCTGGGCTGAGCATCAGCACCAACAAAGAGAGAAGCAGAGGACTGGGGATGAGTCCTGGGGAAGTGGACAGAGGCTGAGACCTTGAATGCTCAGCATGACCCAGGCCTATCTGTCCAGCCTTAACTTCCCATGGTCCCTACCAAAGCCTTCACTTCCAGAAAAGTTGTCCGGCCAGGCACTTGGCTGCAGGATGGGATCCTGCTCCCCACTGTGCTGGACCCAGGCCAGACAGACCCACCCCTTGCCTGTCTTACCAGAATCAGACCCATCTACCTTCCAGTTCCACTGCCTCCAACCCCTTGTCAGATGACTCCAGCCCACAGTGCTCTTTCCTCTCTTAACTCCTGAAGCAGAGGTGGCCTGAGTGCTGGTTATCTCTTTGTGCAGCTTCTCTCTCGAACAGAACTGTCCAATAGAAATACACTGTGAGCCACCTATGCAATTTAAAAATTGTCTGGTAGCCATGATAAAAAGGAAAAGAAAAAAAAGGGAAACTAATTTTAACAATATATTTTAATCCAATATATGCCAAATATTGGTGTTTCTGTTTTTTTTTTTTTAAAAGACAGGGTCTCGCTCTGTCACCCAGGCTGGAGTACAGTGGTGTGATCATAGCTCACTGCAGCCTCAAACTCCTGGGCTCAAATGATCCTCACTTCAGCCTCCCGAGTAGCTGGGACTACAGGCATGTGCCACTATGCCCGGATAATTTTTTTTTTTTTTTTTTTTTTTTTGGAGAGACAGGGTCTTGTTATGTTGCCCAGGCTGGTCTCAAACTCCTGGCCCCAAGTGATCCTCCCATCTTGGCCTCCCAAAGTGCTGGGATTGTAGGCATGAGCCACCATGCTTGGCCCTAAATATTGTTTTGAGATGTATCAATAATAAGAAATAGTATGTTCTTTTTTAAACTAAGTTTTTGAAATCCAGTGTGCATTTTACATTCACAGTGCATCAGAACTTGGGGTGTTCACATTTCAAGCACTTGATATCTACAGGCAGCTCATGGTTATTGTATCGGACAGCTCATGACTGTAAGCATTTCCAGGGTGGGTCTCATTTATTAGAGCTTTTAGACACATTGGCTGTAACAGCTGAGGGAACTCTTAGGACTGCTTGGCCCAGCTCCTTCACTGTGCAGGTGAGGAGACAGCTTCGGACAGCGAGGCAGAGTCTAGCAGGCCAGAGCTCTAATCTTCCTGACAGGACCCTACTGATGTTTTCTGAGTTCTGGGCTGGAAGACTCTGCCCATCTCACCCACTGTGGGTCCTTAAGAAAGGTGCCACTTCATCATTGTCCAATGATACCTTCAGAGGCCACTCGGTGGCCTCCGTTTATCCCATTTGGCAGAGTCCAGTGCTCTGTGTATTCACACTTAGGCCAGTGCTTCTCTTCACACCCAACTCCTCCAGTCCTGGGTCAAGTGGTGGAGAGATGAGGACACAGGAAGAAGAACCTTGGCAAAGATGCAGGGTGTGGATGTCAATCATAGAATCTGTGGCAGCATAGATTCTATGTCAATCATAGAATCATTAACATGCTGATATTGCAATAATAAGGGCACCATCCACCCAATCAGCCCAAGTGCTTGTTTCTCCATAGTGGGTCGACACTTCCAGACACAGAGCCCTGGCGGAAATTACAGGAGGAGTGCCATCTCCACTTACTAGGCTCACAGCATTAGTCAACACTTCCCATCCCCTTGGCAAATGTAATGAACTTAACACGTTGTGAACCCTGGAGGCTACCAGCCTTGCCCTGGTATGCCCCAACGCCCCTGTACCCATTAGCTGAGCTGCATGCCTGGTAAGGAGCAGCTGCGCTGGGCCCAAACCTGTTTATGCCAGTTGTACTGGTTATTGTTCTTCACAATTTAAATATCATGTAAACTGATGAAATCGAAGTACAAAAAGAAAGCAAGTTGAAGTTTTCATGCAGACTAAATTGATATACTCAAAGGTGAATCACTTAAAAAATGCTGTTGAATTGGGTGTGGAGGAGATAATACAATATTGGAAAGCAAACTGGAAACCTAGAAGGATTTTGCACTCAAATACGCTTTGCATCTGTCTTTAAGTTCTCATACCACTTTAATAAATCCATTCTAGAAACCACAGAAGAGTCCTTATGGGGATGGTTTACGCCAGAAGAATAGAGGGGGAACCCTAACCACTAGACTCATATGCAGATGAAAGGCCTTGACCCACCTCGAAAGACTGGTGGAGAAGTGTACATTTCTAAGTGCGAAGTTAAAATAAGATTTGTAAGTTATTCATGCAGCTTTGGTTTCTGATCTCTGCTTTAACTGGCTTTTTGGTTGACTGATTAACTCTAGGTTTTTATCGGTAGATAAAGGCTGATAGATCAAACTTTTGCTGAGCCTTGCTTGCCGAAGGAAAGCCATGAAATACCCTGGTATACTTCCACTAAACACTGAGGATGGAGGCATACAGGGGTTTTGCATTTCTACAGGGATCCTGCAAGTGCCCGGGGGCCAGTCAGGACCAGGTAATTCAACAGAGAGAATGTAATGTGGGGACTCATGTGAGGGAACTCACGATTAACAACAGAAAGCTGTGAGAGTAGAAGAGGGGAGACTGTATTAACAGAGCACTGACTGGGCTTTCCTGCCAGTGCCCGAACTAGGGTAAGGGAGCTGGGCCCACAGAGTAGACTCAGCCGTGGTGGAGATGCCACCTGATGTGGTGGTAGGGGGAAGATACCCGGTTTCTCCCTTCTTCCTGACCTCCTGCCTCAAGCTCGCTCTAGCCCTCCCCCTGGCCAAGCCTAGCCAGAAGCCTACTGGCAATGCCACTGGCAGGGCAGCCCCCAACATGCAGAGCAGGGAAGATATCTGAGGGCATCTGAGGGTAAGCAGGCTCAGGACTGGCCCAGATCTGCTGAAATCCAAAAAGTTTATATGAATGACTCGGAGTGGAATTTAAGACACCTCTAAGGCTGAGCAAGAAAAAGTGAATATTTGAGGCCAGAGCAGAGACAGGGCTGTCCTCCTGATGGCCCACAATCCAGCTATGTAAGTGACTGCCTATTCTAAGCCTGGCCTTAAGGGCAGCAGTGATTAAAAAAAAACAAAAAAAACACACACACAGAGATTCATCTTGATGTAACCACAGGAGTTCATAGAAGAGGCAACAAACTGCCCAGGTAAGTCAGAAAAGTCTTCACTAGGAGGCCATGCCAGGCAGCATCTTGGTTTTTAAAATTTTTAAAAGATTAATAGGCTTCGGCCAGGCGCGGTGGCTCACGCCTGTAATCCCAGCACTTTGGGAGGCCAAAGCGGGTAGATCATGAGGTCAGGAGATCGAGACCATCCTGGCTAACATGGTGAAATCCCGTCTCTACTAAAAAAATACAAAAAAAATTAGCTGGGCGTAGTGGCAGGTGCCTGTAGTCCCAGCTACTTGGGAGGCTGAGGCAGAAGAATGGCGTGAACCCGGGAGGCGGAGCTTGCAGTGAGCTGAGATCACGCCACTGCACTCCAGCCTGGGCGACAGAGCGAGACTCCATCTCAAAAAAAAGAGAAAAAGATTAATAACCTTGTTTATTATAACCAAAACCCAAAGGGTGGCTAATTTAAATGGCCATTGCACTTTATTCTGGCTACTGTTCAACTGCTGTCCCAAAGTCAGATGGTACTGACCTGATGGGTAATGTGGTCACAGCTGCCTGGATAATGATATCATCTGGCTGAGTCCCTCTCATTATTTCTTCTCCGGGTTTTAGCTCATGTGCAACTATTTCAGTGACTACCCAAGATTGGGCAGCTAATGTTGGGGGTGGTGGCATGCCACAGTTGTAGCATTTGACGAGCACCTAAGGGACTTTGCTTCTGGTTACCCCCAGCTATGTGTCTTAGGGAAAGTAACTGCACCTCTTGATCTCAGGCCCTCTTCTGTAAAACGAGAGAGTCAAACAGACATTATACATTTTAGGATGATCACTCTGGACATCAGCTTTCATCCTGTAGGTTTTCAGGTGGATGTGAAGAAGGAAAGGGAGATTAGGTAGAAGGTAGATTGAGTTCAGGCAGACCTTGGAAGTAGTTTAAAAAAAATTCTGAGAGGACATTTTTTTTTCTCCCTTTTCTCATACACTTTTTCCCTAAAAGCAGAATTCTAAGAAATAAATCCTAGTTAATTGAGAGTTCTGGTTACTTGGGGTACACTTAATCAAGGTTTTACTGCATTTTCAATTGCAGTGAGTTACACAGTGGTTTGCATATGCATTTACTTCTTAAGTGACTTCTGTTCCCTGACCTCATATCTGTTTCATTAAAATGGAACACTTTGAAACGAAAAAGGGAGCATGGAGCTGAATGGTTCTACCTGGATGCAGCTCTGGGGAAACAGCAGTCAAGGTGATAAAAGGCAGTGTCCAACCATGCTCATATATTAGCTGCCCTGCCTGAGAGACAGTAATTGTGTTTTCAACCACATTTCACAGCACTTTTCAACCTGGCAAGGCATTTCTGGGTTATTCTTCTCACTCTGGGGCAGCTGAATTTGCTGCAAAAATCTCCCCCAATTCCCTCCTGGTAGTAACCAGGTGGGAATTTGAACTTTGGCAATATAACAGGTGATCTTAATACTCCCCAAATGACATGCATCAGAACTTAGACACATTCCTAGGTCTGGAGAAAAATAAGGAGTCCTTGGATTCTCATGGCCACTTTGAGGCAGTTCCATGGCAAGCACGATGGCCATTTTACATAGAGGTGAGAACAGAGGTCTGCAAGGTCAAGGCCATTTATAGACCTAAACTATCCTTCAAGCCAGAAGTCTGGTGGTCAGAGCAAGAAAGAACAAGCTGCCTATTTGAGAGGAGAGCCCTGGAGCAGGGTTGGCCAGCAGGGATGTCAATAAATGATTATTGGGCCGAGCACGGTGGCTCATGCCACCCATGTAACTAATCCCAGCACTTTGGGAGGCCGAGGCAGGTTGATCACCTGAAGTCAGGGGTTCGAGACCAGCCTGGTCAACATGGTGAAACCTCATCTCTAATAAAAATACAAAAATTAGCCAGGGGTGGTGGCACACCCTTGTCATCCTAGCTACTCCAGAGGCTGAGGCAGGAGAATCACTTGAACCTGGGAGGTAGAGATTGCAATGAGCCGAGATTGCACCATTGCACTCCAGCCTGGGTGACAGAGTGAGTCTCTGTCTCAAAAAATAAATAAAATAAAATAAAATAAAATAAAAATGGTTATTGGGTGAGAGAATGGATGAATGACGGTCTTGTTGAAGGGTTCTCCTGTAACCCACGGCTGAGGGACAGATGGCCGTCTCCTACCCTTGATTCCCCTGAGTAGCCAGATGGGCAAAATCCCCTGGCTTGTGAACTGATAAACAGCTGGTAACCTCTTATGTGGAACCCAGTAACGTATGGGAAGCCATATTTCAATCAGGCAAGGAGGCTGCAAGCAGGCAGTGACGGCTGTCACCAACCTCTCCTCAAAGCTGCCCTTTCTCCTGGAAATTTCTGTCACTGAGCTATTGCACCTGCAGCTCTGCCGTTATCGGGGGCTCAGGTTCTTGGTCCTCTGAATACCCGCCCAGCTCTTTTATAGAAGTTTCCTTTAGTTCAGGCAAGTAAACACAGTTATGTTATTTTAGCAGGAAAAGGAAAAAGGGAAAAGTGCCAATTGCAAGCATCTGATTAGAAAACCAAAAAATAGGCATTGGGGCTTTTTAAGAGAGTGTGAATGCAAGCAAGAGAGGAAGAAAACGGAATCACAGGCCTGATCCCTTCAAGACGGTCACAAGCTGAGCTGTGACTTTTTATGAAAGCTCTGAAATGCTCAGGGCACCATTCTATGATTCTTAATGCGCTTTCTGGGCAGGGCACTTAGCGGGAAAGGAAATGGGCATCCTGATGACATCAGGGTGGCCACTGATTGCTTCCTGTGCTCCAGTATGACTTTATCCTTATAGTTTTTCTTTTCTTTTAAAATAATTACCAGGATGTGACAACGTTTGACAGGGAGATGGCAAAGAGAGAGGGCAGAGGGCCGGCTGGATATCGAACTAATGTGCTCTGCTCCAAGCTGTTGCTGGGGCAACTACTCCACTGCTGTGGAGGGGTGGGAGTCACAGGGGGAGGGGACAGGTGAAAAGATGCTCTCACTTTCGGTCATAAGTCTGAATCTCCACGTGATCATGAAGCTTATGAATAAGCATTGTCCCATCTTGTGTGGAATCTGAAAGAAATGGTGAAGAGAGAGCAAAGGAGTGTGGTGGGCTGATTTGACTCAATGATCCTGTCCCTACCAGGAACTTCTTTTTCAACAGTTATCAAAGTTTGTGTTGGGTCTAAGTCATTTTCCCCTCCTAGATTGCAAGTCCCGAAAGGGAAGTCTGAGTTTTTTCAATTTATCTGTCTTTGCTCCTGGCACCATCATCACCACTATTGCTACTGCTATTATTCCTATGGCCACTGCTACTACTATCAAGGTATGGTCGCAGATACATGGAATAATTAGAAAGGAGCTTCCTTTTAGAGGGTCTGTCCAGCCCTTGATGATCTTCTTTTCCTGAAAACTGTTTCCTCTCTTCTCACATAGGGTTCCCCTAGTTATAAAGGAATCCCACTCACTGAACATAGTTGATTGGATCAGCGGTAGGTAACTGACTTAAGCTAGGCTAGCTGAGACCTTCTCTACATGTGACTGATGGTCATATGAATATGGATCTTGCGTGACCATCTTCCACCCTGTGCAAGGAAAATCAAAGAGAGCTTGTCTGTAGATAGGAAGTGGGTAATCAGTTGTATAGAGAGAAGTCAAGATGAGAGAGCATATGGTCCCAGCAGGAAAGACAACTTTTATTATTGTTGTTGTTATTATTATTATTATTATTATTATTATTATTGAGACAGAGTCTTGCTCTGTCGCCCAGGCTGGAGTGCGGTGGCGCGATCTCGGTTCACTGCAACCTCTGCCTCCTGGGTTCAAGGCATTCTCCTGCTCCAGCCTCCTGAGTAGCTGGGACTACAGGCGTGTGCCACCATGCCCAGCTAATTTTTGTATTTTTAGTAGACACGGGGTTTCACCACGTTGGCCAGGCTGGTCTCTGATTCCTGACCTCAGGTAATCTACCCGCCTTGGCCTCCCAAAGTGCTGGGATTACAGGCGCGAGCTACGGCGCCCAGCGTGGATAGACAACCACTGAGGACCTAGTTGGTTGCCCATAGCTTTCCCGGCTCCAGTCTCTCACAAGGTCTGGCTGTAGCACATTTTCTGCTTTTAAGACCTGTAACAAACCTTTGTATCCTCATAATAAATGGTATTTTCAGCTTAAGCTACCTTGAGTTGGCTGTCTTTACTTACAAGCATCTTTTTTTTTTTTTTACTTACAAAAGCATCTTCACTAATACAATACCTGTGTTACCACCCAGCCTCTCTCAGCAGGCATCACTAATCAATGACAGCAGTCTTTCTGCTAAGACTCAGAATCCATCACCTGGCAGTCACTACCAATTGAGCCAAGTTAGCAGACAAACTAAAAATCTATTGGCAAAAACAAAGAAACAAAACCCCCACAAACTATTGGCTAGCCTAACATTTGTGATGGGTGAGAGTTCAAAAGAGTACAATAAGGAGAACATGAGAGGGAGTGATTCACTCTGACGGGGCCTTTTGAACATGGACTTGAACAATGAGTGGATTTCCCCAGGCAGAGATGTACAGGATGCACTCCAGGTGTGAGGGAGACGCCAGCAGCTTCTATGGACCAGGTCACTGTATGGGGATGGATCCAGCATTCTTGGTGTCTTCCTAATCACATTTTACCCGGCTGACTCTGGGTCTCAGAGGCCTTTCTCAGTGCTGTTGTTTAGGATGCTCTAGAAGGGATACTAAACAAAGCCAAAAGTTGGCCGTGGCTAGAGCTAGGATGCTTGTTCTTCCTCTGCCTCCCAGTTCCCTGTGTGGCTTGGGGAAACAGCCAAGTGACTCAGATGGTCTCGGTTTCCAGGACTGGCTTTGTCACCAGTGCACCCTCTCTACTGAATGTTATTGTGCTTTGGCTTCCTCGAATCCATTCTACCCGCCTAATTTCCTTCTGTGGATTCTCCGCTCCCATCCGGGTCCCTGTGGTATGGGAAGGATTTCATATCTGGTTCCTGGGATGAAGCCTGTGATCGGGCATAAACCAACCAATGAGTTCCATTCTCTGATTACAGGGATTGGCTCAGGGATGGACATGTGACATAGGACAGCCAATCAGGCTCAAGCACAGCTAATCCTAAGGTTTGACCTTACACAACCAGCAAGAGATGTTCTCTTTTTCCTGCGGCACTGAAATTGGAGAGGCCATGAGGCTATTCCTGTTGCTGCCATCTTGCCACTTTGTAAACAGGTAAATGAAGCCAATCAATGTGGAGAGCAAAGCCAGGAGACAAAGAAACCTGAGTCCTGAGTTTGCTGAGCGGAGGCAGTGGCACCTGAGTCTGACCCTATCCACTGATCATTGCATTAAGTAGCCAATACACATTCTATTTTGCTTGAGCCAGTTGACATGGGTTGATTCTCATTTGCATCCCCCAAATTCTAAGTATTACACTATTACTGCCTCAGCTGCCTTATCAATAAAATAGGATTCACAATAGTTGTCCTCTGCAAAGAACTGTTGCCAGGAATAAGTGAGTGCCTATAAAGTGCTTTATTAATTGCAAGGCAGGCCCTAGTGGTAAATAACACCACTCTGATAAGTGGTTTTAGGAAGGGGCATCAGTGTTCTCCAAAGGAAAGAAAATGTGACGCATGTTGTCTCATCTTTCAGACAATTTATCCTAGCACAATGTCTGGCACAGAAAAGATGCTTAGTATATAATAGGCAAGTGCTGAAAGTTACTGAAACAGCACATTTCCAGTAGCTTACCACTGACTCTGCGGGCTTTCCCCAATATCTAGCTAGTATTTAAGTGGGCTTCCACTCTCACCTTGGCTTTAGATTAAACTCTGCAACCACCCAGCACCCCCTCCCTCATGCATACCTTTGGAACCTCCAGGCCCACCTGCTCTACCAAAGGCGTGTGAGAGGTTGCAGGGAGAGGGACTGTGCAAGTTTGGTACTTAAGTGTGACTCCTGACAATGAACTGGCAGGGTGCAGCCCCCACCAATCGCTCCTGCTGGCTGAGGTGGGCAATGGGGGTCAGGCGGTCCCAGCTGGTTCTCAATTGGCCCCTCAGACAAGGAGGTGGGTTATCACCCATCCATCCCCAGGCGGCTGGCAGCCTTTCCCCACCCACCAGGACAGGTACAGAGGCTCTGTTAACGGCCTCAGTTGTCCAAATACCATTTCTCACTTAAGACAAACCTAATAAAAGGCTCAAAGTGCCTCCCCCAGACGTATTTCTGAACACAGTTCCCTTTTAAATGAGCTGTGTCTCCTTTAACCTGCTGGACTGCAGCCTTAACAGCGACCTCCTTAGCAGGCTGAGTCCAGAGCCACTCCTGGAGTGGGGCACCCACACTCCCACTTCTCTGGCAGCAGCAGATGACTGGGTTGTGCTTTCCTTCACTCTTCTCTGTCAACGCCCCCTCTCCTGGACATTTGGTTTGGGGGAGTTGGATGCATTCTCCCAGGTTGTTCTCATCAAGTGCTCCCTTTTCTACTTTCCTGTATCATCAGCAGATTAGAATTGGAAATAATTTAGTGGAAGCAGATGATTCTACAGTTCAGCCCGCGTGCTTGACAATTAACTAAATAAACTGCTTGAGGTCACTTGGAGTAACGATTCACAGACTTGCCTGTGA
This sequence comes from Homo sapiens, assembly GCF_000001405.40. NCBI lineage: Eukaryota > Metazoa > Chordata > Mammalia > Primates > Hominidae > Homo > Homo sapiens. Next base: position 48,100,304 of record NC_000018.10, read on the forward strand.
CAGGCAAAAGTTAAGCCCCTCGGTGAGCAGGACCTCCCCACGGGGTGAAGAGGAGGCTGGTTCTGCCAGAGGAAAATTCTAGGCATCTTATTATTCTCCCGCTCCCTTTCCAGTTCTGACCTTAAGAGTACTCTTAACCTTCCTCCTCCAGCTTGCTAATGGGGAAATAAATCTTGGGAGAGTATCTTAAATTCTTTTTTATCACAGACTGTATCGCCGAGATAATAAGACCAGCCTTCAGAGTAACCATTAAGCCACAAAAGGTGTGGTCATCATTTATGATTTTTTTAGCCTTAATTGCTAGACAGACACTTTAAGTGGGAAGTCTGTCTAATGAGCCCAGTCATTAAAACATCAAAAACTGTTATCCGGGGTTTCTATTTTAGTTAGACATTACATTATTTTAATAAGGGGGCCGCATTTCTTGTCACAGGGTTTGGTAATGGAGGCTGAAGCAACCCCCTGGGGAATGGGGGAGGGGGAGGCAGGCTTGCCTTTGGAAAACAAGGTCGCAAATCAAGCCGGAGCCTGGGAAGGGGGATGCAGATGAGCCTCTCTGGGAACCTAAGAGGGAGGAGGGCCCTGCCTGTAGGGGCGGTAGGGGACTGGTGGGGGGGCTGGAAACACTGTGCCCTAGTGGGGAACGGGGAAGGCAGGTTGTAGGCTGTTCTGGGCTCCTCGTGCATCACTACACAGCTTTCTGATCTGTCGCCACACTACTGGGCACAGTAGCCTTGTCCTCAGCCCTCTCTGACTCCTCCTTGCTCCCTGGGGAAGGAGCCAGCCCACAGGCCCAGCCCAGTCCCTGGCCTCTCCGGAACCCTCCCTTCACCAGGCACCCAACCATCTTCCTCCTTCCTCTGGCCTCCTACAAGCATTCTCAGAGCTGCCTGCCTGTGTGTCACCTGATTCTACCCTTGGCGTTCTCAGGCTGAATGCTCAAGATTTTGCCAATCATTGTATGCTCCTTTTTATTGATCCAGACCAGTACCATCCAAAAGAAATAGAATGTGAGCCACACGCATAATTGTAAATGTTCCAGCAGTCACACTTAATAGTCAAAGTAAACAGGTGGATTTAAACAACCTATATGTTTAAATCAGTATTCCAAAATATTATCATCTCAATATGTAATCAACATTTTAAAAATGATTAGTGAGACATTTGATATTGCTTTTTTCACACCACATCTTATAGCTCATCTTGACTGGGACTGACCACGTTTCCAGTGCTCAGTGAGGCTTTGATTTTCTAAGCAGCTGTTATAAAACACTCACACTGTGCCAGGCACTGTTCTAAGCAGTTTAGACATACTTTTCATTTAACACTCACAGCATCCCCATCAAGTAGATACTATTATGCCTAGTTTACAGATGAGGAAACTGAGGCAAAGGTTAAGTAACTTGTTTGAAGTTGCAGAGCTTGTAAGTGTTACCAACCGGTATGGACTCAGCATTATATTGGAGGTCTAACCATCTGGTCTCTCATTCATTCTAAATTCAGTGTGCCCTACATGACTTGGCAAATGTAAATGTGCGGACAAGACTCCCACCAGACCAGGGTGGCTGGTTCGCTCTCTCTGCATGACTGACATCTCTGGCCATGGAAATCCCAGGTAACCAAGCTGCCTGTCTAATACCAAGAGATCCTTCTTAAATAAGTAGACATGCCAACATGTACTCTTTATTTTGAAAACAGAAAAAAAGAACAAGAGGTTAGTCTTAAAAAAATAGGTTTTAAAAACAAACTGCTAAAAAAAGCTTCTCACACTGACAACTTCTGACATTGAGGCGCTGAAGGAGGTCATCCTAAAATCAGCTGCTAATTCTAAAAAAGCATAGGTAGCAACAGGAATTGGTCATCATCACAGTTACTGTCATGTCATCATCAAAATGCCATGCATTAATAGTACAGGCACAACCACACTAGCCTGGGAGATGCTCAGTAAACACTGGCTGAAAGAATTAGCTAACCTAACGGCAGGGTGCAGTGGCTCGCAGCTGTAGTTCCAGAACTTTGGGAGGCCAAGGTAACAGGATCGCTTAAGGCCAAGAGTTTGAGACCAGCCTGGGCAACATAGCTAGACCTTTGTATTTACAAAAAGTTAAAAAAATAGCCTAGTATGGTAGTGCACACCTGTAGTTCTAGCTACTCAAAAGGCTGAGGTGGGAAGATCACTTGAGCCCACAAGTTTGAAGTTGTAGTGAGCTGCAATTGCTCCATTGCACTCCAGGCTGGGTGACAGAGTGAGATCCTCCCTCAAAAAAAAAAAAAAAAAAAAAAGTAACTAACCTAGTCCTCTTGGAGAAAGTAGACAGGGCATGCTGAACTATGAAAGAGTAACCCATGGTAACTATTTTATGCCAGACAAAATGGAGAGTGGTTATCAAAACCAGGAGATGTGATGAGGTTGCCCTAAATAGACAGAGGTTTGCATCCAAGGAGAGCAATGGCTCAAGGTGGAGGATGAAGGCAGGAAGGGAATACATGTGAGGGCCTGTGGCTACATTGCATTTATATCTCATACAGGTGTAGTCAACAACCCTCACTAGATTTGCAAAAATACATGTGGAGAAGGGAAGCCAGCCTTTCAAAAAGGGAGTCTGCATTCACAGCCCTGTTGTTTGGTTTTCAATTTTATCAGAATTCAATTCAACTGATGACATTTATAAAGAAGAGAGGCAGGAAAGACAAATATAAGACAGGGAAGGTGTGGATATATTATATATATATATTTTATATTATATATATATCTTGTATATATATATTTTATATTATATATATCTTATATATATTATATATTTTATATTATCTATCTATCTATCTATCTATCTATCTATCTATCTATCTATCTATCTGAAAAAAGTGATGGGGTGCTAGGGGGTCACAGACCAGCCTAAGACACGCAAAGGTCAGAAAAGCACATTCCCAGTAAGAAAAATGAGACGTCAGGTTTGATCCCACCAGGAAGACAAAGATTCGGGGAAAAACAACAACCAAGGGCTCTGGCAAAGACAAAAGTATCACGGATTGTTCAATTGAGAGAAAAGAAGGCTTAGGGACAAGTTACTATTGGCCCCTCCAGGATCCAGAAGATTCTAACCTAGAGTAGGACAAAGACGGAGGCATAGGAGGGAGTTACACAACATGGGTTTGAATCCATCCCCAGCAACAAAAATTTCTTTACCTTTCAGGGACAAAGACAGCTGCTTTGGCAACTTGGGGAAAAATGGATAAAAAGATATGTAAGGTAGAATGACCTAGCAATCTCACTCCTAGGTGCACACCCAAGAGAAATGAAAACTTACATCCCCATAAAAACCTGTGCACAAATGTTTATAGCAGCATTATTTGTGAGAGCCCCAAAGTAGAAACAACTCAAATATCCATCAACTGGTGAATGGATAAACAAAATATGGTAGATCCATACATTGGGATATTATTTGGCAATAAGAAGGAATGAAGCACTGTTCCATGCTACAACATGGAGGAACCCTGAAATCATTATGCTAAGTGAAAGAGGCCAGCCACCAAGGACCACATATTATATGATTCAACTTTTATGAAATATCCAGAATAGGCCAATCTATAGAGACATAAAGTAGATTAATCGTTGCCAGGGGTCGAGGGTGCAGGTTAGAGGGAAATGGGGGAGTAACTGCTAATGGGTATGGGGTTTCTTTTCAAGGTGATGAATATGTCCTAAAAATGGTTGTGGGGATGGTTGCAAACTCCGAATATACTAAAAACTTTGAATGGCACACTTTTAATGAGTGGGTTGCATGGTATGTGATATAGTTTGGATATCTGGCCCGTCCAAATCTCATGTGGAAATATGACCTCCAATGTTAGAAGTGGGGTTTGGTATGAGACATTTGGGTCAGGGGACAGATCCCTTATGAACGGCTTAGTGCTGTCCTCCAGGTAATGAGTGAGTTCTCAATCTATTAGTTTCCTCAAGATCTGATTGTTAAAAAGAGCCTGGTACCTTCCTCTCCTCTCTCTCTCCTGCTTCCTTCCTCTCATGATGTGATGCCAGCTCCCCTTCCTCTTCCACCATGAGTGGAAGTTTCCTGAGACTCTCCCCAGAAGCAGATGATGGCACCATGCTCCTTGCACAGCTTGTAGAACTATGAGCTAAATCAACCTCTTTTCTTTATAAATTGTCTAGCTTCAGGTATTCCTTTATAGCAATGCAAATGGACTAAGACATTCTGTGAATTACATCTCAGTAAAGTTGTATGTATGTATGTATGTATGTACATATGTATGTATCCATCCATCCATCCCAGCCAGTGCCTGGCATGTAAAAGGCATATAGAAGGCATTTGGTAATCGTTAGCTGTAATAGAAGATGCTGTTCTCTTTCTTTTTCTTTGCTATGAGGATGCAAAAGAAGCAAGCAACAGGGAGACCGAAATGCCCTCCTAAGCCAGACTCTCCCATCAGGTAGCAAGCTCCAGGTTTCACTGGGTGGTCCATCCCCCAAGCAGGACATGTGGGGGTACAAAGAACAAGGAGTCAAGCCAGCAGTGTGTGGGGCCATCGTGCAGTGCCTCCCAGGCCCTGGGCAGGCAAGCCCTGAAGCGCCAGGTGGCTGGGTGTGGGTCTTATATCAGAAGGGCCCACACCCAGCTGTTTCAGGATAATGCCGCACTGACCTCTGCTACAGGCAAACTCCCACAGTGCTCACCATTGGAAACATACTGATCCCCGCCTCTGTGGTTCTGCAGGGGATGTCTTTCAACAGGATAGCTGCCCCCACGGGGTTAAACCTTGTCCAGAGTGTTTGCAAAGGATGTATGCTCCAGTCCTTTCGTTTCTGTCCTCTCCTCAGAAGACAAGCCACCCCATGACCCCCAATTCTGCCAATGTGAGAAGAGTCAGGAACAGGATTTAGAATATGGGCAACCTTGGTTCCTGTGCCCACTGCAGACCTTCAAATAGCAAAGTGATTTCAGGCCCATGGGAAGGCAGAGCTAAGTGTCATTCCTCTTCATGCCTGATATACTTTGACTGAATTGAATCAGACTCTCTGAACCTCATTTACAATGCCCAGAGCTTGGTAAAGAATCTCAGTGCTTCTCAACAGAGGCACTATTGCACCTCAGGTGCAATAATCTTGGGGCATATGGGATCGTACCAGGCCTTGTAGGACATTTATCATCCATGGCCCTGACATGATTAATACCAGTAGTGCCTCCCAGTGGTGGGACAATTCCAAACATGCCCCCTATTCAATATACTTTCCAAATGCCCCTGGAGGGGGTACTGCTCCAGGGAGTGAGGGGCATGGCATTGCCTCTGGTGATCTCAGAGGTTTCTTCTAGTCCTGCTCAGTGGTGTGCTGGTGAAAACCTAACAACTAAGTCTCAAAAACAAAACAAAAAAAAGGTAGATGGGTGTGGGGAGAGTTGCTGCTGAGAGAGGGAAAGCCCTGCCTGGTGTGTAGAATGTGCTAAATTCCATGGTGTAAATACTCCCGGTTCACAAAACTGAAATTTAACAACTTGCTATTGCTATTGCACTCGCAATACCTGGCTCCAGCATACCATTGCCTGACATCTTGTGTCTCAATATACAACTCCAAATGCTAATTTAAAAAGGTGCACTGCATTAAGAATACTGTCAGACTAGTCTTTCTATGGTCTCATGTTTTAGAACCAAATAATGCTACTACTACTAAAAATCCTGATAACACGTCCTATGACCTGAACCAGACTACAGAGAAATGGGAAACATTTCACTAAATGGCAATCCTAATGTGTTAATGCCAGGCAGGCAGAGTGCAGACTGCAGGAAGCTGCCTGCTCCCCAAACTCCACCCTGGCCTTGGTGGCTGTCCCCGCACCACACGGGGAGGGATTGAACAATTCTAGCTTCAGCTCTTCCCTGCTAGCATTCTCCTTCCTTCTGCATGAACCCCCTCCTCTTTCCAGCATCTCATCTTCAGCAAGCCCCTGACAAGCTCCTTCAGCCCCAGTAGTATAGACTTAATGTTTGCCTCCTCCTAGGGGAATGTGCATTTCCAAAAGTGGCAAGAAAAAAAAAAAAAGAAAAAGGCAATATTTAACTGAAAGAATCCAAGACATGTATACAGGCTAGGGGCAGCTGTAAAGCAAAACAAAGGACCCAAACCCTATTATAATGAATGAAAGTTGGTAGAGAAGATGGTACAAGCAAAAAAACAAAAACTCAAAAGGAGAAGTGTATTTAAAACTATTCCCCATGTTATGGGTGGGGAGTCAGAGGAGGGGCAGGAGGTAACTTGAGGGGTGCTGTATTTGTTCACTATCTAATTGTTGAAATGGTTTTATGAGTATCTACAAGTGTCAAAACCTATCAAACTACACTCTAAATATGGGAGGTTCATTCTACATCAGTCATGCCTCAATAAAGCTGCTAAAAAAATAACCCCCAGGCAAACTGTGAACATGGGTATTTGGCTCAATTCAGAGAGAACCACCAGCTTGCAATAAAACCATCTTAGCATTGGAAAGAACCAGGGAAGAAGGGGGTTCTGCAGCGGGGTGGGGAATGGGGTGGGGATGGGACCTCTTTGGCTTCCCATCTGCAAACTGCAGGGAAGGGGCTGGGAGAGGGGGAAAGGAGGTTCTATATACCAGGCTCAGCAAGCTCAGGCTGCCCAGAATTGTCTGTTTGCAAGGATGAAGGTGATATAATTGGAATGAGAGCCTCAGCTGAACCAGGAAACGAGTGGAGGTTTAAATATCAGGATGCGGAGTTTACCACAGGGATAGGACAGAGGGAGGGAAGGAGGGAGGAAAGGAGAGAGGGGAGGAGAGAGGGGAAGAGAGAGGGGAGGTGGAGAATGTGGGGAGGGGCATTGGAGAGAAGGGCAGAACCGTCAGGAGAGGGAGGAAGGGAGGTCAGGAGGGAGGAGGATTGAGAAGGAGGGGAGAAGGTGGAGGAGGGGTTAGGAAGGTTCAGGAGGAAGGGAGGCGGAGAGCAGGGGTAGAGGAAGATTGAGGAGGAGTGAGGAGGGATGGGAGGAGGGTGAAAGGCAATGGGAAAAGGGCTGAAAAAGCAGGGTCCAGAAGGAGGAGGGGAGAGGAGAGGTGGGAGAAGGGCCCAGGAAGAAGAAAGAGGGAAGAAGAGGAAGAGGAGAGGGAGGAGGGCTGGGACCAGCCAGGGGACAGGCACTAACACAGCACTGCCAGGCACACAGCAGGCTGGAAAGAAGATTCCTGGAGGTCACCGACATCTCCAGGCAGCCTGGAGGGAAAAGGAACCTGGAGATGTTTCTGGTGATAAGAAAGTGGAGATAAGAAGGCTTGGATGGAGGCCAGAGGTGGCCTCTGGGAGGAGAACCCGGTAGTGGGCGGGGCAGGGCCGGCCTCCTTGCAGCCCACTCTGGTGCTCCCAGACAACACATGGGAACCTCCCTGGACAGCGTACCCTTCCCCGCTGTGGGGTCAAATAACAATCTGGGGTCACCCCTGGAGCTCAGGCACGAGCTTGTCTCAAGTGCTGAGATGGCGCCTAGGAGAACTCCACAGGTGCCCAGTGAAGTGAGGGCAGGTTACCCAGAACCAGTGCTATCTGGAGAGTAGCTGCAGAGCCATGATTTCCTTAGCCCCTTATCCTTCCTTGCTCTCAAAAGAAGCCAGAGGTTCCCAGGGATTGATTTTATGCCCAGCCAAATGACACCCTTTCTTTCTCCCCTCATGAAGATAAAATCTTTCCCCTAACTATCTGTCAGGGCACGTGAAATTCCATTAGAAAGTCATTCCTTCACATGGCGTCTGAGGCTGGTCTCCCAAGAGAACCAGGAGAGGGGAGATTCAGGCAGCTGGAAGGACCCCAAGGCTCGTCTATTCTAATGGCCCTATTTTACAGGGAGGAAACTGAGACTCATGGATGGGACAGGACTTGCCCACAGTGAGTCTGTAAGCACTGGGCCAGACCTCGGGTTCCCAGGCTCCTTGCCTGGTGCCCTCTCTTCTCTATACCAGGGTCGACCAAGAATGAGCTTCGGCAAGTTAAATGAACGTGTGGCGAGGGCGGGGAGGCGAGTGGGAGGATCAGCAGCGACCACAGGCAGGAAGTACTCCAGAGGGCTCAGAACCAACCGCCAGACAAACACCCTGGGGAAACAGAGGCTTCCCTGCCCCTACCTTGTTTTTGAGATAGGGTCTCACTCTGTTGCCCAGGCTGGAGTGCAGTGGCACAATCGTAGCTCACTGCAGCCTCTAAACTCCTGGGCTCAAGTGATCCTCCTACCTCAGCCTCCCAGATAGTTAGGACTACAGGCATGTACCATTATGCCCAGCTAATTTTCTTATTTTTTGTATTCCTGTAGAGACAGGGTCTTGCTTTGTTGCCCAGGCTGATCTCCTGGCTTCAAGCGATCCTCCCACCTCAGCCTCTCAAAGTATTGGAATTACAGGCATGAGCCATTCTGCTTGGCTGGCACTGTTTTTCTAAGCCATGTTTATCCAGCTCTTACTGTGTGGGACGGGCCTTCTGGGGCTTGGGGCTTAGGACCTCCACCTCTTCTGTCCTATTCCAGGCCTTGTGTCACCTTTTATCTTCTCAATGATTGGGAACTTGCTCCTTTATATGGAATCTGTGCATTAGTAAAGTTGTTAAATGTCCTTGAAACTGTATGAAAAAGTGGGGAGAGTGGAGCACTTGGGGGTAAGGAAGGGGGGCTCTGAGCTATGAACAAAGCCCTGGCAGGAGACATTTTTCAGAGGATGCTGAAGCAGGGAGACTTCCTAGAGGAGGAGAGCTTAGAGAAGGAAGAGAGAAGCAAGACCACACAGCTCCCAGTTGTGGGGTGAGGGTGGGGGTTGCGGTCCCTAGCAATGGCCTTGGGGTGTTGCTAAGAACCCAGGCTGGTGGCGGCTGTCACAGGCCTAATGAGGCCCAAGGGAGAACACATCGAAGGGAATGCAAGCACTGCAGACCCTGAGTGGAAAGACCCCCATCCAGGCCAGCCCTGCCCCTGCCTTCGGGTTCCCAATTTTGAATACCTGGAGTTTGTGCCTCTCTAGAGCCCTTTCCCTTTCTAGAACTGGAAAGATCTAGACATGGCACATGACTTCTGCCCTTTCCCTTTCATATCTTTCTAGAACTGGAAAGATCTAGACGTCACACATGACTTCTGCCCTTTCCCTTTCAGATCTTTCTAGAACTGGAAAGATCCAGACATGACACATGACTTTTGCCCTTAAAAATAGTGCTTATGGATGGTTTCTAACTTGAAAATGCTTACGAAGATGAGCAAAAAAGTGAGATAGAAAATTTGTGAACAATATTATCAGGAAGGTGTTGCAACAACCACACACACACAAAACAGTGCATGCGTGGTAAGACAAGGGGGAGGAAAGACAGCCGAGTGACAAGGGAGGGAGCTGAGGCAGGGCCTGCAGAGGAGGGAGGGGGCAAGGGCTGCGGAGGTGCATTTCCTATATGCCCAACAAAGAGCATGCACTACAAAAGGTATTTATTAAAAAGGGAAAACAAATGCTCTATTTTCAAAAAAGACAAAAAGGTGCCTTCTTATGCAGACATGGTGTTAACAAGTGCACCACTGCAGCCACCCTCCCCCCAAACACTTCTCTCTAGCACTCCCAGGTGCAGAAAGCCTGGTTTCTTCCCATTTCCTGGACGTTCCATGGGCCTAACTAGCAGCAAAGGTGGTCTGAGACTGAGGCATAGAGAGGTGGAGTGACTTAACCACAGGCCCATAGGCAGATAGGGAGTGGTAGAGACCCAGGATCCTTACATTCAGCTCAGCATTCTTTCCTACTCTGTATGCGCTTTATTGAATTTATGGTGATGATGATTATGACCATTGTCATCACCCATTGTGCCCAGACAAGGCACAGTATTGTCTTCTCACAGATGGAACAATCATTTTGTGTATTTTCTAGTCTTTGGGCCCCACCACAGTCCATACCACACTGATCCGAGGGTGGCACACCCTCAGTAAGGACGCCGTGCCACTCCCTGACCACATCTGTGTTTGCTGTCCATACTCTGGCCCTGCCCTACCCCCCCACCTGGTTCAAAGAGCCGCACTCTAAAAGCCGCTTCTTCCTGGGCACCTCTTAGCCAGCCTGCTCTGCATTCTTAAGAGGCATGATCTTTAGGGAGCTAATTACCTAATTAGTGCATCTAGAGGAAAGCTTAAGTTATGAGGCTGATAATAAGGCAAAAACCATGAAACAATTGTGCTAGGCGGTTCCTCGCTGTCAGGCTCGTTGTTGGCGTCAAATTATTAATTATGATTCTTAATCACTCCTTTTCCCATCAGAACCCCTGAGATTTAATTTGCTTCATCATTTGGCCTTCCTAGAATACACGGTTCTGAATGTTGCTTCTCCAGGGCGATGGGGAGAATTGCTACATCTCGCCAAGCAGCCCTTCCTTCTGCCCAGACCTGAGGGCACCAGCAGCCACTGCCTGGTGTGGAGACCGGGTCCACCTGCACCAGCTGGCCCTGTCATGGGAGGGTTGCTGGAAAAGAAGGGCCCCAGGAGGGGGTTCAGGATGAGGCGGTGACTGGAACCACGTTCTTGGGGGAGGGCATAGTCTAGCTATGAGCAACCTGAAGGGGCTCTCAGGTGGAAGAGAAATCAGGCTTATTCCTTTGCTCCAGTGGACAGAGTTACAATCAATGAGTAGGTCATGTGGAAGTTCGATCTGGGCTTCATATGATAACTCTCTAACAAAGAGAGCCAGGCCAAGGACCGCCTGGACTGTCTGGGGAGCAAACCAGCCTCCAGCTGCTGGGCGCATTCTGGCAGCTGCTGGGTCACCAAGCATTGCGGTGAGAGAAGACTCTTCCCAATTTGTGCCCTGACCCGAAACTGATGGTGGGTTTCTGGGTGTGTCACCTCCACCTCCCCACCCCATCCTTTCTCATGCTCTCGTCCTCAGCTCCTCTTATGGACCCTAGAATGGGGGCTCAAGCAACGTTTGTTGATTTGAGTCGGAATAAAAAACAAGCCCAAATTCAATAAGAAAAGGAATGCTTGGATTAGGGGAATGTCAGCAGGGACTTTGTTCTTATGCTTTAATTTTTTCCAAGGAGTGCAACGAATTCATGTAAGGTTTATGAAGTGAACAATGGATTTCAAAATTAAAAAGTCAGTGATGAAACTTTAAGAGACTCCTTCTATGTCATTTTCCCCCCATTTCCTCAATATTTGGTAACCCAAGGTGAGCTACTCCCCAGGACTGTTCTGAACCTGTCACAGTTATCCAGGGGAGGGAGGCAGAGGAGAGAAGACCAGAGCCCTGGCTGGGGGTCGGCAGGAGGGAGGTGTGGGAGGCATGCTCTGTTTTCACCTGGGATGGGAGAGATGTGATGAGGGGCCCAGAGGCAGCTTTGCCAAGTCAGTGGCCTGGTACTGGGGTTTTCGTGTGGACGGGTGTCTGCACTCACTCATTATTAAAGACCAACCTTCTCAAAACAGAAACCAAAACATCTATATATCTTATATGAAACTAAGGCATAGCCAGCCAGTGAGCAAAAAAAGGGAGAAAACATAAACACAGTTTTTGGCAGGCAAGTTAGCAATTTCGGACCCTGAAATTATTACGTACATTCTCTTCCAGCCAGCAATTCTACTTCTCATTGTTTATCCTAATAAATAGTTAAGTATGTAAAATGGTTTGTTAAATAATATTAATCTCAGTATGATTATATTGTGGAAATGACTTTAAATGTCCAACAAAAAAGGATACTAGTTAAATAAAGTATGAAATTGTACATTTATACTATGAAATGACTTGTGGCCATTACAAAAATATAGATAAGTATTTTACTGATATGGAAATATGCTACGTTGTGATGTGTACAAATAGTTGTACAGAATGATCCCAATTTGTTTAATAAAATATATGTTCATAGAAAAATGTGTGGAGTAATATATATTTATAGTAACAAAACTTAGTGGGAGAATTCCAGTTTAATTTTTTTCTTTTTTTTTTTTTTTTTTGCCTTCTCTCTCTCCCTCCCTCCCACCCATCCTTCCTTCTTTTCTCTTTATAATGAACATGATTTACTTTTACCATTTCTTTTTTTGAGATGGAGTCTCGCTCTGTCGCCCAGGACGGAGTACAGTGGTGCGATCTCAGCTCACCACAACCCCTGCCCTCCTGGGTTCAAGCGATTCTCCTGCCTCAGCCTCCTGAGTAGCTGGGACTCCAGGCACGCGCTACCATGCCCAGCAGATTTTTATATTTTTAGTAGAGATGGGGTTTCACCATGTTGGCCAGGCTAGTCTTGAACTCCTGAACTCTTGAACTCTTGAACGACTTGGCCTCCCAAAGTGCTGGCATTATAGGTGTGAGCCACCATGCCCGGCCTACTTTTACCGTTTTAAAAAAGTTTAAAATTATGTGGGCTTTTTCCATCATAGATGGTTGAGAAAAAATGGTTACAAAGTATATGTGCGGTAAATCCATGGGCTATGTTTGTATATACTGAGAGAACAGGTGAAGAAAATACTAAGACTACCTAACAGAGGATTGAGGATCGCATTCCAAGCAGTGGGATTACGTCCCTCTCTTCTTGTTTAAATTTTTTTTTATGAAATGAGTATTTCAGTGATAAAGGGTTTAAATTCAATAACTGTGTGGTCTCTCAAATGCTTAGTGGTTAAAATAGATTCAGTGCATCAGAGAAAAGTAACACAAGTTTGCCCGTGTAGACAACACCAGGCCCAACACATATGGTGTGGAGAACCCAACTTTGATTACCTATCACAGGAAAATCTGCCCACACAAGACTGGTAAGTCGATGGGGTGATATTTCTTGAGGAATCTTTGAGGATGTCCTTCCTGTTGCCATGAAAATGGGCATTTTGTTGTGGACAGGAGCAGGACAAAGGGGTAAGTCCCTGAACCTGCTGGCCAGTAGATTCATCCATGACACCAACTAACTGCAGTAATCCCTTCTAAGCCTCAGTTATCTCATCTGCTAAATGGAGATAATACCCCCTGGTCTGTCTTTCTTGTATGGTTATGGATGTACATGAACAAGTGAAACTACCCCCATCACAAGGAAAAACCATCATGGTTAGTTACTGGGAAAGACAAAAAGAGAGAAAAGGAAGATGAACTCAAAAAAGGATAATTGGAGTTAAATTGGTTTCTGAATCAGGCTGGCCTGGAGCCCCTCCCCTGGAACTTACTCTATTAAAAGGGCTGGCAAGAGGCCAGGGGCAGGAGGTGCCCCGGCTGGCCCAGGCCACTTACCCTCATCTGGGGCTACCTCCTGGCCTAGGGTGTGGCCATTTTCATTCCACTCCAAGTCCAGGGGAAAGCCAAGAAAATCCACAGGTCTTGTATTTCTTCCAGGGTCTTAAGAATGAAACATGTGCAAACGATGAACTCATTTTATCCTCAGGCTGAGCCCTCCACACAGATTCCATCTCAAGGAGCTTTCCGGCTGATGGCAGAGTCAGGAGAGTCCCAGCTATTATCAGTGACAACAACCCTGCTTGCTCTCTGTGCGAGGCGTACGCCTGTCCCACCATCGGCAGGGTGCACTCCAGGAAGCAGGCTACACACTAGTGCACAAGGTGGCTGTGAAAACACCGCTGCACCAGGAGCCTGGGGCCGGCTGTAAAATGCTGGCCAAATCCCCATTCACTCTGTGTCTCCATCTACTTGTCTGAAATAGGAGGGTGGTGGTGTCCCATGAAAGGCCCTTTCACTTTTGAGGTCCTGGGAGCCACTGGTGCTCTAGAGGCAGTACTTCTGCCCTCCACCGTGGTCATCTTCATGGGGGGTTTGGACTCCATTTACAGACAGCCACAAGTACAAGGCAGGCATGGAACTCAAGAAAATATCCACACTATAGGTGAGGATGTGGGGACACTGGGAACTGATGGATGGGTGGGAGAGTGAAAATGGCTACCAGCCCTGGGAACATAATGTGACATTATTTTATGAAGTTGGACACATGCACACCCTCTGACCCAGCAATCCCACTCTCGGACATGAGCTCCAGGAGACACGTAAAAGAATGTTCTCAGCCAGGCACAGTGGCTCACGCCTGTAATCCCAGCACTTTGGGAGGCTGAGGTGGGTGGATCATTTGAGATCAGGAGTTTGAGACCAACCTGGCCAACATGGTGAGAGCCATCTCTGCTAAAAATACAAAAATTAGCTGGACACAGTGGTGGGTGCCTGTAATCCCAGCTACTCGGGAGGCTGAGGCAGAAGAATTGCTTGAACCTGGGAGGTCCAAGTTGCAGTGAGCCAAGATAGCATCACTGCACTCCAGCCTGGGCAACAGAGAAAAACTCTGTCTAAAAAAAAAAAGTTCTCAGAAGCAGAAGAAAAGAAAATGTGCAAAGAAAGAAAACATGCAGACATCTCCAATATTACTGACCCCAAAAATGGGTAAGTACATCACAGTATATTCATTGGGATCATGGAATACTATTCAGTGGTGAAAAGGAATGGACTACAGCCACCTGCTTCAAGGTGGATGAATCGTAGAAACCTAGCATTGAGGTAGAAAAGCAAGCTGCAGAAGAGTGAACCCAGTTTGACTTCATTTATGTAAAGTTCAAATACTGTCAAAATAACTAACAATTTTTTTCCGTTTTTTATTTTTTGGGAAAATATGTATATAACATAAAATTTGCCATTTTAACCACATTTAAATATATAATTCTGTGGCATTAATTAAATCCACAGTGTTGTGCAATCATTGCTATGATCTATTCCCAAAACTTTTTTATCACCCCAAACAGAAACTATTCATTAAGCAATAATTCCCCCATTTCCCTTTCCATCCAGCCCCTGGTAACCTCTAACCTACTTTATCTCTATGAATTTGCTTATTGTAGATATTTCATATAAATAGAATCATACCATATTTGTTCTTTTGTGACTGGCTTCTTTCACTTAGTACAGGGTTTTCAAGGTTGTTCCATGTTAAGCATGTATCAGAACTTTTCTTTTTTTTTTTTTAGACGGAGTCTTGCTCTGTCGCCCAAGCTGGAGTGCAGTGGCACGATCTTGGCTCACTGCAGGCTCCGCCTCCTGGGTTCATGCCATTCTCCTGCCTCAGCCTCCAGAGCAGCTGGGACTACAGGCACCCGCCACCGCACCTAGCTAATTTTTTTTGTATTTTTAGTAGAGACGGGGTTTCACCGTGGTCTCGATCTCCTGACCTCGAGATCCGCCCGCCTCAGCCTCCCAAAGTGCTGGGATTACAGGCGTGAGCCACCGTGCCCGGCCTTATGAGTGACCTTTACACACACACACACAAACACACACACACACACCTGCATCTTGCTTATTGGTTCATCTGTTACTGGCCACTTGAGTTGTTTCTACCTTTTGGCTATCGGGAATAATGCTGCGATGAACATTCGTATACTAGTATCTGTTTGAATGCCCGTTTTCAATCCTTTGGGGTATATATCTAGGAGTGAAATATACATAGGGGTGGAATTGCTGGGTCACATGGCAATTCTGTGTTTTACTTTCTGGGGAACCACAACAGTTTTTAGTCCTACATAAGTGGTAAGACCATCAGGAAGAAGCCGAGGAATCTGCTCACATAATTCAGGATAGTGACAGCTCTGGAAGAAAGGGCGGGGCATACCATGGAGGAGGGAGACCAAGGGCCTCGAAGTACTTTGAGTCACTATTTAGCACTTTTGGTTCTATTTCTTAAACTGAGAGAGGGGTTCACAGGAGTTTATGTTATTATCCTTCGCGCCTATATATACATGCTACAGATACTCTTTTGCATGTATCAAGTGCTGCATTAAAAAAAAAGAAAAATATAAGAAAAAGAAAGTTAATCCATTCCTCTACACCGTCCCCCACCCCCAAGGACAGTGGCACAAATGCTCCCTGGTGCCCTATGTCCCTGCCAGTGGGAGACTCCTCACTGTGCTGAAGGCGAGGCTCGAGCCCAGACGCCCTGTGCATGTCCCAGGCTGCCTCTCCCGCTGGTCTGCAAGCTTCTTGGGGTGGCAATGAAATGTAACTTATCTTTGGACTCCAGTCACTAATACAGTCCCTGGTAAATAGTGCCAGCTCCATGTGTGCTTGCTCAATGAATAGATGAATGTATCAATATTAATTAGCAGCCTCTTCCCAGGACCTACCAGCGATGGCATTTGGAGAGCCATCCCATGCATCCACACCAAATGCTGGAGGCCACCTTCTCTCTCCAGTCCTCAGGGCAGTCTCTGCTGAGCTTGCTGCTTTCTGTCACTGCCATCTCTAGTCTCTAAGCCAATCGCACGGGGGTCCGCCAGTTGCCGGCTTTCCTACCGCTACCCTGGCCTGCTTGCACCCTCCCTCTGCACCCACGGCTCTCTTATATTCCTGCCAACTGCTTGGGGGGCCTCCTCAGCTCTGCTGGCTGTCCTGGCCACTGCTTGCCTGGCCCTGGGCCCTCTCTGTCATTCCTCATCTATTGCTGTTGAAATCCTCCAAGGCCCAGTTCAGGGCAGACCTCCTCTAGGAGGCCCTTCCTGGTTAACCCCACCAGAAGGCTTGAGACCAAATGGAGAAAGCACAGGGCCTGCATTAGGCAGGCCAACTAGTTCTCCTGTCACGCTATGAGTATAGGTCTGCCCTGTGCATAAGGGCATCATATTCCTCAAGGGCAGGGGCTCTATGTTATAATTCTTTCCTAGCTCCCACGGCACTTAGCATACACCTGGGCATCTAAACAGCAAGCTATGATCTGAGAATGGACTTCATTTTTACCTCTCCGGAGGTTCCAGCAATGCAGCTGGGCTGGGCGTGGTTAGAGCTGTGAATGTTGGCACCTGCTGCCCACCCCCAAGGACCCAACAACCAAAGAAACCACACATATTTTCAAGCAAAACTGGATATACCAGAACATACCAGTCCCTCCGTGGACAAAGCAAGGTTTCTGTTCTTTATTAACGATGTGTTTTTCCTATCATTATCTGAAATTTAGATGCCTCAAAATGAAAAGTGTTTTGGAGGCAGGATAGACTAGAATCTACAGCCGAGGTGGGCAGATGGGAGTTAATGGAGAGGCGTGAATAAATGCTGAACTGAGAGACAAGTGGAAGTCTTGGATGGCTCAGGAGGTTCACTTAATCTCACTGTCTCAGTTCCTGCCATACTGAGAGGCAGCCTGCCACAGAGGTTAGAGCATGGGTGTCAGAGAGAGACCACGGGTTGAAGTACTAGCTCAGCTACTTTCCTGCTATGTGACCTTAGGCAGGTTACTTGACCTCTCTGGCCTCCTTTTTTCATCTATAGAATGGGAATAATAAACAGACCTTCACTGGATGGTTGTAAGGGTTCAGTAAGTTAACACTAGTAAAGCACTTAAAACAGGGCCTGGAGCATCCTATGCCCTCAGCCAGAGGTAACTCTTTTTACTGTACAACAAAACACGTGTTCCATCTCACAGAACATTGCTCTGGGATGAGCCTTTATGGTGTCTAATGAGCTACTCAAGCAGAACGAATCTTTAGTAAAACATACCAAACAGCTCCCCAGATAGACAGCACCAATTTCTATTCCTTCCAGAAGAGATGGGTGGGCATATCCACTTCACTGTACCTTTACTTGCCAGCCCTGGCTATTCTAATTTTTGTACAAAGCTTCGTGAAATTGATGAGTTAAAAAAAAAGGCATCTTGGAGCTTTTAACTTCAGTATTTTCATTAACAATCATGATCAATCTTTTCTTCTTCTTCTTCTTTTTTTTTTTTTTTTTTTACTGAGGCAGAGTCTCACTCGGTTGCCCGGGCTGGAGTGCAGTGGCGTAATCTTGACTCACTGCAATCTCCACCTCCCCGGTTCAAGCGATTCCCCTGCCTCAGCCTCCCAAGTAGCTGGGACTACAGGTGCACACCATGACGCTTGGCTAATTTTTGTATTTTTAGCAGAGAGGAGGTTTCGCCACATTGGCCAGGCTGGTCTCAAACTCCTGACCTCAAGTGATCCGCCTGCCTCAGCCTCCCAAAGTGCTGGGATTACAGGCGTGAGCCACTGCCGCTAGCCTGATCAACCTTTTCTTATATGTGAACTGATCATTTGCCACAGGTAATCATGTATTTCTGAGCTGTCATTTCCTTTTCCCCTTTTGTGCCACTGAGATGCATGCCTTTCTTTTAAGGATACAAAAGCTGTTTTTATAGGGTTAATATATTAACTTTTTGGCCATATGTGTTATAAATACATACATATGTTTTAAAACTTTAATAGTAAAAAGTTCATTAAGAAACCTGAAATATTTAGTCTTTGACTTGTTCTTCCTCTTTCTTATCCTAAGAAAACAATCAGTGTTCCTGAGCCAGAATATTCACTCTAGTGCCATTTATATTAGGGGAAATAGAAAATTACCCAATATATAGCTAATGTGGTACATTAGCGTGAGTGAATAGTATGCGACCTAAATTAAAATGAGACTTTCTATGAGTGATTAGGAAATGCTCAGATAAAGTGCTAAGTGATAAAAGTAGCACAATGTCCAGAATAACCTCAATTTTATAAAGTGAAGAAAATTATACATATTTTTTGCAAGGTTGCGAAGCTACATCAAAACATTAACAATATCAATTGGAGTTCTTTCTTTCTTTTTTGTCTTTCTGCCTGATGTGGATTCCTAAGGAGCTTATTCTGAGTGGTAGAATTACTGATGCTTTAATCTTCTTTTACCTTTATGATTTCCTAAATTTTCTATAATAAATTATTTTATAACTAAAAAAAATTTATCAATCTCAAACTTCAGTGTTCATCAGAATCACCTGCACGGCTTGTTAAAACAAAGATCACTGTGTCCCATCCTCAGGGTTTCTGATTCAGTAGGTTCACGGTGGGTCCCAAGACTCTGCATTTCCAGCAAATTCCCAGGTGATGCTGATGCTGTTGGTTCAGGGACACACTTTTGAGAACCATGACTCTACACTAAAGGGTATTATTTCTCCCATTACTTTGTTTGCATCCAGGTTGATGAGATGTAAAACAATGGCACCTGATCTTCTTAATCTTTGAGACTGATAAATTGTTTCCACCAGGTGAGAAGGAGCCAGAACATCAAGCCAGTGCAGGCGCAACCCCAGCGCAGGCGCAAGCCCAGTGCAAGCGAGTCTTTGTTCCTACTGCCAGCCCCATGCTCATGGAAGACCTGCGTTCCACACATTCCTTCCCCTGAAACCACCAGGCACCTCCCTTTCCTTCTCATTTTCCAACAAAGTGCACTTGGAGGAATGGGGGCATTTCTCATTTGTATTCTCATTCAAAATGTATACCTACTTTTTGTCTTTTTTAAATGTTATTATTAATTGAAGACTATATGTCTACGTTTTGAATCATAGTTCATGTGTAACAGGCAGGTCCTCCTGGCCCAACCAGGAACTCCTGGTGGGCCCAGACAGCTTGCTTAGGTCCATCCTGGGTGCCTGGCAAATGTGTGTTGGTTTGCTTGGGTCTCCCCTGAGCTCCAGGACTGTGATAGGCCTGGCAGACACTTTGGTGAGGACATACCAACATAAATAACAATCTCATTGATGGCAGCCCTCCAGAGAAAATGAAACAGGAATGAACTTGTAACTGGCTTGGGGTCAGGTACTTCAATAGCGGGGGTTGAGAGAAGGCACTTTGAGTCTGGAGTGTGTTGGTTGGCATGAGGTTGAAGGGATAAGCTGGACAGACTGAAGAGGGTCCCTTAGGCTGGCGTTTCTCGAACCGTCATGTGCACACAACCCCAGGGATTTTGATTCAGTCAGTCTAGGGTGGGGTCTGAGATGCTACATTTCCAGGTGGGGCCCAAGCTGCTGCTCTCTGGGTACAGCCCTCTGACTAGCAAGACCTTGGGCCACAGTAAGGAATTTGAAATCCAATCTAATTACAAGGGGGAACCATTGAGGAGTTGGAAGCAGCAGACTGACAGATCTTACTTATGGTTTAAAAGATGACTCTGGGGGAGAAACTGTGTGGGAAGGCTCCGAGCAGAAGCAGGGTGACAGGAGATGAGGTGGGAGCTGAGGGCACTGGACCTCAGAGGCAGCCATGGAGGCGAAAGAAGTGGTCAGGTAATGGCTAGGCACGGTGGCTCACGCCTGTAATCCCAGCACTTTGGGAGGCTGAGGCGGGCGGATCACTTGAGGTCAGGAGTTCAAGACCAGCCTAGCCCACATGGCAAAACCTTATCTCTACCAACAATACAAAAATTGGGCATGGTGGTGGGTGCCTGTAGTCCCAGTTGAATCAGAAGAATCACTTGAACCTTGGAGGTGGAGGTTGCAGTGAGCCGAGATCACGCCACTGCACTCCAGCCTGGTGACAGAGTGAGACTCCGTCTTAAAAAAAAATAAAAATAAAAAAGAAGTGGTTAGGTCAGGGATATGTGTAGGAACTAGTGCTAGCAGGACAGGGATGTGTCTAGGAACTAATGGACACTGGGGGAGGAGGGAAAGTGGGAAGCAAAGAGACTCTAACCTGCCCCCAGCAAGTAGGTCTGCACAACCCCATTCACTTGGAGACTAAATGAAGCGGCTCCTTTGGCATCATTCACACAATCAGAGCTCCAGGCCTTGCCTGGCTTGCCTGCAGAGGATGCTGGGAAGGAGCAAGGTCAGTTTGCACACTTACATCCCTGGAACACCAGCCCTGAAGGACAGAAGCATGGCTGCAGGAGGCCGACTGATTTTGGGAGGTACCAAGAGAGTAAGTGGGTGCCTCAGGAGTCTCTGCCAGGACTCCAGGGCAGGCACAAGTCCCCAGAGCTGCCCCTGGTCTTGGGGAAAGCAGCCACTTCTCACACCTACTCCTGCGCTCCCTGCAGAGCCATGCCCATGAGCACTGTTCTTCCCAGGCTTCTACTCCAGCTGAAAGAAAGCTGTCCCTCGAAGACAGAGATCCAGGCCATCAGCAGGCCATAACCCAGGAATTGTGGGTAGGGGAGGAAGAGGAGGTGGAATACCCATCTGGTGGCAAAACCATTGTATAAGCAACTGTCAGACATCATGTGACTGCAACTCACAGTTAGCTTGTGTCCCTCCACTGTCATCAGAGCCCAGGGATGGGATGCTGTCCCAGCTGCTCTTGTGTGTCTCAAAACTTCTACAAATCTTTTCAAGTTGGCTTAATACTCTTTTTTTTTTTTTTAAAAAAATGCACTTACTGTACCAAAATATTAAAGGCAAATTTAAGCGATGTACACATTAGAACTACTCCCAGCCCCCACACTTTACTGACCCTGTATCCACTTCTTAGCTCCCTCTGAGCCTGGATGAGATGCCTCCCATTGGTACATACCTGCAGTAACAGTGGCTCTATGAGGGTGTCTCCCTAGGGCAAATGGGATTCTGGATTTAGCAGCATGTGAAACTGATGGGCAGCAATTCACATGAAGGCTTTTGGATTGAATGAGAGGCTGGGTACAGGTAGGAGATGGCAAGACTGATGGTGTGAGCCATCACCTGGCCTGAGAGGCAGGTTTCCATCTGTAAAATAAGGGCTTAGGAGAGAGGCTGAGCACTGCGGGGGACCTGGGCCCTGATGACAATGTGGGTACAGGGAGAGGGAAAAGGCTGTGCTGGGCACAGAGTGGCTCTGGTGTCCTGAGGGCTCAGGATGGCTTTAGGGGAGACAGTGTTCTCACCAAGCAGCAGCAGAGACCCATGGATGTGGAGGATACAGCATTAAGGCCTGAGCTGACCTGTGCCTGGGGCCCAGTGACATGCTGCAGTCCCTGGTGACTTACAGCATAACAGAAGGTTTCCTGCAGGTCTGGGGAGGAGGTGCCAGGCTCCTGCAGCCGAGCCAGCTGAGCTTGGAGCCATCTAGATCGGGCTGTTCATGTTGCTGTGACCAAAACTCTCAGAGGCTATGGAAACTGAGATCTTCTTGGACCAACAGCAATGCCAGCACAGCCCAGTGTAGGCACAGAGGTGTGGGCAGCACAGTTCTTCAGGGCCTCAGAACCCAGTCCATGGTGCTGTACAGTGTCTGGATCTGTTATTTTAATGGCGTATAATATTCAACTGAATGGATGGTCGACAATTGATATTACCATTTTCCTACCTTTGGCTGATTGTTGGTCATTTTTTTCTCTTTTGTTATGAAAATGTAGTTGTTTCATCTTTATTTTATAGGCACACAGGTGCTGCAGTAGGGTATGAGGGAGGTGGAGGGCAGAGACTATCATGCTGTCCTGCCCACGTGCAAGCTCCCTGTATAAGAGGCCTCCAAGCAAGAGGCACCATTAAATTCATGGTGCCAGATGGTTGCAGCCAATTCTTCTGAGAAGGCCCAGAGCAGCTGAGGCTGGTGAGGGCTGGGATCACAGTAATCCCTGTGATTACTGACTTAATATGTTACAACAGGCTCTGGTGAAGTATCCGAAATGGGCAGCAAAATGCAAGGGTTGGAGTTCAGGTGGTGGGGAGTGGCCTTCCCAGTGAATGAACTAGCTACTTTGGGCTTCCGGGATTCTTGTCCTGCTGTACATTCAGTCCAACCCAGGAGGAAGAAGAACTGCTCACACCTGAGCCTCCACTCTATTAGCACCATTGTAGCTGCTCAGCAAACGAATGAATGAGCAGATGAGTGAATGAACAGACCAGATGGGAGCTGCTTATGTACTGCATGCACTCTAACCGCCCCCCACTCCCAACACACACAAGAAAGTTGAAATATTCCCTCTTGGACTCTGACTCCTTGCAGGAGGGGATGCGGATCTATGGGGCTGGTCGAACTTGTCCTTGGGGCTCTGTCTGGAGGGGCCTGACACCCTGGGCTGTAGCATCTCTCTCCTGGCAGCTGTGGGTACCTGGGTGAGCTGCCCCCAGACACAGAGAGCAAGCAAGCCTGATGCCTATGGCTGTACCTCCATGTGGATCACTGATTGCTTTGTGATCACCCATCAAGTGATCACATGATAGGGGTTGAAAGGGGGACAGAGAAAGCAATATAGGATATACTTCCTCCCTCTAGGAAGTTTACAAACGAATGAGAAAAATGAGTCACATCCAGGCTGCAGAGGGCACAGAGATGAGCCACCCAGATGGGGACCCCAGCTGCTGGGAGCAAGGTCAGCATTCAGCCCTCAGCTCAGGACAGCCCCTTCAGGGTTGCAGAGAGCCACCTGGCCCAAAGTCACGCCTTCCAAGAACCGCACATTCAGCGACTATGCAGGGCGTCAGAGGCCTGGGCGTTTTGGCCCAAGCTGGGACAAACTTGAAGAGGCCCTTTCAGCCCCAGAGGTCCCTGTGGGGTTGGCATAAGTGGTAGGGCTGGCATTGCTGCAGCAACTCCCTCCCTCCCCCTGCCTCTTGCAGGAGTTGATCCCCTGAACACTCCTAACAAACATCCTGCATGTTAAACTGCTTCCTGGTCGGCTGCCCAGAGAACCCAGCCTTTCAAACAGGGAAAACAATACTGAAAAGTCAGTCATATGGCAACATTCAGGGTTAATTTTGTAGTTCAGGCTCTGAGCAGTATAAGAATGGTGAATATAGAAGTAAGTGCTGCAGGATGCATCCTTATAAAAGAGCTCTCCTTAGAAATGATCGTGTATATTTTTATTAATGAGATTGTAAACATAAACATGTATATTACGATTTTTTTTTGTTAATGTGAAGGGTTGTTTCTCTCATATTTTATGTTCGATGTTCAGCTCTGGGGTCCCTGATGGACAAGAGGTGATGTAGCCTGGGGACAGTGAGATGGTTTCTTTCCTGCAGGGCTCAGCCAGCCAGGAAATATGCCAATTAAGGCAAAGCTCTCTGTGAGGAATCATTTGAGTTGTCAAGTTAACCCCATGACCTGGGGATCATAGGCTGGGTACTATCTCCCCAACTCTCCAGGCAGGCTGGGCCCCTTTAATTGGCATCAGTTACTTTGGGGCATGGTGACCTCTACCTAGAAATGTCGGATTCTCTGGAGATGATGAAAAAGCCGAACAAAGCCCGCAGTCTGTCTGCCTGACTGCAACCCTCAGGCAAGCCTGGGATGGCAGGCGGTGGGAATGGGTCCCTCATGTGAATGTATTAGGAGACACTGAGTAGCAGGTACCTTTCCTGGAAGTCAACAGCACATGCTGGAATAGAATCTGCACCACAGTCCTTAGAGCCAAGCAAAATGCAACCAACCACCTTTGAGAACCATGGTGTTTTGTTACTAATTATCTTTTGCACATGCTTTTACTACTCAGTTATTGTTTATCGTATATTAAGTTCATTATTACTACAGAGGAGCCAGCTGGAAGGGGGTGGGGTGAATCTGCATTGCCCCCTGCTGTTCTGTGAGGATTACTAGGGTCTCTGGGCACCTGCAGGGGTTTGGAGATGGTGGGCTGAACAGTTCCAGCACCATGGGATTAAGGCTGAGCACTCACCCTCAGGTAGCTGAGACCCAGGAATCCTGATAGGATGCTGGCTGGCATTTTTGGTTTGGTGTCTGTGAAGTGCTATCTGAGCCAGCCCAGGGGGCTCCAGTTCCTCAAGGAGCAGGGGTGGGTGAGAAAGCAGGAAAGCAAGGACAGCTTTTGGGAATGGACAGGCAGAATTTTAACACTGGTTGGGAGAAAGCCCCTTGCAGTTTTCCCCTCTCTCCACCTCTCTGCTCTGAGGACAGCAGCGGTGGCCAGTTGGGACAGCCAGGATGGAGTCTAGGGCCAGGTCAAGGCAGGAGCAGCAACTGCTGAGCCACACCCTCAGCTTTCATCAGCCGTGGCAGGAGAAACGCCACGGTCACAGGCAGAATGCAGGGGCCACTGGGAAGCAGGGGAGGGGCAGAGGTTTGCTGCATGGGAGCTCTGAGTCAAAAACTACTTTCAAAATTACAGCTACTGTGTGCTAGATATATCGCATAATTTATCTTTTTGATCTTCTCATCAGCTCAGAGGACAGCTATGATTATCCCACTGAACAGATAAACAACCTGGGACTCAGAAGTTCCAAGTAGTCCACAGTGACTCAATTAGAAAGTGGGTGAACTGAGGTGGGAACCCAGATCTAAGTGGATTCTTATCCAGTAAGGGCTTCCTGCTGTGGAAGCCGTGTAAGGGATCTCACTCCTGAATGGAATTCTGGACTAGATAGTGTCCGTAGGAAGAAGGTGGCCCCAGCCCTGAAAGGTGCATCTCCCTCTGGCTGCTTACAGACATCTGTTTTTGCACGCTTGAGCTACTGGTGGCTGGCTGCCTTGCTAGGGAACCCCCTTAATGGGGTGCATGGACAGCCCTCTGTGCCATGGTGTAAATGGCAACTTGTTTCAGGATTCGGCTAACCCTGTTCCCCAGACCACAGCAGACAGGGGAAGGATAACAGAGGTGCTGGCCATAACAATATGATGGCTGGAGACGCAGTGAAGCACTGTGGAGTTGGTCTTGGGGTCAGGCAGATCCTTATTCTGGGTCCACCATCCACCAGGGAAGAACTTTTAGACCAGGAGGGCTTCTGATGTCCTAACATTGTCTGCCTTGCCCCTCATTAGGTGGCTCCAGTAGACAAGGTGATCCAGGGCAGGAACCCTGCCTGGGCAGCCCCAGGAGACACTGTACAGCAGATAAAGTCTGGTGTGGTGTGGCTGCACTGAGGTCGCTAGCCACGCATTCTAAGAATGCAAGATATCATCGTGCAACTCTCTTTACCTAGTGTGCTTTGGGCAAGTGATCCTGGAAGGGCCCTGCCAAGAGGAGGGGAGCTGGCATGCTGGCGGCAGGGTCAGTAGAGAAGCACTGCGCACCGTGCAGTCAGGCTCCCAGGGAGTACTGCACATTTGGCCAGGACTATGCTTCAGGGATACATCATTTTTTATATCATTTGATTTCTTCAAAGGATATCATTTCAAAAATTTACATACAGGTATTTTCTATTTTCCTTTATTACCTCTCAGGCTGACTTTCCCCATTATTATTACCTGTTCTCAGTCTCTGGTAATAATTACTTTAAAAAATCCATTATGAGATAATTCTTCACTATCATTGGTAAGTGATTTAGTCTAAGAGCAGACCAGGATTTTGTCATAGACAGGTCTAAGAAGGGTCTTATTAATCACATCAGAACACCTGTGTCTTTAATATACCCTCTGATACCCTGGGGCTTGAAGACAGCCCTGGGCACCACTCTCCTCTGTCCTTATGAGAGCGGCGCTCTGAGGACAGCCCTAGACAGTGTGACCCCCAGTGGCTCTTGAATCCAATCACCTGGAACTGATTGTGGACTCCAGCCTGTCCTGACTTCCACAGTGTGTTGCTTAGCTGGTCTCAAAAATTTCAGCCCATTCTAGCTCCCCGGGGGAGATGCCCTCATTGGCTTCTTGTTACATGGGGACACCTGCTTGCAGTGGGGCCATTGTGATGAACCAGGCTTGTTATTTGAATGGCATGTGACACTTCCATTGCTTTGGGTTTCATCAATCCCTCTGAGGAGAGGTGTGTGCTGGGAGAAAGGGGGGAGGACCAGAGCTCTATGCTGAGTTTGTGGAGTTCTTCAACCTGGTAGGGGCAATCCTCTTGGAGTCCCTTGTAAGGCTGAGCATTTGTGTGGAGGATCTAAAGTCTTGCTGGCCTCAGGAAACAGAGAAAATGACTTCTACCTTTCCGCCTGGGCCCAGGTCAGAGTGACCATCTGCAGCCTTAGGGCAGGGAAGAAGGGGGAGCAAAAGAAATAGAGATGGGAGAGGGAGGAGGAAAGGGGGAGGGAAAAGAGAACCTTCAAGGTTCAAGGGCAAGAGCAATGAAGGAAGATGCGCGTGGCTCAGTGAAGGTTCTGTGTAAATGGTGAAGGCCACCACTTATGGAGTGTGCACAACAGGCCAGGCACTGATGGCTTTCCTCATTCAGTCTTCACATCAACCCTAGGAGGCTCCATCCCCATTTTGCAAATGGGGAAACTGTAGCACAGAGAGGTTAAGTAACTAGTCCAAGGCCACGGAGCCTGCAGATGACAGAGGTAAGACTTGAACCAGGCCCTGATTCCAGAGCCTATGTGCTAAGAGGCTGTGCCATACTGCTTCATCATCAGTCCCAGCTCAGAGCACCTCCCTGAAGGCTCCCCTGAGCCCTTGGTCGAGACCTCCTCCCCCTGCTCTGACACTGAACAGCACTGTCTCTCTTGTACCACTCAGCTGAATGTCATGCCTGATTCTACAGAATCTTGCTTCATTTTTAGTTCTGGTCTTACCTGGCTAAATGGATGACAACTCTTTAGAAGGAAGGGGCCAAAGACCTGCATGGGTGTCCTACAGGGGTCAGCATGGGGTCCGCACACAGTAGGTGCTGCTTTGTCTTTGCTGATGAGGCATCGCCTTCGATGGCCCCCACTGGTTGTGAGGAAGGCCTTGTGGGCCAGCATTTCTCCTCCCAGGGCCCCACTGTTCTCCCCTCGGTTCTCCCCACGTGAGGCTCACTCGACCTTTCATCCCAGCGTGGGCTTTGGGGTTGGCCGACGCTCAGCTCCTCTCCTCTGCCTGGGGCTGCAGAGAGTTCACCACTGTGTTATTGGAAAAGCTTCCAAGAGTTGGAGCCAGGTTCACTCAGAGGGTGCGCCACAGGAGTGGGAGAGGAGGGATGGGAGGGAACATGGAGAGAAGCTGTCCCCTCGGCAGGGAGCAGTGGCGGGAGAAGGGAGGGAGAAAGAGGCAGCAGATTTGAGAACTCCACAGCTGCGTGTCCACAAGGGCCGGCCAGAGGCTGCCCAGCCCAGCCAAGGGGCCTCCTCCCCAAGGCCTGAGTCATCTGGAGGACCCCGTAAGCTCCATCTTTATGTTCGCTCCATTTGTTCTCCAACCTTCCCTGGGTCATACCTACTGTTACCATGAAGAGCTCCACAGGCCTACAGGAAATCACTCCTGCCTGCCTGAACATCAGCCTCTGGGCTGTCCAGTTCAGCTTGACCTTTGGGAAGCTCCTGGTTCTCCCTGCAATGCCCCGAACCGACTGCTCCCCGCAAGGTGCCCTCACTCTGGCCCTTCATCCTCCTCTCCATTTAGCCGCCTGCCAGGCTGTTCTCATGCACCGGCCACACAAGTGGCTAGAAATGTGGCACGATTAAAGTGGTCTAGGAAGTCCCCTTCCCCAAATAAACAACTGGCCCCATGCACTGCCCAGAGTGCCTGACTTTGCTTTTTCCTTATGCCTGAGTCCCATCATTAGAAATGTCTGCTGGCCGGTTCACAATTGTAAAGATATGGAACCAACCTAAGTGCCCATCGACCAATGAGTGGATAAAGAAAATGTGGCATACATACACCATGGAGTACTACTCAGCCACAAAAAGGAACAAAATAATGTCTTTTGTAGCAACTTGGATGGGGCTGGAAGCCGTTATTCTAAGTGAAGTAACTCAGGAATGGAAAACCAAATTCTGTATGTTCTCACTTGTAACTGGGAGCTAAGCGATGGGTACGCAAAGGCATACAGAGTGGTATAATGGACACTGGAGACTCAGAAGGGGGAGAGTAGAAAGGGGGTGAGGGACAAAAAAAACTACATATTGTGTACGATGTATACTACTTGGGTGAGGAGTGCACTAAAGTCTCAGATTTCACCACTATATAATTCAGCCGTGTAACCAAAAACCACTTGTACCCTAAAAGCTATTGAAATAAATTTTTTTTTTTAAAGAAAGAAGTGTGCGCAGGTAAGCCCTCTCTTTCAAATACAGACACCCTGAGAAGGGGACCATGTGGTAGTGAGTGTCTCTTCCACACCTTAATGTGAATTCGTGCAAAGAACTGGATTTTCCTAATAACTAGGTTTGGTCATCAGAACGAGGGGATGAGGTGAGGGGTTTGAAAGGGTGCTGAGAGCTTAGATGGGATGATTTCGGAACACAGATTCCTGGATGGGCGGGTCTCAGCGGGTGGGGAGAGGAATTTGAGCAGTGTAGGAAAAGCATGAAGATACCAGGGGAAAAAACGTGTGCTGCAAACGCCCGTTTCACTGCCCTCCAAAAAAACTGCCAAAGGAGAGTGGTGAAAAACCAAAGGTCAAAGACACACTCAGGGTGGCTTCATAACTTCCCAATGTCCCCATCTCCTGGTTAGAACCAATGTTTATGTATTAACTGAGGACACACACACACCCAGAGAAAGTCCAAAAAAAAAAAAAAAAAACCACATAGCAATGCCCAGAAAACTACCCCAAACATGTTCCTTTCAAAGCTGCCAACTGAGGAGCCCTCCCTGATCAGTCGGAGGCAGATCAGACCTGTTTCCTTTAATTGCAACTTCCACCCTTCTAGAATTTCTACTCCTCTGCAGGTCCAGGCCACAGAGACATTAATCCCTATTCAAGTGAAACTTCAAGGTTTTTCCTTCTATTAAAAAAATGAAAAACAAAAAACTCTCAAAACACCCCAAAGCAGTGTCTCTAATGTCACTGGTGTGTGCATTTGCCCGGAAGGGAGGGAGAGGCTCCGGGCACGGCACTGCATGGAGGCCTGGCCTCAAGTTTCCTCACCTGGCCTCTCTCTCGTTGAAAGGCAGAAATGCAACCCTTGGTCCCTCCTCCACCCCACCTCCCCACCCCCTGACAGCTTTAATAAACTGTGATTATTTCAGTCCCTACAGCACAGCTGTCCTGTGAATTGTCCAGTCAGGGTTATGGGGTGGAAGCCAAGGTCTGGAGTGTGGAGCTCAGATCTCCGAATAAACCGGCCCTCCCTTTCCCTCCTCTGCCTCCCTGCTCCCTAGCAGGTGGGAGTCAGGAGGAGGGCGGTCTCTGGCTGAGACCAGGGATGACAGAAGCATTTTCTGAGCAGCCTGCTGATGGCAGAGCCCCAGTAGGGGAGGGTAAGGGAGCAGAGCTTGCAGACAGGGTTAGGGGTGGAGTCGCCTTACCTACGTGCTGTGAATGCAGGCCTCTCCAAAATCCTCCTTCATCCCAATCAAGGAGCCCTGAAATTGTACCTCTAGAGATTAACCTCAGGCTGCTTCTCTGCTTAAAATGTGCTGGTGCATTATTTGAGGACAGAAATGGAGCTTTAGTCACTTTGTCATTTACAGGAGGTATTTGGGAAAAGTTGGTTGAATGAGTGACATTCTGGGCCGCTATTAGAAATAATAATAGAAGAAGAGGAGCAAAGCTCTGGGGGCTTTAAGGGAAGTGGGCAGGGATGACCCTGAGTGGGGAGGGAGAAGAAAGTGATGCTAGGTCAATCCTACCATATCACAGTTGTGCACACAGCTAGCCAGGGCAACAACACGGGTGATCTGGTCCTTGCCCTTGAAGAGCGTGACTGTCTTACCAAGTAACGGCCATTTGTATGACTCTGCTAATCCTCCTCCGAGAAGTTGGGAAAATTGTCCTCAACACTCAGAATGGTCAAAGCTGAACTTCAGAAACCATCTACTTAAAGGCTCTCTGAATCATTTTCAGCAGCAGAAGCCCCCTTTTATAAATAAAATTTTGTGCAGAACCAGATCCACACAGATCTGTTTTGCTTGAGCCAGCTGTGTGAATCTCTGTGGAGAACACCAGCGTAATCCATCCAACTCCCCATTTCAAGTCAGGAAATTGAGGCAAAGAGAGGTTAAAAAGTGTTCTCAGACTTCACCACAATCACCTCCAAGCACCCGGTGGCCTCCCTTGAGATTCAACTTCAGTACTTCTTGGGTAGGCATGGGCATCTATAATCTTTTATTTATTTTTATTTTTTACTTTTTTGAGATGGAGTCTTGCTCTGTCACCTAGACTGGAGTGCAGTGGTCCCATCTCAGCTCACTGCAACTCCCACCTCCTGGGTTCAAGCGATTCTCCTGCCTCCGCCTCCCTAGTAGCTGGGATTACAGGTGCGTGCCACCACGCCTAGCTAATTTTTCTATGTTTAGTAGAGATGGGGTTTCACCATATTGGTCAGGCAGGTCTCGAACTCCTGACCTTAAGTGATCCGCCCGCCTCCGCGTCCCAAAGTGCTGGGATTACAGGCGTGAGCCATGGCACCTGGCCTGAAATCTTTTAAAGGACTTTATAGGTGATTGCAACATGTAATCAGGTTTAGGAACTGCTGGACTAAGCACCATTTGATGGTGAAGAGTCCATTCATAGCAGAGCATAGTCCAGGCTGCTCTTGGGTCATACAAGCCAAATTCCATTACGATAACTTCCAAGAAGCACTGGAATTCACTTCTGGTCCTCAGGTTTGGCTACACTGAACATGATGCCACAGAATGGCTAATGACCAGGACTTAGGATGTTCTAATGAAAGGATAGTTGTTTTTTTTTTTGTGTGTAATGTTTGGTAGTCTTCAAACTAGGTGAGTTCCCCCATGCCAGTTGGCTCAAATTTGTCTTTGTTAAGAGTGTTAGTTATCCTATTCAGTCCCATAGGCATAAAACTGGGATAAAATGATTTCACTGTGGAGCTGAAATATCAGCATGAAATAGAGTACTCAGCCATACAAAGTGACTGTCTTATAGGGACATAGAGGGAAAGCTCAGTATAGAGCTCTGGGACATGCAAAGGAAACACCAGGGTGTGCAGGATGCTCAAGAGGTCTGAATGGCTCTCACTATACCTATAGAAAGCAAGCATGGCTGAGCTGATCCCAGAATATTTCCTGGCTACTGCTCCCTTGAGCATATAAACCCTTAAAGATAGGACGGCTACAATAAAAAGGCCATATTATCAACAAGTGTTGGTGGGGATATGGAGAAACTGGAACCATCACATACCTGCTGGTGGGAATGTCTAATGGTACAGCCACTGTAAAAAAACATTCTGGTAGTTTCCCAAAGGGTAACTATCAAGTTACCATATGACCCAGCAATTCCACTCCTAGGTATATACCCCAAAGAAATGAAAACCTAGGTCCACACAAAAACTTGCAAATGATTGTTCAAAACAGCATTATTTACAGAAGCCAAATATGGAAACAACCTATATATCCATCACGGGTAAATGGATTTACCCATTATGGGTAAATATAATTATGAATGGGTAAATAAAATATGGTGTATCTATACAAGGAATATTGTTCAGCAATAAAGAGAAATGAAGTACTGATGCATGCTACAAAGCTAACGACTCAAAAGTGTTAGGTTAGTTGAAAGACACTAGTCACAAAAGACCACATATTATCTGATTCTATTTATACGAAAGGTCCAGAATAGGCAGATCTATAGAGACAAAAGGTAGATTATTGGTAACCTAGGACGGCTTGGGGTGAAATGGGCAGTGACTGCTAATGGGTACAGTATTTCCTTTGGAGTAATCAAGATACTATAAAACTGATTATGATAATGGTTACACAGCCCTGCAAATATGCTAAAAACCATTGAATTTACACTTTAAATGGGTGGATTATATGCTATGTGAATTATATCTCAATAAATTTTATTGACTGTTTTATTAAGAAAAACAGAAACAAAACAAACATTAGAAAAGTTTCTGTTGTTTAAGTTCTGCTTAATAGAGGCAGCCTCTGCTAGATTTCCCTAGGGCTTATGGATGGCAAGTGTCAACAGGAGCTGAGACCACTGTCATCTCTCCAGTGACCTCTTCCAGTGGCTCCAGAAAGACCAACGGACCAACCTGTTGTCTCCAGAAACAATTTAACAGAATTGTCAGCCAGACTCCACAGCCAAGAAAGCAATAGCCCTGCAGGTATGTGTACAACGCATATGTGTAGGCAGCACAGATTTTCCTGAAGGCCAAGTCCAGTTATATGATATCATTTGGGAGGGCCACATGTACATTTGCATCTGGTTTGCATCTAATTTGGAAAAGCCGACATAGATCATGTGCCGTATTATTAGGTAATTTTTCAAGTTTGGAGTCTCAGAGTTGCTCCACTCAATTTGTTCAGTGGATGGACTCAGTTATTGACTGATGAATTACAGCTTGCTCCGGGGTTCCTGGCCTAGGAGGGGCAGCCTGTGGTCATGCAAGCTTTCCTGTTCTGTGTTCCATGCACACACAAGCCAAGCTACCATTGTGGGGCAGCTCTTATCCCATGGGGGGAACCTCCTTCTCACTAGCTGGCCTCTGGCATGGAGGAGGGAGGTGCATGGGTGCGGATGAAGTGGAAGGAGGCCCACTCTAGCTGATCCCCTTCCAAGCAAGGCCTAGATGGAGGGGGCCTTCCAAATGGAACAAAAGGGAAAATGACAGAAGAGAGCAAGCATTTCTATTTATCTAAACACAGGATCAAGATGTACAGTGGGAAAGTGAAATTATGCTGCAATTTTGAAAGTCATCCACTGAAGATAAACTCTCCCTTCAAAGGAATTACTCATTTCACTCCATCATGATACCTCAGGGTCTATCAGTATTCAAATTTATTAAGCAATAACATGCAGAATGTATGATATAAAGGGCCTGTGTCATCACACATTCCCCACGCTATTTTTTTTTTTTTTTGCTAAGTCATGAGAAGTGCAGCAAGTTAAAAATCAAACAAAAATTAACAAGCACACACACACAAGATGGAAAATAAATCCTCCGTGGAAGTTACTATGAAGCAGGAGGCTTTAGAAAGGAAAAACACAATCTCTGACTAATATGAAGGAGACTCCAAATTGCTCTTGGCAACAATCTCTCAACCCGATTCCCCTCCCTCTATTCATCTCCACAGTTCCCAGCCAAAGGAAAATAAACTGAACAGCTCTCTCCCTGGCCCAACCTGTAGGGCTGCCTGGCTGAGCAAGGGCTGAGCAAACAAACATCCCCATGCAATTATACACCTGTGTAATTGCTGTAAACACTGGGATAGCCAGCTGGGTGCTCACGGCCCTTATCAAGCTGATAATCTCAATATTGGGGGAAAATGCCTTTATTCTGGCAGCACGACATCAAGGTAGTATGCAATATGATCTTGTGACCTCAAACCCAGGATTTTTTTTTTTTTTTTTTTTTAAGAAAAGGAAGTAGAAAAAAACTATTCTTCTAGCAGAAGTCGGTAACAATTCTGGGGAAAGAAAGTCCCAGAGCATCACTCAGATGGGTAATAGTTTCAAGGCAAGATTTATCAGTTCACCTTCCTCACAAAAGTGATAGTTAATTTTAGAGGTAGTTATCTTAAACCTATTACACCATTCAGGATGGAAGGAGAGTTAACAGGCCAAACGCCCCAGATTATTTATGGCTGCTCTGTCTCAAACATCCATCCAACACCATTCTATTAGGACAGATATGTCTGGTCAGCTAAAACGAAGGAGGACAGGATTCTCAGGAAATGGCATTGTAAGTGGAGATGTAAGTGGATGAAGGGTCTTTCAGTTGAGTCCTAAAACCGCCCCGGAAGGCCAAAGTGAGCTGCTCTGTGAACCATGTACGGTCTAGAGACTTGGGTTCTAGTCTTGGCTTTGCTACCAACAAGTCCTGTGAGTGTAGACAAGCTTCCCTCCCCAAAGGTAAGGGCAGGCGCTTGAAGCTAAACTCGAGTCCTATGAAAATGCCATCCTGGCCACTGAGGAAGTGGGCAGATGCATCAGCAGGGTGACACCCTGGGACAGTTCTCAGCCCGGCCAGCACTGATCCAGAGAGAGATGCCAGTACTCTCAGAGACTGTTTGGGCCTCTTCTTGTCATCTCCAGCTGGCATGTGCCAAAAGTGCAGACTCTTCGAAACCCACAACTGTAAACCCTAAATGAATAATCTGAACAGCAGGGGCTCAAACAGCTTCCTGGGCACTTGGGGCAGAGGCTGACTGTGCTGTGTGCATTCCACTGCATCCCCTTGAACCAGGGACAAGTCCTGGTGACTGCAGCATGGAGACTCCAGTCATTCTAACTTCCCCGCTCTTTCCTCTCCTTCCTTCTCCCTCTCCTCCTCTTCATCCAGGCCTCCTGCTGCTGCTTCTCAACAGCAATGCTTCCCAGGCTCCTTCCCAGGCTCCATCTCACTTCATCCAACCCTTTGAGGGTTGCACTATTACTATTACTATTACTATTCCCATTGACAGAGGCCAGAGATCTCGTCTGATTTCAGTTACTGATGTATGCCCAGCACTTAGCATGGTACCTGGACACATACAGTAAACAATACAATAGCGTTGAATAAATGACTGATTGTTTAAAAAGAAAATGACATTAAAAAAAGTTAATATTAAGTGTAACACATACTATTTTCTGTTGTACTATAATTATACCAAGGCGATTCCTGTCTCTGCAGTTAAAGTGTAAGATTCTAAAAGACGTGGGGTACAATGAGTGGCTTTCAATCCTGCCTCTGCTACTACCTGGACAATGTATTTAACCCATTTGGGCCTCAGTTTCCCCATCTGCAAAGTGGGGCTAATGATTCATATCTGATGTGGCCTAATATGAGTCTTTTTTGGGAGAGTGGGTTCTTTTTCTATGCAGCCCAGGTTGTGCCTTAAGGGGGGAGGACCGGCACTGGGGCTACTTTTCTTTCCTGGAGTTTCACCCAGCGGGGGTTCCTGAGCCTTTCTAAGCCCAGAGAGGATTTAACTGGGTGAAAGAAGGGGAACGGAGGGAGTGGAGCTGAAACTTGAACCTGGCAGAGCCTTTACCACCTCCAAGCCAGCGCGCCCCTCCCCCTTCCAAAAAATCTTCTATCTCATCTGGAGAAACTGCTCGATTGTTTCAATCACTTCCTTTCTATTTTCAAAATTCCGCATTTAGAAGAACTGGAAGTGGTCTGCCACTAGCCGACCAATAAGTCGCTGGAGTGGGGCTTCCTTCTGCGCGAAGCTGGGTACCAGCTATTAAAAGAAAGAAGGCAGCCGCCCGCTGCCCACCCGCCTGCCGGCACAGACACAGCCAGGACAACGGAAGCCAGGAACAGAAAGGAGCGACCCTGGAGCCCTCACCACAGAGCACGGCGTGGGGGACCCGACGCTGGATGCTCCGCGCGGGGTGGGCGGCGGGCAGGGGGGCGTGGGTGCTGGGTTAGGGGGAAGCTCTCTCCATCGTCCTTCCCAGGCCAGCCCCGCGGCCGCTGCGCCCGCCTGCAGGAACTCAGGCGCTCCAGTGGGTGACGCCGGCCCGGGCGCCCGCGGGAGTGGGGACGCACGGGGTCAGTCCTTTTGCGCCACCCACACCGGGCCGTCTCCGGAGCTGAGAGACTATAGCTCGACTCGCCTGCTCGGGTGGGAGTGCTCCCCATCCACTCACCCCCAGGTTGGAGTCCAGGGAAGAGCCCCCCACCCACCCAGCTCAGCGCGCGATTTGAGCCCAGGGACCTGACAGGGCTCCCGCCGCGCGCCTAGCTGGACTTCTGCCAATCGCTCCTTTAATTTCTGCCCGTATCGCCGGCCCTCGACTTTTGCCAAGTTGCCATGGCTTTTGTCCCCCCTCCCTCCCGTCCCCAAGTTTTGCATCTGACTCTCAGGAGGACCAAGCATTCTTGGGGGAGACAATTTAAACTACCAAGGTACACCCGCAACTCCCTCTCGGAGTGCCCTTACGTTCCTTCGGCTGGCCCCTCGCCCCAAAGGAGCCCGCTGGCGTGGGCCGGCGGCAATGGGGCAGTGGCGAGAGTTGCTCTCTGCAGAGTTCCAGATCCTCTCTCCTATTTCGGAAGAGGTGCGTGGCCCCACGCCCCGCAGGAGCTCCGGCGAGGCTGGGGGAGTTGAACGCTTTGCGGACGCCGCCACCCGCGCCAGCCAGAGCCGCCCCGCGGCCACCCGGCCACAGGGTCCCCGCAGCGCGTAGCGAGAATGCCCGCAGCGCTCTCCCGGCCGCCCGGAAGGGCTTCCTCCCCCACCCCCTCCCCACGGCCCGGCCGCTGGGCTCCCCAGAGCCCCGATCCTAGCCCAGAGGCGGGCCGAGGCCGCCGCAGACCCACCTGGCCGCCCCGGGGACGCCGCGCTCGTGCCCGGGCCGTGTCCTGAGCGCCGCCAGGGTCCCGGGCTGGGAATCCACGCGGCCGCGCTGCTCGCGGGAGCCTGCCGCAGCCGGCGGGAGGTTGTCATTGATTCGTGCTGGGCGAGTTAAGCCATTCCAGGAGTGGTTTTGAGAGAGCACTCCCTCCCCACCCTCCAACCAGAAGTATTTGGCCGGGAGCCCCTTTGGTCCACCTGTACTGTTAAGCGCAGGACAGGACGATCTCACCACTCGCGCGTTACGCTTCACTTTATGACACCAAATTAAGATCTTTGGAAAAGGTAAAGCAGAAATAAAGGCAAGGGCGGTGGAGGAGCTTTTCTTTTCCCCTCTTTTCTTCCGGGTTCCTCCGTTTTGTTTTTTGTGGGTTTCCCCCCACTCTCCTTCTCTAGTACTTCACAAAATGACTTACCACTTATCTCAAAGCAAGGGAGGCTTTTTATTATTATTGTTTTATTCAATTCAGCGTGTCTGTCTTTTTAGAGGCAATTTATTTCCATTTGCCTGAAACCTAAGCCCAATAAAATTACTAGAATTATATGTTTTCTCCTTACAGGGTCGTGAGTGTAACTTAACCAAATCAAACACTAAACAGCAATCCTTTAAGTAACAAAAAAAAGAGGGAGTGCAGGAAGTAACCACAGCACTGCAGCTCCCTCCTCCGTTGGAGATCATGAGACCTTGTGGGTGGGACCCACAGACACCCCTTCCCCTCGAACAAACAGACATATCACGCAGGCTGACTCAGAAATGCCAACTGGAGATTCCGGCAGTCCACACTGGGGTGGGCCAGCCACCAATCACAGAGGTGTGGCCAAACACCCTCTCCCAGGCCTTTCCTTCAAACCTCACACAAACCTCTCCTTCGAGCCTTCTTGAAAACTGCCACCTGGGAGGCTCTGGCCAGCTGGGTGCTGTCAGGCCTCTTTTACCCTGGAACTGACTGGTCACCTGGAGGAAATAACCATTTAATGCCTTGATACCTCTGCTGACTGTTCTCAGAAATGGGGGAAGCGCCAGGGGAGTGAATCTTTCCTGTTGATCATCTTACCCCGGTGCCATGGAAAATAAGCACAAAACAAGAGTCCAACGAGGTGCTTGGCCTTCCATGGCCTCTGCCACTCTTCTCCGGCAGGCCATGAGCCTTAAAGGATCCTGAAACCAGAAGTAAATCTCAAAGGTGCATTGGCCATGAAGGTCCAGGGATGAGGCTGTGCTTTGCAGAGCCCCAGAAAGATGGTTCAGACAAAACTATCTCCTCCAACAGGTGCCCCTTGCCTGAAATTCCAATGTTAGAGATTCATTCCTTCTCGGGGTATGCCCTGCAGGGAGCCTGCCCCAGAGAGGCAGGGAAACTTGTGTCAGGAAGGCAGGAAAGGTCGGGTCTCTCTCTGTGGTTCCCTCTAAAACTGTAAATACCCACCGCTGCAGGCAGGGGAGCAGGCATTTCCACAATAGACTAGAATGCATCTGTCAAACCCTCCATGCTGTGGAAAGAGGGCTGTGGACTGCTGCGTGAGGGGAGAGAGAGGCTGGGCAGCCAGGATGTGGTGGGGAGAGGCTGCTAGGTCAGGGAATTGGGTGCTGAAGGGAAGAAGCAGGGGTGCTTCATCAG
Organism: Homo sapiens; assembly: GCF_000001405.40. Lineage (NCBI taxonomy): Eukaryota > Metazoa > Chordata > Mammalia > Primates > Hominidae > Homo > Homo sapiens. The sequence goes on from NC_000018.10 coordinate 48,138,660, forward strand.
AGCAGGTGGACAGTTTCCAAGATTGGATGACTCCATAGCTTTTTATCAAAAACCAGGTACTCCCGGAACACCCAAGACAAAGACTGAGAAGTCAAATCCCTTTGTCCACAAAGGCACTAGTTAAATATCCAATGAAGCATTAACTCCACACTCCACTCCCAGACCCCAGGAGGTAAAGGTGCCAACACATGACCTGGATGGAATCAGTATGAATCCAGAAGTGTTTGCTGTGTGCCCGTAAAGGGTTTGCCTCAGCGGCCTGGGTGGAGGTGGGGTGGGTGCAGTGGGGTGCCAACCTCGGAGCCTCTCTTCTTGTGGGGCAGATAAAGCACAGGCGGACTGGAGAGTGGGGCAAGGTGCATCCAGCACCCTGTGGGTGCATAAGGAACAGGGCAGTGCTTTTGCAGAGCAGTTAGTAAGGCAGGCTCACAGGGACAGGGCTACAGGAGGAGTGGGGCTGGGCAGGCCTGGAAGATGGTGCTGCAGGGAGCAGGAGAGGAGGGCATGTCAGGTGCGGGAGTGGAGGCAGGAGGGGGAGTCACTGGGGAAAGCCAGCAGCTGGCCTGGTTCAGAGGGTTCACTCAGTAGTTAAGAAAACAGGAGGGGGTCTATGAGGTAGAGCCAGTTTATGGGTGCAGCTTCTGGCTGAAAGGAGAGAGTGCAGGGCAGAGCCTTGTTTGGAGAGGAGGAAGGATGGGAGCACCTTTTCAAACCCAGCTGGAGCGGGATGTGGGAGGGAAGCTGTAGGGAGGGGTGCACAGAGTTGAGGTGCCCAGCCCAGCTTACCCCCAGGCGGCTCCTCCTAGCCAGGGTTCCAGTCCCCGGACTGGAAGGAGTGTCTGGGTAGGCTATGGGTGGTGCCAGGGCCAGTGATATTGCAGCCAAGAGCCTGGGGAGAGCTGGCTGCTGTCCAGCCCACCGGCTGGGTCCTGCAGTGGACAGTGAATGCCACTCCTCCCTCCCCCTAATCACTGTGTGTGTGTGCCCTGCTGGGACACACCCTTCAGAATGGCTCTGGGCACAAAGTGGGGAGCCCCGCCCCACCACCCCTCCAGCCTCCCTCGGTGCCAGCTGCCTCCTGGGAACAGGAACATAAAGCAGTCTTAGTGAAGTGGGTGGGGAGAGAGGGCAAGGGGAGGCTCCCAAAGCCACCCACAGAAGGGGCTCTGGATGCACCAGACTCCAGATCTGAGTGTGCATTTCCTTTTGGGCCTGGATTCCTTCCTAGGCCCTCTTTGGCCTCCTCCTCCTCCTCAGCTCCCTTCCTCCAGCCCTAGCCCTTCTCAGCCCCCACCTCTGGCTCCCCGCCTTCCCGGTTCAGGTCAGCCAGAGCACGTGGAAGCCCGCTGGCTTCACACGGCAAGCCTGCCCTGACTTTCACAGCTGGCTCCAAACTCAACAACTCACTCATGTTCCAGTGAGGACGAAAGCTCCTACTTCAACCACCGAGCATGGCTCAGAAAGCTAAACAGAAGCACATAAGCAAACATGCTACTGTCTTAACTTGAAACCTCAGCAGGGCCTAGTCATCTGCTGGGGTTGTAATGTAGGCACACAAACAGCTTTGTGCCCACAAGCACACGCAGATACAGAGTGTCTGCACACACGTGCATAAAGAGGCAGACACATGTATGAGCTCTGTGATCTGCAAAGAGTATACTAATATTGACTGAGGGCCTATGCCCTCACTCTATGCAACCACGCTGTGGGGTAGATCTTGTTATTTCCTCCATCTTACTGATAAGGAAACTGGAGCTCAGAGAAGTTTTACAACTTGTTTAAGGTCACACCGCCTGACATATGATAAAATTGGACATCACACTGCATCTTTGTGACTCTGGTGACTCAAGGCAACCTGGGGTTCAAGCTCTGGCTCTTTGGTTCATACAATTGGTTCCCTAAGGGGCAGTGTGGTTTGCTGATGCATGCCTCAGTTTATCCATCTGAACAAGCAGGGTAATGACTCTTCCTGAACCCAAGAGGGTATTGTTAGGCAGGGGGAGGCTGAGAGGGAGGTTGGCCTTTGCTAGAGTGCTGAAGCAAGTCATCCTAGAGGATGTGCAGACATGGGAATGAGTGATACTCAAGCCAGAAACTCAGCGCCACGCTTGCTGCCTCCCTGTCCTTCCTGGCCCCCACCCGCGCCCCCAGCCAAACCATCCATCAGCAAGTCTGTCTCCAAAATAGAGCTCGAACCTGCCCTCTTCCTGCCACCTCTGCCACTGCTGCCCTTGGCGGAGCCTCTATCCCCTCTCACCTTGACTTCTACAGGCACCTCCTAACTGGTCTCTCTGCCCCATTCCTGTTCTGCTCCTTCGGCCCAACGCCACACGACTGCCAAAGCAATCCACTTAAAACAGGCATCTGGTCCTGTCATAGGGCACTCACATGCACTTTAGACTATTCACCATAGCCCTCAAGGCCCTTCTCTCGCCAAACTCCCTGCACCCCATACTGCAATCACAGATAGGCATCCCCCCCGCACCACCCCCCCCACTGTTCCTTCTCCTTCCTGCTGTGGGACTTGGCTTATGCAAATTTCCCAGCCTGAAATGCTCCCCCAACTTTGGGTCTTGCAGGAATGTCACCTCCTCAGAGAGGCCTTTCCTGACCACATAGATAAATTAGGATCTTGTGCCCCATTATCTATTTCAGACCCTTGATCAGAGGATTCATGCTCGCATTGATTTTTTTATTTGACTGTCCCTCCCACTAGAATGTTGGCTACTTGATGGCAAGGACCCATGCATCTTTTCTTACTGTATCGTGCCTGGTATGTCACTGGCCCCAGGCAGGTATGTGTGGTACAGGTGTTTATTGAGAGAATCCTAGATCTGGGAAACAGAAGGACTGGATCTTGTCTTGATGAAATTCTTCCATTGTAGAGAAAATTCGTGAACTGGGCGGGGGGGAAAGTAACCCATAATCTCATCACACTAGGTAGGCTAATATTTATGGTGTCACGGTGGCGTGGGCAGCGGGTCAGTCTTTCTCTCGCTGGAGTGAACATTTCACACCGCATTTAACACAGGCTACACTTGTCATTCCTCCTTGTACTTCTTGGATGCTTAACAAATGTTTAATTAAATTTTGAGGAAAACTGAAAGAAAATGGAACCAGCTCAAGGGAGGAGGGACATGCCAAGCCTCTTCCTTCGTGGCCCCTCTGGCTTCCTGTCCAATCACAGGCTATGACCTCACCGTTCTGAACTCCACTGTTTGCATATTAGCACCTGTGGATTGTAATGGCATGGCTCTATCACTTTCATCCACAGATCAGATTTTATTGAAATGTATTAAATGCCAATTTGAAATAATAATGCATTGCCGTTTAGCATTGAGAACAGACAGGGAGCCACGAACTGAAGCTAAGCTACACTTTAACAGCCCTTTATATGGTCACCGAGTTTACCCAAATCTGTTAGTTGCCAAGGCTACATACATTTCTGCCACTGTGTGTTAGGGGGGCAACCCAGCCATTTGGAACCTATCGGCCATTTGCCAAACTCCATCAAACTCCTCCACTTCTTCCAGAACATAATGGTGATCCAGAGAAATGGAGTCCTTTGGGCTTACTGGCCTTTGGCTGCCCTGTCCTGCAGGGGCTGGAAGGCAAGGGCAAGGAGCTGTAGCCCCAGAGGGAGGATTGGGGGCCAGCAGAGCCTGCCTCCCATTTAGGAGCACTGGGAGACCAGCCGGTGCTTGTCTGGGGCCCTCAGGAACCTCCGAGGGGGAGGTGTGGGCCAAGCACAGGGTGCTGGGTTGTTCTCTCTGTGGGAAAGTACCCTGCCAGGCTGGAGTGCAGGGCAGGACTCCTAGCCTGGCTGGCTGCACAGTAGGCTGTGCGGGGTCCCAGACCTCTGCTCACAGCCTGAGGGCCCCAGGGCTGCCAGGGCCTCACCCTCCTCCCAGACTGTATCAGGTAACACCATCAGGCACCCACTGTGGGAGGAGGGGAGGGTGCCAGGCAGGAGCTTCAGCTAAGCCTGGCTTGTGGGGAGGAGTTGGGGTGGCTGGGCCTGTCACCATGGATCCCAGAGGAGGAGGGCTTGGTCAGAATTTGGCCAAGGTGGGATAGTGGCAGGAAAGGGGGTGGCACCACTAGCTAGGGGAGGCAGATTCCCTCTTGTCTTCCTTCCTCCCTCCTTCCTTCACTCCTCCCTCTCTCCCTTCTTGACTCTTCCTTCCTGTTCACCTTCCTTCTCCCTTCCTCCTCCTTTTGCTCCTCTCTCCCTTCCTTCCCTTCACAGGTATGTACTACCTATTCTGTGCCCCACACCACTCCAGGCTTTGGCTATAAAGTGGTGAACAATCCACGTGGTCTCCACCCTTATGGAGCTGACCTTCTTCTAGCAGGGGAAAGATAATAAACAGATAAACATCTACCATGAACTCAGGTGGGTGAGTCCAGATCATTCAGCCCCATCCTTAGGCAAACCACTTTTCCATCTCCAGCAGCCTCTCATCTCATTTGTTCCCCACCCTCAGGGGCCAGGAGCAGCATTATAGCTCCCATATACAGTGAGGAAGTGGGGTTGAGGGTGGGGAGGTGACTTGCCTGAGGTCACACTGGGAGCACAGGTGGAGCTGCTGCAGTGGAACCTTGGCCATCTGCCTCCCAGGGGAGTGCTTTTTTCTTCCTCCAGCAGGGTCACCGGCACTTACCTCCAAAGCAGGGGAAAGATTTAATTCTGTGCTTCTAAAGACACTTTCTGTTTTTAAGAGAACATTTATGCACAGAAAACTAAGAAAAAAATGCACTAAGAACCTCACCCTAGGACAAACAACTAATTCACCTTATATTAAATTACCACTTACTGTGTGCAAGCCAGGATCCCTGAGGGTCTAGGCAGCCTCAAGAGCTGAGGTCTGGCTACATTAGCTGCAAACTGTCATCATGACCCACATTCCCTTTGTCAGCTCCTAAGAGCTGACAAAGACTCTCTCCTTCAATAAACCTCAGACAGGTTCCTCTGAGCCCCCTCTTGTCCTTGGGCCCTGTCTTTGGCCTGCCTAGTCCAGTTTTAACAAAAATGCTGCTAAGTCCGGTTAGCAAGAATCCCCCATCCCTTGATATCTAATCATCTTGACCTGTTGGCCTGCCTTCTGCAAGAATCCTGTTAAGTCAGTTCAGCGAGGATCCCCCTACCTTTGATGTCTCCTCTTGGTAATTTTCCATCCACTCACCACCCTCTGCACCTTGGCTATAAATCCGTACTTGTCTTTGTATTTGGTGCTGAACCCGGATCCCTCTCCCCTATTGCAGTCCGGCCCAACTCTGAATATAACAAGGACAAGCGGGAGTACCCCTATTGCAGTAGTCCTGAATAGTCTTTAGGCCAGGAGCGGTGGCTCACACCTGTAATCTTAGCACTTTGGGAGGCCGAGGTGGGCGGATCACTTCAGGTCAGGAGTTCGAGACCAGCCTGGCCAACATGGTGAAAGCCCCATCTTTACTAAAAGTACAAAAATTAGCTGGACGTGGTGGTGCCTGCCTGTAATCCCAGCTACTCGGGAGGCTGAGGCAGAAGAATCACTTGAAGCCGGGAGGCGGAGGTTGCAGTGAGCCAAGATTGCACCACTGCACTCTAGCCTGGGCGACAGAGCAAGACACCTTCTCAAAAAAAAAAATTTTTTTTTTCTTAGTTTTCTTTACCATGTAACAACTACATAAACAAAACATTTCCTTTATTTTATTTTTTTTAGACAGGGTCTCACTTTGTCACCCAGGCTGGAGTGCAGTGGCACAAACAGGGCTCATTGCAGCCTCAACCTCCCAGACTCAAGTAATCCTCCCACCTCAGCCTCCCAAGTAGCTGGGACTACAGGTGCACACCACCATGCCTGGCTAATTTTTGTATTTTTTTGGTAGAGACAGGGTTTTGTTATGTTACCCAGGTTGGTGGCAAACTCCTGAACTCAAGCCATCTGCTCGCCTCAGCCTCCCAAAATACTGGGATGACAGGTGTGAGCCACTACACCAGGCCAAATTTTTTTAGTAGTTATGTTGCTGTGACTTGGACAGTCTCAGATTTATCACTGCACCCCTGACCTCTCACTCAGGACTCCAAGTGTGTGTCTTTGAAGCCTTTGTCTTCACTCCCGATTGAGGGATTGGGGAGTCCATGGGAGAGTTCTACTCCTGATGAAACCCAGTGCTCCAGATGATAGTCCACTGAAGGACACATTTTCATTCTTAAGATTCTGAGTGTGCTCTCTGAGGCTGGGTTACAGTCCCAGGTTTCTTAGGTTGAAAGGTACTTATTTGAGAAAGAATCTTCCTGGATGGACGTCTTCTGGGCTCTTTTTCAGTAGAGATTCATTCCCTGACCCTCAAGAGGAGGCATTCCTGGTTCTTTGGGGAGGCCTCTGCTCTAGAATCTGGGTTAGAGACTCAGGCAAACCGAGACTGGGTTGCAGTCTTGGGCATCTTTGTTGGGGAGAAGTCATTAGTTAATAACGTGGGAACTTCTCAGTGGACTGGAAACCGTCTTCTGGAAGCCCTGCTGACTATATGTCCCACAATAATGGCACAAACTCTGTCTGCTTCCTTTCTTGTTGGCATAATTTACTGGGTAACCTAGAACTTCAATGACTTTCAACTGGCCCCTCAAAGGCCTGTCCCTTCCCATTGCTTTTGCTCCTTTCTCCTCCTCTTACCACCTTCATCTTCCCTTCAGCTCCCTGGACCCTTCAGCATGTCTCCTTTGCCATCTCTCTGCCCACCATTGACACTTCAGCCCCTCAACTCCCTACAGTAATTTGAACTTTAGACCCCTGCCCTGATTGCGGGTCTCAAGGGACTCAGGGAATCCCTGCTAAGCAACTGCATATCAGGGCAAAAGAAAATCTTAAAAGTCTCCTCCACAAATATTGGTAAAAAGCTTTTGCTGTCTTATTGAGCAGGTAACCTTAACTTGTCCCATCTGTCAAAATGCAATTCAGATAAGAAGAGGAAGTGGGGCAATGACGAGAGCCAATGATGATATAGATATAGACCAGTGAGCTTTGTATTACCCTGTTTACGTAACTCATGGCTAAAATTTCAGAATAAAAGGTGAAATAGATGGTCTCTATTTGTGTCCGTCTATATGTTTATGTGTGCATGTATGTATGTATACGTGATATTTTTCTACCTCTGGATAGCATTACAAAATTAATTTATAAAATCTTTTACAAGACTGCTATTCAAATTGGCTTAAATATTCCTTAAAATCTCAGAAATATAGAAACTAATCCAAATGTTTTTCAAGTTCATGTGATTTAGGTAAACCATTGGAAAGTAAGAATAATTTAATATTGCTGGTTTAATAAAACCAGCTATATCTTTTGAGTTATCAGCATTGAGTATAATACGATTATACATTTTGTATTTAATTTTTTCCTAGGTTTTTTGCTTTTGTGATTTTTTGTTTAGATACTTGCCTAAAATGCATGTGTTGTAAAAATAGTTAACAGGGAAATAACTTGAGATGATGGCTAGCTTTGTCTAGTGTATTGTGAAATTTTGATAAACAATCCAAGCATATGTGTTAAGAACATGTGTATTAATTTAAGTGGAATAAAAGTTTTATAAATGGACATTTCAATAATAATTATGTTTTATAATATCTGACTAATAATTGTTTCCAAAATTTTTTGTAATTTGCAACATTAGACCTATGCTAAATTAAGCAATAGATATTAATTACTAGACCATTTCTAAATAAACTACTGAAACATTAATTACTAAGCTTAAGTTTATATAATTTTGGCTACTTATTTTTATATGGTACAGAGAGGCTATATATGTTTGGGTATGTTAATAAACTTTTTTTTGCCACCTGAAGAACTGTACTATGAAACAACACATACCTATAAAAAATGCAAAATGATATATTCATAAAATTTGCTAGCCTGCTAGATAATCCCGGCATGTGACAGACAATTCGCAATTGCCTACTTCACACTCTAAACGAAATCTTGATCTAGAACTGATTTTTAGATTTTCCAGTCTGGGAAATCTCAAAAAAAATTTTCTTTCACCTTGTAAAAGGAGATATTAAAAAAATTAGGCTTATGTTAATGTTAAATGTTATTTGTATATTTCAGAAATTGTATAAACTTCCAAGAAAATTTTCAGCACACTTGCTGTTGATATGTCCTAGTATAATGTCATCAGTCATAATTTTGGTTATTGTTTAAAACACCATGTGCCACAGAAGTCACCAAATTTCCTTGTCAAACACACTCTCATCAGATTAACTATGGCCATTTTAAGTTATCATCCATTGATAGTTTTTGTTTTATTCTGATTGTTTTCTGCAAGTGTTTTCCACCAACTACACACCAGATTACTTTGTCTTCAACAATCAGGGACTATGCCAGGTAGTCTGGGGTACAGGCTTCTGATGGAGTTGCTTCAGTAATTTTTATTTTTATTAATTTATTGTTTTTGAGACACAGTCTCACTCTTGTCACCCAGGCTGGAGTGCAGTGATGCCATCTCGGCTCACTGCAACCTCCGCCTCCTGGGTTCAAGTGATTCTCGTGCCTCAGCATCCCAAGTGGATAGGATTATAGGCACATACCACCATGTCTGGCTAATTTTTGTGTTTTTAGTAGAAAGAGGGTTTCATCATGTTGGCCAGGCTGGTCTCGAACTCCTGACCTGAAGTGATCTGCCTGCCTCGGCCTTTCGGAGTGCTGGGATTACACGCGTGAGCTACCGCACCCAGCCCTGCTTCGGTAATTTTTAAACTATACCACTGAACGTAATCTGGATTTCCAAATCTCTGGTGGAGAAGCTGATAGGTTCTTAAAACTGCTGACCCAAGACCATGCAGAGCAAGAGTTAATCACATGGGACTGAATGAACTGATGAAGGATGACTATTGTTTGGAATATTATTACCAGCTTTGAGGAACCTCTTTTCCTTTTCTCTTAAGCTATCTGTGAACTCACAACATTTACATTATACTATTTTTTTTTTTTTTGAGAAGGAGTCTCACTCTGTCGCCCAGGCTGGAGTGCAGTGGTGCGATCTCGGCTCACTGCAACCTCTGCCTCCCGGGTTCAAGCCATTCTCCTGCCTCAGCCTCTGGAGTAGCTGGGATTACAGACGTGCCACCACGCCTGGCTAATTGTTGTATTATTAGTAGAGATGGGGTTTCACCATGTTGGCCAGGCTGGTCTCAAACTCCTGACCTCAGGTGATCCACCCACCTCGGCCTCCCAAAGTGCTGGAGTTACAGGCGTGAGCCGCCGTGCCTGGCTGATTATGCTTTTTTAAAACAGAAATGAAGCATTTATCTTTTTCTCTCTGCCTAACCCCTCCAGAATTCAAAAATTCTTTTTTTGAGGGGTGTGGGAGTTGGGGGACGGAGTTTTGTTCTGTCGCCTGGGCTGGAGTGCAATGGCACGATCTCAGCACATCACAACCTCCACCTCCCGAGTTCAAGTGATTCTCCTGCCTCAGCCTCCCAAGTAGCTGGGATTACAGGCACCTGCCACCACGGCTAATTTTTTTTTTTTTTTTTTTTGCATTTTTCAGTAGAGATGGGGTTTTACTATGCTAGCCAGTCTGGTCTCGAACGCCTGACCTCAGATGATCTGCCTGCCTCAGCCTCCCAAAGTGTTGGGATTACAGGCGTGAGCCACCACGCCTGGCCAGAAATTCTTATTGAATGTTCTCATCTTCATGGAATATATTTATTCACACAAGTTCAATAAGAATCTGTCCTCCTTATAACAGGACATGATGGGAAATACTGGTTATACAACCAAGGCTTTGACTGGAATGTCATATTTGAAAATGATGCATCAGATATGACCAGACAGTCTTAAGGAACTGAAGTAGACTTGATGGACCCAGTCTACAATATCTTCTAGGGAAAGCCAGCCTGGTACCTGGCTTACAGTGTCCTCAGCATTACAGATGAGTAAAGAAGGTCACTTCCTGCCAGGTCCAGGAGGCTTAGGATATTTTGGGAACTTCAGGAAGAGAAGATCTACCCAAAATCTGTAGGTGCTATAGGCAAAATCTGGTGACGAATTCTTGCCTTGGCTTCGTAGCTTTCAAAGGTACAATCTGAGATTCCTTACGAAAAGTTTCAGCAAAGCAAATTTAAAAAGGCCTATGTGATCGATTACCATTCTTGCTGCACTTATGTAAGTAATCAGGCCAAAGGTAATGAGACCCGCCTTATTTTGTAAAGAAGAATCATCTTACTTTGATTACCTTTGATCCAAAAGAGGAGTGGCTGTGAAGAGAAATTTTTTAGAAATTTCAGCAGAAAACTATAGCACACTCTTGTGAGTTATCAGATTCCTGTCCTGTTCATTGGCTATGAGGTTTTGTTATCCACCTGTATATTAGATTAGGTCCTGCCAGCTTACACATTTTGTCAGTGCCCACTTTTCCCTTTGCTGCTTATTTAACCAGGAGGAGGAAGGGTAGTAACAGGGATGGGGAAGATGAGGGCAGGCCTGTGTGTGTGCGCGCGTGTGTGTGCACGCACGTGTGTGCGAGTGTGTGCATGTGTGTGTGCGCACGTGTGTGTGCACGCGTGTGTGTATGCATGCATGCTCATGTGGTTGTAATGTGTGAGGAGTCACAGTGAGTAGAAGGACCAGAAGCTGGGCTGGGTGGCTGACTGCTAGATGGGGAAGGGGTGAGCACAGCAGTTTCTGTGTTGTTTCAACACCAAACAGGGCTCTGACACCCTCCGGGAAAGCATCTTCTCTAGCTGGCTCCAGCATACTGAGGCAGAGGTTGGCCTCACCCCTAATGCTAGTCAGCATGCCACTGCCAGGAGACAGTGCGTAAGGCTGAGCCAACCCACAGCCCTTCCCCATCTAGCAATGTGGGCCAAGACAAATCGCCAGGGTAGTGGGTCAGAACAATGACCTTCACCCCACTGCAAGGCCAGTAAGACAAGGACCATCTGTCTTGCCAGTAGGCCAAGGTTAGGCTTGTAGGATGGATGGGGGAACAGGGCAGAACCAAACGGCCCCTACATAGATCAAAACAACGAGCTTGGCCTCCTGCAAAGACCACATCAAAGAAAAGACCCACTGTTTACCCCCAAGAATAGGAAAATAATCATAATGGTGGCAAGCATTGTGCTAAGAACTTTGCATGCATCATTTCTTTCTTCTTCTTCTTCTTTTTTTTTTTTTTTTGAGATGGAGTCTCACTCTGTTGCCTAGGCTGGAATGCAATGGTGTAATCTCGGCTCACTGCAACCTCCACCTTCCGGGTTCCAGTGATTCTCTTGCCTCAGCCTCCTGAGTAGCTAGGATTACAGGCACGCGCCACCACACACGACTAATTTTTATATCTTTAGTAGAGACGGGGTTTCACCATGTTGGTCAGGCTGGTTTTGAACTCCTGACCTCAAGTGATCCACCCGCCTCAGCCTCCCAAAGTGCTGGGATTACAGGCATGAGCCACGGTGCCTGGCCTGCAAGCATAATTTCTTTTAATCCTTACCAACAGTTCTATGAAGTCAGTATATTATTATTCTCTTTTCATAGAATGGCAGCTCAGAGCCAGGATCTGAACTCAGGCCACATTCACTGCCTGTAAAAGTCACTTTAAATCTTGGGAAACTGCATAAGGTGGCTCAGAATATTTTTGGATTTCAAATGCAGTAAGAGAAGCTGGGCGCAGTGGCTCATGCCTGTAATCCCAGCACTTTGGGAGACCGAGGTGGGCAAATCACCTTAGGTCAGGAGTTCGTGACCAGCCTGGCCAACATGGCAAAACTCTGTCTCTACTAAAAACACAAAAATTAGCTGGGTCTTGTGGCATGCTCCTGTAATCCCAGCTACTCAGGAAGCTGAGGTAAGAGAATCGCTTTAACCCGGGAGGCGGAGGTTGCAGTGAGCCGAGATTGTGCCACCGCACTCCAGCCTGGGAGACAGAGCGAGACTCCATCTCAAAAAAAAAAAAAAAAAAAATACAGTAGGAGAAACCAAAGCAAGGCAGAAGGTAGGACCTGTTAAGCTAATAGGGGTAAAACAGACTATGGCCTTGTCCAAGGCTGTAGATGCTGTTTCCGGGAATCTCAAAGCAGAGAATAAGTAGCTCTCTGTCTCGCATAGTTAGCAGATTTACCTAGCAGTGAGTTCTAGGACAAATGCAAATTTGAAGTCCCTGATAAAGACTTTACATCTCACTGATGAAAAGAAGGGGTGCAACAGCCTGGATTGTGCCATCTAAGGACATGCTGTGCAAGGACTGAAGCATGGTGGCATTTCTCAGTACGTGGATTTCAAATCCTCTGCCAGAATCTCCTGGACAGATGCTTACAATGCAGACTCCTGGGCCCCAGCTCAGAGCCACTGAGTCAGAATCTGAACTCCAAATCTGCATTTTTCACAGATCTCTAAGGATGCATGCTGCCGATATGGAAGAAGCAGTGACAACTGGTAACTGATCGGTGTGGCCTTGCTGGTTAGTGGCCCCTGGTTGAGAATCAGTGCCCTCCTTCAGGTGTGTTGTGGCTGGAGGATGGGAGCAGGAGGAGGTTTTCAACTGCTGGATTGCATCTGAAGCATGTTCACCACAGTGATTCCTTTTAATAGCTGCATAAAATGTCACCAGTGGACACGGCATGACATACTTAACCGCTCCTCTACTCTGGGACACCGGGACCTTTTCCGTATTATAGCTAACATTAGGATGAGCATCCTTAGACATACTGCCCTCATATTTTGAATGACTGCCTTAGATGAGATTCTTAGAAGGATGAAAGGGGGTATGAACATGTTCATGGTGCCTAACATATAGCACTAAATTGCATTTTCCACTTAGGCTGACACCTGCACTGTTCAAAAGAGTCCGTCTCACCACAGCGCTGCCAGCATTTCAGTCTCCTCACTCTAAAGATAAGGAAACGGAGGCTGGATTGTCGAAGCGACCTGTGACCTGCCCAGAGCTACACACCTAGTCAATGCCAGAACTAAGACCAGAACCCAGGGAGTTCTTGTTCATGGGCCAGGGCGTTTTGCCACTGCTGAGTTCTTCAATCTCCAATCAGACAGGAGGGAAAAATCAAGCTTGAAACACATTCTCTCTCTGTTCCAATCTCCCTGCCAGCTGTGACTTCACCCCCTGAACTAGGAGCTCACGTTTCCATGCTTTTCGTGGTTTCTCTGCCTTGACAACTGGGCCTCTCTTCTCTCTGCTCGAGCTCCACATCCTCCCTGGGCCTGCTCTGATCAGTCAGATGTCATTCCATACTCGCACTGTAGGTCAGATGTAGATATGCGGGTGGGGAAGCAGTGGGACAAAGGTGAGTGACAGCCAAGGGGAGGGACACAGGCCAGCCAGCCCTGTCACAGGAGGGAGGACACTGTAGGAGGATGGGTGGGACCAGTTGACAGTGGGCAAGGGGGTGAGTTGGCCTGCCAGTCTTAGGAGTCTGAATATGGTGGGGAGGGCTTCAGTGCACACCTAATCAGCCATGTGCTACTACTGGGACACAGGGTGTTTACATAGGAGAGCTGGGCTCTGGCTTCCACAGGGTCCTTAACAGTGTCTCTGGTGGGCTTCAGAGAATCCTTAAATCCCCAGCTAAACCATATGCAAAACTGTACAAGTATGTAAGTATGATCCTTTTTCTGGGAGACAGCCCATTAGTATTCATCAAATTTTCAAGAAAGTTTATGACCTCTAAAATGTTAAAAAAAAAATCCAGGTGAAAGGCAGGTTGTTGACTAGAACTATAATTTGTTCGTTGTATGAATTATATATTGTTTTACCTATGGTAGGGAAAGATAAAATAATCATAGGTGGCATTTCTCAGATAGATGATTGATGGACAGATGATAGATAGAACAGATGATTGATACATGAATAGAACAAACAAATCTACATTTAACAAATAGGTATCATAAAGAATCATTATTCATGCCACCTACATTTCTTATTTTTCCATTGCATGAGAAGGAGATCATGGAGCTGGGAGGAGGCAGGAAGCCTGGTGCTGAGGTGTTCAGAGTCACTGCCCTCCACAGATGATCAGAGGCAAAGATAAAGTCTTGGTGCAGTGATGAAGTCAGTTAGTGGGAAAACGGGATTTGGTTTCGCAACTTTTCCAGAGCTGTCTCTTGCATAAGATGGGACACACACTTGAAAATAATCACGATGAGCCCTTATTGAGCACTTAGTGGGTGTCAGGCACTGTGCTAAGCGCTTTGCAAGTATTATCTTGTTTACTTCTCATCTGGTGGTTTGGACAGCACTATAACTTCCATTTCACAAGGGAGGAAATGCAGGCCCAGGGATGTTAAGTCACTGTCCCCAAAGCACACAGCTGTTGAGTGGAACAATGGGTACCCGAAGCCAGGCAGGGTGGGTTCCCAGCTGGGGCTTCTGGTGCCTGGGCAAGATATGCCCTTTGAGAGCAGTGATGTTGGGATGTCAGAATCAACCCCATCTTTGTCTTCCACAAAAGGGCTGGACTCTGAATATCAAAACTCTCCTCTTCCCTTTGCCTTTAAAGGCATAGGGAGGCACATACAGTTGAAATTATCCAGGCTAATTGTTCATTAGATGTTACTGAGCATCTAATATGAGCCAGGCAACATATAAAAGGCTTTATAGTCATTTTCTTAATTTCACCATTACCACAAGCTTTTAGGGTGAGGATTAGCATGCCCATTTTACAGATGGGGTACTGAGGTACAAGGAAGTTTAGAGGATCTGCCTGAGGTCAGCTAATAGAGGGAGAGGAGCTAGATTGCACCCACTCTCTTTCTGTTTCTCTGCCTCTCCCTGGGTAATTCAGGGCACAAAGGTACAAGGTACAACCTTCCTTGTTGGGGTCTGCATGATGATTAGGGCATGAGAAAGACCCAGGGAGCTTCCTGCCATGGTCCAAAGGGAAAAAGGGAAGCAAGGAAGAAGGGAAGAAAAGAAAACATGGATGAAACATGGGCTATATATGTCAGGCAGTACCAAGATGTTGATGAATGATCCAAAAATATTGCTACAATTTCAAAAGTCTTACAAAAGAGGGGCACTGGCCACTGGCCATAGGACTGTGAATTGGTCCACCCTGAGCCACACACTCCAGGATACACTCAGAGGTATGACTATATCTTTTTGGAATTTGGCTGTGTTCTTTGAGGTCAAAGCTCCTGGCCTCATGAAATGTTCTTGACAGGTTCGAGTAAATATGGGAATACACACACTCTGTGAAAATGGTGGTTCCCTCAGTCCTTCCCCTCTCAGGGTTTTGAACTTGGTTCTGGAAGCCCCAGGGCCTAGGAGGCTGTAGGAACAGCCAGCTCTGAGGAAAGGGTCAGGAAGTGACTAGTGGACAGGGTGATGGCTGTGGCTCAGGGTCATGGCTGGGAAACTCGGAAAGGGAGGTCTCTGAAAGCTATGTCAAGTCCAAAGGCCACAGCTGGATGCAGAGTCTGAGAGGCCTCTGGCAGCAGAACACACTGCCCATGTACCCAGTAAGCAAGCAGGGGTTAGGGCTGGGCACAATTCTGGGCTTGCGACCCTGTCACCTGGGGTCCTGACAGACAGGCGTGACCAGGGGTCAGGAATCGATCTGAATGGCCAGGAGGTCAATCAAGGATCTGAATGGCCAGGAGGTCAATCAAGGCAGGAGGAAGCAGTCTGAGGATAGACCCCAGCTCTCACAGATGATCCAGAGCCTTAGGGATACCTGAGCGGGGGAGGAGTGCTCTGCAGGCAGGGGCACAGCCCTGGGACTGTTCTCTGGCACAGGACAAGGCCCGAGCTGTAACCAGGGAGAGCAGGGGAACCCCAGAGGATTGTAGCCATTGACTGTATACCAAAAGCAAGACCAAGCCTATAGCTGCCGTTCTTTCATGGCAGTCTCCAAAATCTGCCCTGTTCAATTCTTTAAGGGTTCCCTCTCCCGACTTAACAGTCCCTTTGGGTCTGGCATTTCCTTTCATTTTAGAAAATAAAACTTTGTGCTTCTTAAGTCTTGAAAGCAATATAGACACCTTATGGAAAACTTGATGTGTCTAGGACTCTATTATAAAGGCAGTTTTTTTACCCTGTGTTCTTCACTAGCCATTTTATAGTGAGCATCATCCCATAATGCACTCGCCCTCACCCTCCATCCCAACCTTTCCCACTGCCTCATTTGAAGTCTCACCTGCAAGTGCCCCTGGCTGGCATCTGTGTCCTCTGATTAAATGAGTCACACTCTGAGCTATATTGCCACTGCTAAATGCTCAAGTCCTAGTCTCTTTATGGGAATTGTTTAAAAGATCTGAAGAAGTCAAGTCTGCATAATAGGAACCCAGAGAAACTCTCACCAGCAATGCCAATCCTCACCCAGTGCTGCCTCCTAGAGCCACCAAATGTGGGAAGAGCTGGTGCATAACTGAATTCTCATTAGCAGTCCCTTACCCTATATTCTCATTTGCCATCTGGTCCCATGTAGGCTTGGAAACTAGAAAACTAAATGTTAAAATTGTGCATGAAATAGGAGCAAATAGGCCCCATGTGACATGGGCCCCAAGGAAGTGTGCTGGGGTATGTATTCTCTGACCTCTTTTGTCACAGGAACATTTGTCCTATGTTCCAAACAAAAATTGTTTTATTTTTCTCTCGGGTGCTTGGCTCTGTCCCAGATACAAGAGGTAGCCAAATAAATGAGGATTCCCTGTAACTGTAATATTCTTTTTTTTTTTTTTTTTTTTTTTTTTTGAGACAGAGTCTCACTCTATCGCCCAGGCTGGAGTGCAGTGGTGCAATCTTGGCTCACTGCAAGCTCCGCCCCCCGGGTTCACGCCATTCTCCTGCCTCAGCCTCCCGAGTAGCTGGGACTACAGGTGCCCGCCACTACACCCGGCTAATTTTTTGTATTTTTTTTTTTTTAGTAGAGACGGGGTTTCACCGCATTAGCCAGGATGGTCGCAATCTCCTGACCTCATGATCTGCCCGCCTCAGCCTCCCAAAGTGCTGGGATTACAGGCGTGAGCCACCGCGCCCGGCCAACTCTAATATTCTTTACATGTTATATAGGGTTTTATTTCTTTGAAATGTAAACGATTTCCTTCTCAGTGCTATGACATTTGTGTGGTGTGGTCATCTCATTGCAGGAAGGGGATGTGCCTGCATTCTATATTTCACTCCTCTGGGCAGGCTGAGAACTACCACTAGTTTAGTGCAAACCAATCTAGGGTTAGACTAGAAAAACCAGATTTTTAGATCTTACTTTATCTCAAACTGTACTGTGTGACTCTAACCGGGTTGGAAATAGAAGAATACTCAGCCTGTCAAAGTTGCTGGGCCCCTCACAGACCCTATAGACCCATACTCTCACTTGACCCTTATGGAAGGAGGGTGTGCCTAAGGTTACAAAAGAAGCTATTGGCTAATCTCCTCCACAAGAGACCTTATGAAATGACTAACAACATCCTGTGTAGGAACGTGTGCATTTATAACCCACCTTGTTCCCAAAAGGATTTGAGCCAGCTTACAAATGCGCCTACAGGGCAAGGTAAACATACATAAAAAATAAGGAAGAAAAATGGGGCAAAGGAAAAGTAAGAGGGAAGATGGAGCCAGGATTTGGGTCATGTTCAAGATGAATGCCAAGAAGACCTGCCCACGTGACACGGCATGGCGATAGACTTAGTACTAAGATGCTGGCAGCCAAGAGGAGGGTGAAATACAACAGTCCCATGGAGCTCCGCTTTTTTGTTCTTTAGGTGTCTTCACTAACCCACAATGCGCCCCTTTTCTTTTGAGGCATCAGTTTTCCAGTCTGTCTAATGGGCAAATCCTGCCTTGTAGGATCTTTGTGAGGATTCAGTTAGAGCTTGTCTGTGAAGGAAAGCACTCGAAAAGTAAAGTGGGATACACACAAAACTGATCATTTCATTTTCTTGGCTGTGTCCTTGCCATGTATAAAATACTACTCACTTTCCATTGGCCGATGGAGCCACCAGATTGAAGCTACTATCGTTGATCAAAGTTAATTCTGTATACATTCTTAAGAACATCAAACACTGCCCAAACAATAGGAAGCCTCATGGCACTTCCTGCACTCAAATTCTGTCCATTTCCATCATTATACCTTTTTCTCTTTCCTTGCTTCAACTGGGAAAAATAAAGGTACTCAGAAAGGAACAGCAGGGAATGTCAAATTTAAGTAAAGTTTAAGTCCCCCTTAGAACACTTTTTTTTTTTCCCCGAGAGCGAGTGATGTTGGATAAGAGAGAGGAGAGACCAGGATTGGGGATGGAGAGTGGACCCCATTAGGGGTCTCTCTGGCTGCAGTTTGAAAGGCAGTGCCCCTGCCTGTCACTCAGAGGCTTTCCCCAACCTTTAGTGTTGGTGGTGGAATAAGGCATCTTCTGAATACAGGCCAGAATTTTAGCTGAGAGTGAACCAGTGGTCCAGGGTAGGCAAGCTGCCATTTCAAAGGGTGGGAGAGGGTAGAGCCACCAACTCTGGTCAAGCAGGGTTCTCTGGGTGACCTTAGACAGCTTCCTCTATGTGGCTTTTGCCTATAACCTGGGGGTACTCTCTGAGGAGAGCTTTTCAATAAATAAAAGCATTAACAGCAAGAAGAATCATATAAATAACATAGCAATATAAATAGCATAGAAATAACATAGAATAATATAGACAATAGGTTTGGCTTGGGGTTGAACATGAGAAGGTTGCCATGGGGAAAGGGGTCCAGAAATCTCCTTGGGAACTCACTGGTCCTACAAGGCAATAAGAGCTGCCAGAGCCTGCTAACTGTGGGCGGATGAGGAAACGGAGACAAACCAACCCCAGCTGGGAACATGATCAGATAAGAAGTGGTCCTTCTGTCTGCGGAGCCCTTCACACTTCTCAAAGTGACCACTCGACAGTTAATATTATTCTCTCCATTTTATGAGGAGGAAACAGAGACCCAGTTGGTTATATTACTTGTCAAAATGGCAAGAACCTGGCAGTCCCAGCAGAAAGACAGCACTTAACAGCAGGGACTCGAAGGCAGACTCTGCATCCTGGCTCTGCTATCACTCACTGTGTGACGTGAGGCAAATGCTTTAGTCTCTCTCTGCCTCAGTTTCCTCATCTGTAAAAGCTGAGTGGATTACCTGAGCTAATATCTGTAAAGTGCTTAGAACACCCGCTGGCATATATATCAGGTGCCACATAAGCATGCTAAAATAAACACATCAACTCCTAGTGCCTGCCTCTGCAACTCCCAAACCAAAATGGGACAATGGCAAAACACCACGTGTGTGCCCCATCCTGTGGGAGAAATTCAATCCCACTCAATATCAACTAAGGGTGGTCATTTGGGGATGGAAAGAGGGAATAGGGCTTGAGGGAGGTGGGGAGCAGGTACTTGGCAAACATCCTAGATGCCCTGGGGACCATCTCTGTTTCCTCTCTCTCTGAGGACTTTGCCAAGAAGGAACACACAGGCTGGATAAATCTGTGCCAAGCAGGAACAAAATGGTATCTGGTCTGGACAAGCTGAGAAGTTAAATATGCCCAGGTTACCACCAGGGGCAAACACTGGCTCCCAGCCCTGTTCCTCCTTTTTCTCTTTGCTTTTGGTGGATTTGTTTTGGTGGCTGCCAAAGGTGCCTATCAGGAACGACAGGTGATTTGCTTTTGGGCAGGGCTGCGAAGATGTCAGGGAAACAAGTTACCTTTCTCATAACTCTGGCCCTCGCAGGCTACAGGATGACCATGGGTCGGAATGATGCTTCCCAAAGCCACCGACACACACACAGGAGCTGGGTCTAGGAGCCAGGAGTCTAGCTTCTAGCCCAGCCCTGCCTCTATGGGGCTGTGTGTTCTAGGGCAAATACTTCTCCCTCCCTGGTCCTTAATGTTCTCCTCAGCAAAATGAGGGTCTTGGAGGGGTGGGGTGGGGGTGATAAACTTGAAAGACCTTTTTGGCTCTCATCTGTGAGTTTGGAGGAAGCATTCTGGGGCCAGAGCTGCAGAATTCTGAATGGCTCTCGGGTGGGCCTACTTTCTCCTAGTTCCTAGGCCCTCTTCTGCAAGACTCCGTTTTTATTATTGATTTGGCAGTGAAGTAGAGTGTTCTATGTTCTTGGCTCAGCCCTGGTGGAAACAGAAGATAGACTCCAAAAGCAGAGGATGGCAAGTGAAGCGTGTCAGGCATGGCCTTCTTCACCTCACCGCCCTGTCCATCCATCTCGAGGTTTTGAAGGCACCTGGTTTTACTGATAATCTGGGGTGAGCATGAAGCCGCTGGGGGAAGGGACAGGCTACAGGGGAGCATGAAGCTGAAGGCAAATTCCTGGGCCTCCCCACACAGGGTGAGCTCCCCAGAGGAGGGTAGGGGCTGGGGAGATACAGTGTAGGGGAAGAGGATGAAGGCCTGGCCAACTGCTCCACTTCCATCTTCCTCAGCCCCTTTCTCAGAGGCGACAGGGGATGCAGAGAGTCAAGTCCACTCCTGGCCTCAAGGAGCATAACCACATTCTGTGTTTTCTTTTCCCAAAGAGATCAGAAGCTTCTGGAAGGGTAGGGGTCATGGCTTATTTATTTATTTTTTCCTTTTCTATTCCCCTTGTCCTAACACATAAAATACCTGCACATGTGGTGGTTAAGCACACCGATCCTAGAGTCAGACTGCTCTAGTGTGAATCCCGGTGGTCTTCTACTTAATCAACCTCAGTTTCCTTGTCTTTAAAATGGGAAAAATGATAATTCCTACCTCATAGGGATCTTACGAGGATTCAATAAAGTAATACTTACAGGACATTTAGCACAGGGCCTGGCACTTGGAAGGTGGCCCATAAAAAGGCTTACCAAGATGAATGGAGCTGAATTGCTTCTGGTCAAAATTCATCATCACAAGAAAGTCAGATGCATGTTCCTTTCTTGCTACTACAAATCATGCCTACACTAATTCATTCATCACCTCTGTGTCCACAGATGGTGCAAAGATCAACTTTACCAAAGCCAAGCTCAACTCTCCTAAGTTTCAAATCAGTGAGGTTCCTGAACTTCTACTACATGCAAAATATTATTTTAATCATTCATTTTACCCTCTTTCTTCTCCAAATACTTTATTAAAATTGGTAATAGTAGCCTGAATGACCTGAATTTCTCCTACTTTTACTTTTTACCAAAGTGCTGCCCCCATCCCACATGCCATAGTAGTCAATGCCCAGCAGGCAGGACCCCAGAGGCATGAACATTAGGTTCACAGAGCGCTGGGCAGCCCAGAGCCCAGGGGGCCTCCAGCCCCCAGAGATTCTGGATCTGTGGGGCTGTGGTCTCTTCACACAGTGCCTGGCAGGGCCGCAGGATGACAAGAACCCCTGCAGGAACAGACATGCCTTGGTCTTTTGCAACCTGTTCAGATACTGGTTGAGGGTAATGAATGGAAAAGAGTCACAGCATTAATCGCTCTGATCTGGAGTTGCCAATTTGGCTCATGCTCGGACCCACCTCCAGACCCACAGTCTCCTCCCGCACAATGACTGGGCTTGCTTGAAGTGACCAAAGATGATGCCAGGCTCCGATGGGGGTCACTGCTGGCCAACTACCCTAGAGAAACATTTCGCTAGCACACTCAGTGACAAGGAGCTAGAATCCCAAGCACTGTGGAAGCCTCACTTCTTCCAAAAGATGCATTAATCCAGTCCTCTTGTTGAGGGCTTGTTCATGCATCTCACCGGTATCTACTGAGCAACTACTCTGTGCCACATAGGTGCTATGCTAGGTCCCTAACATGGAGCTACCCTAAAATTAAAGCACAGTATAACAGCAGGCACGCTGGGATGAGGAGCTGGGAGGCTAGTCAGAGTTCCAGCTCTGCCACTAACTAGTAGTATGATCTTGGGCAGGTCATCTCCCGCTCTGGGTCTCAAGGGCCTCATCTATTAAACCCAGGACTGGGCTGAGGATGCCTGTGGTCCAGCTGTTAAAGATCCCGGTTAAATAATAAAGATCCTGGATCTATTAAATAACATCCCTGATGTATAAATAGTGGCAATCTTGATCAAAGAGCTCCAAGCTTGTAGAAAACACAAGCTCAGCAACCTACCAATCTCCCCCTTGCCATAGTAAGGGCACCTGTTTGCTACCTGAAAATGTAAGAACTCACAGCCTTGGGATGAGTGAGAAGTTGAACTGGCCGCAGGGAGAGACACCTGAGAGGGCAGTGGCAGTCTGAGGGGGGCCAGGTGGCCTTCTTGATGTGATATGAGGGATCCCTGAAAGGCCTCCCCTGTCCCAAATATCTGCTCCCTATCCCCCAAATCTGGGGTCCTGCATCTGGAATTCCACCATTTGAGACAAGTTTTTTTTTTTTTTTTTTCCAGTGCCGGGGGAGCAGTGGGGGGTCGTCTTTGATTGCAGACACCTTCAAGCAAAACGCACACAGCCATGAGAAGGGTGTGGTTCCCACCCTTCTAAGGTTGCCTGGGTCTTCCCTGCCTGCCAGCAGAGGCCTGGCAGCTTGTGGGCCCTGGGTGCTTGGGGCTGGAGGAGGTGGGGGGGACCCAGAAGGGACCCTAAAGGGGGCTGTGGGGGAGGGAGGGCCTCCTGGGCTGACTCAAGGTCTCCTTCACCAAGACCCAGAGGGCCTGGGGGACGGGGGCAGGGAAAGAGAAAGAGCACGTGCAAGATTTGAGTTCTCCAGGAGGGCTGGGAGTGGGAGAGTCCAGGGAAAGAGCTGGTGCCTCCCTTTGGCTAACCGATCCCTTGGAAGAGCCAGCTCAGAGAGGGGAGGAAGGGAGGGCGGGTCAGGAGACAGGGTGGGGCCGGGATGAGAGGAAACTGTAAAACCAACGGGGCGGATTCACGAAAAATTCCCGAGCGTGGTGAGGGTAGAGGGTGCTGGGCAGCACCCCAGTTCGCCGGGCCCACGCTCCTCCAGTTGCCCGGCCTGTTCAGACTGGTTCGCCCACCTTTCTCTCCCTGCCGGCCCCACTCGCCTGACCTCTGAGAAAGCAGAATCCGGGACATGAAGCAACCACAGCCGCTCCGCCCGGCCACAAGCGCCCCGGACTCCGTGCCTGCCCGCAGCCCCCTTCCTGCAGCGTTCACTCGGCTGCCCGGCCCGGCCCGGCCCGGGCGCCCCGCCCCAGCCCCGCCCCGCTCCGGAGGCCCCTCCTCTATCCCCGCCCCTTCCCGGGCGCCCCGCCCTCTCCCTCCACTCTGCGCCCCCGCGGCCTCTCTCTCCTCCTGCGGGAGCCATCGCCCTCCTCCCGGGCGCCCCTCCCCGCGGCCGCAGCCTGTTTCCCGGGCCTCTCCTCCGCATTCTCACATCGCTCCAGCTCGACCTCCCCACCCGCCCGCCTCCCCGGGAGGCCGCGGCCCGGCGCGGCACCGCCCCTGCCCACGGTTACCCGGTTACCGCCTGAGAGGCCGGCGCCTGCCCGGGCGGGCGGGACCCGCACTGACCCCGCAGGGGGCGAGGCGGGGCTGAGAGGGGCGAACGCAGAGCCAGACCCCCCGCCGCCGCAGGCCGCCCACCTCCAGGCAGGGCTTCGTGCCAGACCCGGCTGTAGTTATCAGCTGGGTGGAGGGCAGTGCCAGCTGCAGGCGTCCCCGAGGCGCAAACACCACCCCTGGCCCCAGCCTCCTTCCCTGCAGCCTTCTACCTTCTACCGGAAACAGAGCCACGGGGAGCTAAAGGAGGATCCAGCAACAGTGGAGGCAGGGACTCCACCTCAGAGGCAGGGCCGCACTGAAGCCCAGCTCACCTACCTGCTGGGTGACCTTGGGCAAGTGACTTCTCTATGCCTCAGTTGTTGCATCTGTAAAATTGAGATAGTAATAGTATTCACCTCACTGAGTGCTGCGGTTTGGTGCCTGGCACATAATAGGGACTTCATAGACAGTTGTTACTATTATTACCTCTTCCCCCACATTTGGGGTTTGGCAGAGGGATGTATTGGCTACATGGTCATTAAGGATCTGTTAAGCACCTCCTATGCACGAGGGAGATCACATGGTATGGTCCAAGAGTCTTGGAGTTAGATGTGGGGTTGAATCCTGGCCCTGTCACTTCATAGCTGTGTGTGACCTTGTAAAATTCTGTCTCCTCTCTGAGCTGAAGTTCCCCCACAGGAAAATAGGGACCGTAATGCCCATCTTCCGGGGCCAATGCTGGATTCAATGAGATAATGTACAGGGAGTGCCCAGGGCAGTTCTCAGCACACAATAGTGCCTCTCAGTAAATAAGAGACGCAGGATGGAGAGGACAGGCTCAGTTTCTGCTACAGAAGAGCTCTGGGCAGGTAAGACCTATGGGAGAAAAATGTCACTGAGGAGGATGAACGTTCATGCTCAGCATGCAGTCAGTAGGAAGGGCTGAGGGAGGGCAGGCCCTCCTGTCTAGGAGAATGAAACTGCTAAGGGTGGGATGTCAGGCACTGGTGGGGGATGTTTCCGAATGGGGCCCGTTGGTCCTCAGTGAAGCGGCAGCTACTGGGCCTGAGAAGGGATGTAGGGGCGCTGGAATGACTGATGTCAGCATCTGCTTTATTGGAGAGGCCCCAAAGATGGCTTGGCCATCTCTCTCCCATCCTGACAGGAGAAAAGAATGAAAAGGACAGTTGGAAAATGAGCCCTGAGCAAAATCTCCCCCCTTTATAATAACTGTGAATGTGGCTGGGCATGAGCATGGCCCTGGACAGTGGCTGTGTGACTCTGAAGCTGGGTTCCCTCATCTGTAAAATAGTGGGCTGGTCAGATGCTTTCTAGGCCCCTGAGCTCCTCCCTTCTTGAAAGCAACATTTGCTCTGATCCGTAGCAATGTGGGGGAGAAGCCACTCCTGGAGAGTGCAGGGCCCATCTTCAATCCCATCACCCATTCCATGAACTGGCTGGGAGCCCTCTTGGATGAAATGGAAATGGAGTGGGGCTTAACAGTGGGACAGGCTCCCCAAAGTAGCTCAGGAAGACCAGCTGTCCCACTGATTGTGTGATTCTGACAGCTGGAATCAGCCTTTCAAGCAGATGTCCAGCCCTCTTACAGACAAAGAAAGCCCAGAGAAGTGAAAGGACTTGCCCAAATTCATGTGTCTCTTGAGAGGCAGAGCTGCCTTTCAATCCACTGCACCATATTGCTTCAATTAGTTTCATTAAGAGGGACAACAAAAAAACCAGTAAGCTAGTGACCAAGGCCATCCAAAGTCTCTTTGAGTCCATTTCACGAATGCAAAATGGAAATGCCTTAGCTTCACTACCAGATAAGAAAGTGCTTTGGGAAGTGAGAAGAACACTCCAAACAGCCCAGGAGCTGCCATAAGCACTGTCTGGAGCTGGAGGGGGTTAACTAGGTGGACAGTTGGCGGAGGCTCCTGCCAGGTCAGAGGGGATTTGCCTTTGTGATCAGCACTGCAGGCTCCACGAAGAGTCCAAGGACAGTGGGCTCTGAGTACTAATATGCATTTTTATTCTGCAATAATTTTCATACTGAGTTCAAGAGGCACCAACTCCAAGTACATAAAACCAAATCAAATTAAATTAATTGATTTTATTGAAACCTGCTGCAGTTGTATTCAAGCCCACAGCCAGGGGCATGACCCTCATGAAATACCAAAGGGGCTTTTGAAATAATTAAATTAATCACACCCCGGGTTATGCACAAGGGCTTGCTCCTGGACTCACAGGCAGGCATGTTCCCGGTCCCAGCAACAAGCGGGAGAGGAGCATGTGGCCGCAACACAACCACAAAATGTGGTGCTGCCTAGGGGAGCTGAAGACTCAGACTTCTCATTCCAGGGTAAGCCTTTGTTCATGCTCTTTTGGCAAACATGCACATACACACACTCTCATGTTAACCCATACACACAGTCACAACACCACTCATACTCACACACATACATATGTATACACAAACATACTCATCTGCTAGATTTCCCTTCTGTCTCCCTGTCTACCCATGGTTCAGATCAAGTGCTTACCTCGTGATCCTCCTTCTTTAACCCACCAGGACCCCTCCAGCACTTGGATGATGCATTTTCTTGTTGGCTGTTGTTTCATAAGCGCTTTTTTTTGCATCTCTAAGTAAAGGCTAGTAAGCCCCTTGAATGCAGAGAATGGGCCTCCCTGCCTTCTCTGGATCTCTCAGAAAGCTCAGCATAACCTAGAGTGTGAATAACTTAACCACTGTAAGTGCTGTGCACTTGGAAGGAGCTCCAGACATTAAGCACCTACTGTATACTAGATACTGTTCAGATGACTTTAGACATATTAACTCATTTAGTCCTCACCACGAGCCCCCACCCCCTACATCCCACCAAGTTGGGATTGTTGTTGTCCTTATTTTACAAATGAAAATAGAGAGACACAGAAAGGTCAAGTAGCTTGACTGAGGTCACCCAGCTGGCAAAGGGAGCAGGGTTATATTACTTCTTAGGAAATCTTAAGCCAAAACAATTCTATACATCCTGTTGCTGATCAAGAGGTAGATCACCTTGTGCTTGAACACATTCCCACAAACAAGTATGGTTACAAAATCCCAGCATTACAGGGACACTCACCAACCCTTCATTTTACAGAGGAGGAAATTTGCAGTCCAGGAAGGGGAGGGTTCTTGTCCAAGGTCACAAAGCAATTTAGAGGAGAGCTCCCAGCCTCCTGTTGGCCCACAGCTTAGAGCAGCTCTGTCTGGGAGAAATGTTACTGATTATTCCAGTTCCTCATGCATTCGAATCTAAGACAACACTCCGACGTAGCCCGTCCTTCAGAGACAATGAGTGTCCAGTGATGAGCAAGAATCGCCCTGCGGAGCTGCCCATACTCTATGGCCCAAGTCCTCCTCTGTATTCAGAGAGCAAACTTGGGCAGAGAGAGGGGACCTGGCCTTGTTAGGGATCAGACTCCCAAACTGCGGCCTCATCAGCACCTGCTCTAGTCCTTGTTGTAACTGCTGGGACACCTTTGAAGACAAAGCCTTTCCCTCTGTTCCTGTTGTGCAATGAGCTTTCAAAAGCTCCTGTCCCTCACCGCCACCGCCCCCCAACCTCTGCTCCTTCCACACCCCGCCCACTACCAAATGCTATGCCCTCAAGGTTAACTTCAAAATAAAGCCCTGGAGTCCAGCCAACAAGAATCCCCTTCCTGGCTCTGAGAACTTGAGCTGCTTAATAGGAATGGGGAACTTGAACATCGTAACCACAACAGCCCCTCTTTGCAGGGTCTGCACAGCTCTGTGACCAGCACACATATTCTCGCCACGTAAGCCTCATTTTACAGATGAGGAAACTTGGGTAAAGGGTGGGGAGAGGCCTGCATGCCGAGCTAGTAGGGCCTGGATTCAAAGCTGATCTTTCCCTCTTTTTAAAATGACCAGATATTCTTATTAACAGTATGGCCTGCCTGTCTGGCACACTGCATAATACGTTTTTCCCAGATTTTTTTGACTGAGCTCTTTGATTACTTCTTCATAGGAGAATAATTTTTTTTTAAATTGTGGTAAATGTTTATATTTATATATGTGTAACATAAATGTTGCTATTTTAACCATTTTAAGGCGAAATTCCGTGGCATTGAGTACATTCACAGTGTTGTACAACCATCACCACTATTTCCAAGACTTTTTCATCAACCCAAACAACTCTGTAACTGTTAAGCAATAACTTCCCAACGTTCCCCTCCTCTGAACCTTGGTACCACTAATCTACTTTTCATCTCTAAGAATTTGCTTCTTCTATTTATTTATTTATTTGTTTATTTTGGGAGAAATAAGAACACTGGGTAGGAAGAATTTGCCTATCATGGATGCTTCATAGAAGAAGAATCACACAATATCTTGTTGCCCTTTGTGTCTGCAGAGTTAACTCTTTTCCCCAGTAAGCTGGACTTCTCAGCTTCTCAGACCCCCGGTTTCTCCCTGCCTCCCTCCCAGGAATGCCGTTGGGGTGGGAGTCCCAACATGAGTGATGTCATCACAGGGAGGGCCAGTCCTGTGGAAGCTCAGAGTCCCCTGGTCCCCAGCAGGTAGAAGCACCTGGCCTGGTCCTCAGCGATACGGACAGGACCAATGAAGCAGCATGTTAGGGGGCAAGAAAAAGGAGTTTCCAGCAGGGAGACGGGCCAAGGAGTGACCCCCAAAGCGTCCAGGGGCCTGGGCACTACACTGCCACAGGCAGCCAGGGGCGAGCCGTAGATGGACCATATTGGGCACATTTGGTGATGGTTTTGCTGAAGTGTGCCTGGAAGCTGCTGTCCACACTGGAACAAGCCTCTGGCACCTATTGGGCACCTCCTAAGCTAGAAGGTGGCTCAGTTGTGTTGTCCTTACTGGCGGGGGGGAAGCTCTTGAGGCTGTTTCCCCACTCACAGCCCCCAGCCCCAGGAAGAGGCCTCTTCCTCTGACCTCAACCTCAGCTGGAAGCACAAAGCAGAGCCTGCTCAGCCCTGCCCTTCTCTGGTCTTCAGAACCTCGTGCTGCCCTTCTACCCAAGCTGTCTGTGCCTGCTCTCTGCACAATGGCCATCCGGAGGTAGTCCTGTGTCCGGTCCTTCCTTGGCCGGAGGCAATATCCAGACCCTTCCTCCACCCTTCCAGGGTTCCCGCCCACTCCTGAATCTCCACTTTGAAAGCTTTCCACGGACAAGTGATCTCTCACAACCGCCTTCACTTCCCCTCCCAGTCCAACCTGCCCCTCCCACAGGCCCCAGCCTACCCATTTCCTCTGCCCTTTTCACCCTTTGGCGCCAGAACTCAGCCATTCTGAGCCTTTGGCCCAGCTCTTTCCTCCTTCCAGCTGCTCCTGTGCTGGGGCCTCCCATCTCTTGCTTTTTCTCTTTGGCGTTAACTGTTACTCAGCCCTGCACCCCAACAAAGAAATGCACCCTGAAAGCCTGTGGCACTAAGGTATGGGGGACATCAAAGGCAACCAGACTCAGCACAGACCTAACACTTGAGTTACCTATTTGGAAATGTTAAATGCAGGCCACTGCATTGCTAGGGTGTGTGTGTGTGTGTGTGTGTGTGTGTGTGTGTGCGCGCGTGCACACGCGCATGCGCCAGTAGACTCTGGGTCCTTCCAAGAAGCTTTTCAAAGCAACCTTTCTCCCCCTTGCCAGAAACAATGAATTAGTGAGGATGAGCCCAAACAGGATTAATAGTCCTTTTCTGGTTACCCGAGTTTCTTGCTTCTTGTATAACACAGCAGCCACAGGGTTTCAAGGTTTCTTTGAGAAGATGCTAGAGCAATGACTACAGAGCTTATAAAATTACACAGAACGGTATGTTTGAAAAGATCATTTTCTGTATTCAGCTCTGTGAAAAGTTTTCCATAAGAGCAGCAACAGTCGGATAAAGGTGCCTGCCCACATAAAACAGCTTTAGTAGGGTTTCAGATCCCTTTCAGAGTGTGGGGAAGAGAGAAGGGAGGGGAAAGGACTATCAAAAGGAAAAACAAGTCCGCATGCTTTGATTTGGCCTTGGTGACCAGGACAACACACTCTGAGGGTGCCACAGTCAATATTCGCTTCACTGAGCTTCTTATCAGGCTCCAACCTATGGGGAGCAAAGGGCAGAGCTTGGCAAGAGCCCAGGTGCTGTGTGAGGGTTCAGGGTGAGGCCCCGGCTGATTAAGCTGTCCTGGGCCTTTCGGTCAGAGGCTCCCTGCAAAGAGGTCCTTGGAAAAGGCTTACTTGCTGCAAGGCAACCTCCTGGGATCCCTGCACCAAAGTTTTCAGATCTGGAAACTGGCAAATTTTTGTTAGACAAATATGTGGTTGATGTGCAGGTTTTTCTAAACATGAAACAAACCCCACAAGTTATAAGGGGGAAAAGTGGTGGATTTGATTACAGAAATACCACAATCCAAGTTAAAAACAGACTGGGAGAAAATATTTGCATTATAAGTTACAGACATAGGTTTAAATCTACGATATACAAAGAGCTCCTATACATCAATAAGGAAGAACATGAAATATAAATGTCCACTAACATGATTTAAGTTGCTCAATCTCACCAATGATTTTTATTAATAAAATGTAAACACCAACTCTTAGGTGCTGAAGAAGAAATAGGGGAAGGCAGATCTTGTAGGTAAGGGACACTAGATTAAAGAGCTAGAGGACTTGAAAGCTTATCACCTGTCCTGGAAGACTCAGCAAATCATTTTCCATGTTTGGGACAATGTTCTAGTTTATATTTTCGTGGAAGTTGCGTAAAGGATAATGTTGGTCTTCTGTCTCTTGAATCAGGCATAAACATGGCTTCTTATGCCTATCCCCCTTCTCAGAGCAGCTCAGAACACTTATCACACCTTTCTCCTTGACCCTCACCTCTCTGGAAGATTAGAAGCAGAAGATTTATTGGATCAACTTCTCAGCTGTGGAATCTGAGCAAACAGAAGGGAAGTGGCTGAGGTAAGACACCCCTGGCAGCCCTTGGTGAATGTTGCAACTGGTCTGGGGCACTTGCCCTGTCCCCAAGGGGGTCTGTGTGTACCACAGGGTCTGCTGTCCAGATGGCTGCATGGGGCATGGGGAGCAGGCAAGGGCTACACAATAGAAAGGTAAGAAAGTGCACTGACTTTATTTTCAGGCAATGCGGGTTAGGATTCTACCTCCTACTGCATGCTCCTGCACGCATTGTCCCATCTTTTTGCATCCTGGGTTCCTCTTCCATAAAATGGGCACAGTACTCCTCACCTCCCAGTCCCCTTGCCTTACCATTGTCCTTACCACTCGATTGGACATATTTCAGAGACAGCCTTACCCTCTGTTACTTAACGGTTTCAGCTCCCCAAACTAGATCACACGACTTCATGGGCTAGAGCTGTGTCTCCGGAGAGGTCAGGGACCCCAGGAAGCTAACAGCACTGGGGCCCTGCCATCGTCACTTTTGAACTCGCAGCACCTGGCACACTGTGTTGCACATGGAAGGTACAAAATAATAGTTACAGAATGAATGAAGGAAACTATGGATGAGGGAGCCGAGGGTCAGAAAGGTGAAGTGTCCTGCCATGGGCCATATGACCCATTAATACCTGGCAAGCACTGTGCCGTCCACTTTCTTCTTTATCAAGGGCAAATGGTGAGGAGAAAACACAGCCAAGCATACTGGCTCATGAAGTCTCGTGTTTTCCAGGGAAAGTCCCATTTCACATCTGTTTTCTCTTACGATTATAATAATGCCCACTTTTACTATCAAAAGTGTCCCTTTTTTTTCTTAAAGATATGGACTGCTTCACGAATTTGCGTGTCATCCTTGAACAGGGGCTATGCTAATCTTCTCTGTATCATTCCTATTCTAGTATATGTGCTGCTGAAGCAAGCACAAAAGTATCCCATTTTGGATGATAAAGTCTCTGTTCTCTCTGTTATGAGGGAGAGTGGACAGAAGGTCTCTGTGTTTCCCTGACTCCATCTACTCTCCCACCCCTCACCTCTCCTGACCTAACAGAAACACAATTAAAATGTCACTTCATTATCTATTCACTGAAAGCCACACTGGAACTGCACTCCCCACAAAGGCCAACTTCCCCCAGCAAAATCCGCCTTAAGGGTGCCCTCATGGCCTGTGCATTGGGGTGATGGGGTTCCCAGCTGCTTAACTGCCTTCCACTATATCACCAGCAAGTGGACCAAAGACCCTGCCTCAGCATTCTTACTGTGCTGAATGATGGGCACCTGCTTGCCAGGCCTGTGCCAAAGAAGCCCTCTACCCACACCCCAAGGGCTAACTAGTATCCAGTCTTCCTATTCTGCAGGGGGCATCTGGACCTGAACAGGGACTCATCCATCAAAGCTCTTGGGGGGCCTGGCAGCCTCTCCAGAGAAGGATGCGCAGACTGAGGTGAGAGCTGGGGTCTCTGAGATCCACCCACCTGCAGAAATGCTGGATTTGAGGGGAGGCAGAGAGGCATCATGAACACAAAGAAAGTTCCCACCCAGAGGAGCTCACCAAACCCGGGGCAGCCTCAGGGATGAGCATTTTCAGACATGTTCAGGAAGACATGGCTGGGATGTTGGATTAGGGGATGGGGCCAGCCCTCCCACTGGTCCTCAGACCTTTAGAGGAGGCCAGGAGGAGAAAAAGAGCCATTGACACCTTAACAGAGTAAGCAGGTACTCTTGGGAGATCCCCTCCACACCTATGAAGTCATTCAAAGCCTGGGATCCGCAGGTGCCTCTCCCAGAGCCTTCCTCAGTTCACTCACCTCACTAGGCCCACCCCACTCCTCTGCACCTGTCCCCTCTGCACTGACAGATGACCGAGAACCCCCCGCCCCTGTACGACTGCAGAGGCCTCTGTGGTTGCTGTCCAGGCCTTTCATGGGAGTGTGGTGCCTTCGCCAGGACTAGCCCTCCCCCTGCCCCACAGGGCAGGGACCCTTCACTTTCTGATCCCACAAGGAGCTGTGCCCTGGGTTCTGCCTATAGCCTACACTCAACTGTCTCTTACCAGCCACCTACCTGAAAGTGGGGCATTAGAATCTGGAACCTAAGGTTGGTAGGTCCCAATCTGCTGGACCTGGACTCAGAGACTCCCTTGGCAGTAGAAGAAGATGGCACCAGGTCTCACTTAACTCTTTCTCTGGCCCTGCCTGAGCCTTGGAGCCCCATGGTCCAGTGCTCACAGGCCTGGCCCCAAGTTAAACAAGAGGACAAAGCCCAGCTTGTGGCTTCTTCCCCGAGCTGGCTGATACCTATTTTCCCTAAAGGAGGAATCCAGGCTGGCTTTGGCCATCTCACCCCCTCCTGGAGAGCAATGGGCATGCCACACTGGGCACTCTTTGAGGTCAGGCACTCAGCCTTCTTTCTTCTGAATTCCTCTCTCCTTCCAGCCCTCACTTCCCCTACCTAGGCCAGGCCCTTCACTCTAGGAAGAATATCCCAGGAATCATCCATCACCAAATTCTAGGAGCTGATCTCAGCAACTATGCGGCTGGAAGGAGCCTGGAAAATCCACTGTGCCCATGATGGGAATGACCATTAATGCCTGGAGGGCAAGGATGCTGTACCCATTCCTGCAGCCCCAGCCCCAGCACAACCCAGACAGAGGGCTCTCAGCAGAGGCTTCCGGAACTGTGCTTGAGTCCTAGCTTGCTGTCTCCATGGCTGCCCTGGAGGCTGGCCCAGAGCAGGCACACAGTAGGCATCTGTGAATGAAGCAACAGGTGCCTGCCGGGTCCTAGCTCCTGGGCTGGGCACTCTGACTACTTTATGTGGGGCAACAGCCCTGCAAGGTAGATACCATCATCCTATTGAATGGATGAGAAAATGGAGGCTCAGACAATTTAAGTGGCTTCCCTGAAGCCACTTGGCAAGTATCAGGCCAGACTTCAAGCTTAATCCTTCCAGTCTCTGAAGACTGTGGTCTTTCTGTTTTCATGTCAGCCACTCAGTCCACGCATTTGGGGATTTCAAAGTCGAATAAGAAGTAGCTCCAGCTCTTGGGTGGTTCATACTGAAAGAGGCAGACAGTTTTGTTCACAGCTACCTGGGACAAGAAACAGACGTGGCCAGGCCTGCACCCAAAGCTGAAACCTATTGTGTAGGCTGCAGGCAGAGGAAGAAGGTCACTGTTCCTCTGTAGTTTGAGAAAGGTATCTGGGAAGAGGTGGCAGTGGATTCGGCCACAGACAGGACATGATGAGGCTAAGGACGCATTGAGGATGGATTTTAAGCTAGTGGGAAGATGGGTGGGAAGATGGGTCTGCATCAGGGGCTTCCCAGTGCCCTTAAATGTCATGATGGCCCGTCAGGCAGCCATTTGCACAGCTTGGTGGAGCAGGCAGGGGGGCACGGAGGGCTGGCGGCTGGGAATCTGCCCAGGACCTGTTAGGTTTCTCAGCCGGAGCTGCAGGCCTGAAGCAGGTAGAAGGGTTGGGAGCTGGGAGCGGAGTCTGTGTGCCCTGTCTCCATGAGTGTGTCTGGGAGATTCGGGTGACCTCCTGGCCTCCATCAGTGGGAGCTGGGGGAGAGGGAGACCAGCGAGCTCTGAAGGACGCACCCGCCACATCGTTGCACACTTATTTTTCCCAAACACTTGACTGACGTGACCCACGGGGCCACAGGGAATGGCCTTCACTGGGCTGGCAAGTCGAGGGCAATGATAGCCCTCAGTTCCTTGGGCGGCCCCTCCCTCAGGGAGCTGGCCCGGGGCGAAGAGGGCCTTGGACTTGCTGCTCTGTCCCAGGCCAGCCTGCCACAGTAGGGGTGGGAAGGGCCGCCTGGTCCTGTCTGCTTCTCGCTTTTTCTGTTTTCAGGGTCAGCACAGTTCAGGGAGGAGACACAGACTGTCGGGAAGGCCTCCTGCAGAGACAGAGGAGCACAGGCACTGTCTAGGGGGTGGTGGGAGGGGACTGTGGGGTGGAACAGCAGCCTCTGGCACAGCCATGAACTCACTGCAGAGTAACTCACTGCAGAGCCTTCCCAGGCCTTGGTTTCTGTTCTGAGAATGGAGGCCTTGGAGCAACTTGAAAGCTCCGACTTTCCTCTAGTTCTTGAACATGCCATCTTCCTCTTCCCAAGATGTTGCCAGACAGGAGTGGACAGTTAGTTTACTTCAGGTTTTGCTAATTTTCTATTCCTACATTGTGATTTGAACAGTTCTGCTGTTAGACCCAAAACCTGATTAAGAAAATCAGTAGATCCCCTCAAAGTCCAAGAAACTCATGATGATTAAGCATCCACTCCACATCAGGCCCCACGCCAACTGAAAAGGTTTATGTGGATTATCTCATTTAATCTTGATATTAACTCTGGGAAGTGGCTGTTATCATCCCCATTTCCCCCAGTTTGGCATAATTTCTTAAAGTCCTGCAGTGGTTTCCCAGGACCTTCAGGATAAAATCCAAACTCCTCCCAGCCCACCCTTCTAGCACCGCACCACTCCTAACTGGGCCAGTCCCTCATGGATGGACTGCTTCTCCCACACACAGTCTCAGGGCCTATGATACGTCCCCCCTTCCCATCCATTCAACTTGTATCTTTCCAAGGCCTGGCAAATCCTTCTCTCCAAGGAAGAGTAGGCAGTAGTGGGAGGCAGGTGAGGCCCTAGGGCACCACATTTAAGGAGGCACTCACTGTCAGGTGCCAGGCCTGCACTTGCATGCTCCTGAGAGTGAGCACCTCCTTAAATTTTACACTGAGTGCCTCACTTGCCTCATCCTTGTCCTGGCCCTGCCCCAGAGACTCAATGCCCAACCCAAAGGACCTCTCCCTCCTCCAAAGTCCACAGCCCTTCCTGGTAGGTCCTGTCACTGGACTGTGTCACGGGGACTGATCTTGATGCCTCGTGTGAATGTCCATCACTACAGGGCAGACACCACTTGTCCCCTGTCCCCATCCTAAAATCAACAGGGCTTGCTCCAGCTTCCAAATTGGCTCCCCATCTGCCCTCCTTCATCCTCCACCCCATCAACCTGGAATTCCAATTCATCTTTTAGAATCTATATGAAAATTATGGTTTAGCACTGTATAGCCATTAAAAATTACGTTTCCACATGGGTGAATTCTTCTATAACCTGGCTGTAAGAAGAAAAGATTGGATAATTTGACTATACAAACAAATTTATATGGCAAATCCCATAAGTAAAGTCACAGGCAAATAATAAACTGGGAGAAAATATTTGTCACATATATCATAGACAAAGGGCTTAGTATATAAAAGATTCTTAAAAATTGAGGGACAAAGAACCAAAAACCCAATAGCAAATGGACAAGATATAAAGACAATTCACAAAAGGCAATATTAAAAATGATCATTAAACATATGAAAAATTTTCAACTTCACTCATAATAAAAAAATGAAAACTAAAATTATAATGAGATAACATTTCTTACCAGTGAGATTGGCAAGAATTCCAAAACTTGACAATAACGTCTGTTGGCAAGGTCGTGGGAAAACAGGAATGCAACTGACACAACCCCATGGAGGGGAATCTGGCAACGCCTAACAAAACTACATCCTCTTCAACTTGATAATCCCATTTTTAGAATCCCAAGCATATGAAACACACATGCACAAGCATTGTAGCATTATGTAATTGCAGAATATGAGAAGCTACCTAAGTGGTCATCCGTAAGAGAGCAAGTGAATAAACCATGACACATACACACGATGGAGTATTATGCAGCTGTAAAAAAGAGTGAGGAAGACCTCTATGGGCTGATATGAAGTGACTGCCAGGAAATATTACTGAATGAATAAAGTAAAATGTAAATACATCTAAATCTGTATTTACCTACCTACCTATCTATCTATATATAGTGCTACCTTTTCTGTGAGAAAGAAGGGGAAATAAGACAACATATAATTTTGCTTCTCTTTACACAAAGAAATAGATGCATAAGCAGAAAACAATTAAATTGGTTACCTACAAGGAAGCAATGGGTTACAGAGGAGAGTGACATATCTCCAACTATACCTTTCTGTATATCTCCAACTATACCTTTCTATCTCCAACTAAACCTTCTATCTCCAACTGTACCTTTCTATTTGACTTCTGAAAGCATGTTCATGTCCTACATATTTTTAAAAATTAATTTAATAAGAATGAGAAGGAAAAAAATCCCTCAAACTGAAAAAAAAGGAACCTAACTGTAGTTCAAATAAATACTATAACCACACTGAAGGACAGAAAAAATCAGGAAGGAAAGACTAATCCTAGTAATTTATGAACATGGCATGGTGAGGTGGGGATGAGAGGAAGGTTTGTTGGTTGTAGTGATTTGGGTGAAACAATTCTGAGAGTATTTTTAGATGTAATATAGGATGAGCAAAGGAGTGAATTTTGTTGACAGTTTGGGGAGCCGAGGTTTCACTGCTGAAGAAGGACATGTAATTATGAGATGGGGAAGGCAGGAAACAACCATGTAGAAATGGATTGGAATCAGAGGTATTGGTATGGATTCACAATTTCTAAAATACAAATATGTCAGTGTATGTGCATGTGTATGGGTGAATAGTACATGGATGTATAGGTGTATGGATGCATGTATTTCCTAGTGTTTTGTCCCCTGAAAGGGCCAAGGTGCAAATATACCCAGCAACGAGCAAACCCAGATCTGGATGTCTAATACCATTCCTCGCTAAAAGGAACCAGAGCCCCCCAGAGAAATTACTGATGCCAGGGCTGGTGCAGGGTAGGTGCAAGATAAGCCTGGAAATCTCTTCTCATACCAGAAAGTAAGAACATACTCAAAATAGGGATAGTGGTGTATTAAAATATCATAGGTGAGAAATACTAAACCATTGGAAAAACCAGAGTTCATCATTCTATGCAGATAATAAATAAAAACATTCTGTTGCTTACAGTAGAATGCAAAGGGCCCATTGGCAAGAATGGAGGCAGTGCTGGAGTTGGAAATGCATCATTGTGCAACCTCATGTTAATGACTGGATGGGCCAAAAGTCATCAATGGGTGCTACATCTAGGGAGAGACCGATGAGGAGCAGGGTACTGCATGGTTTTAAAATGTCTCCCCATAGACCACTTGCTAGTTCCAAGGGAGAAAAAAAAATCATCCTATAATGGAGAAATCAGACACTGCCTGGACTGAGGGATCAAAATTAACATCACCAATGAGGGCCTCCTGATGATGCCCTGAGAAGAACCAAGAGGGCTTATGCAGGGTTCTGTCCAAGAATACATAACCTGGATTCTAATCAAGAGGAAACATCAGACAAATTCAACATGAGGAATATACTGTCTTACAAATAAGTGGGGGCATTGTATTCTTCAAAGATGTCCATGTCATAAAAGACAAAGAAAGGCTGTGAAAAGGTTCCAGATTAAAGGAGATAAAGAGACACAACTAAATGCAATATCCAACCCTAGATGAGATCTACTTGAGGGAGAAATGCTGGGGAGAACATTATGAAGTTAACTGACAAAATCGGGATACAAAGAATAGATTAGATTAAAGTGTTGTATAAATGTTAAATGTATTGGTCAACCATGCTATGATTATGTCAGAGAATATACCTATCCTTGGGAAACACATGCTGAAGTATGTAGGGGTGAACTTACCTTCAAATGGTTCAGGAAATACACGTGTGTGTGTGTGTGTGTGTGTGTGTAAGAAAGAACACAAATGATTAAGCAAGTGCTGTAAAATGTTAACAGCAGGTAAAACTGAGATATAAGAATACAAGGATATTCTTTGGATTATTTTTGTTTGCAGTTTCTCTGTAATTTAAAATTTTTCCCAAATAAAAAATTTAAATGTATGTTCCAATATTTGAAAGATGCTTTCTTCTCTGTAGGAGTGGACTCTCCTCAGCCAGGGGACTGCCAGCAGGCAACCAGGCCAGGGAAGAGTTCCTAATCAAACCCATCTGGGTTCAGTGTGTGGCCTTGGAGAATTCACTTGACCTCTCGCGTCTCTGCTCCCTCCTGTGGGGCCATGCCCACCTCATGGTCTTGGGACAATTAAAAGAGATGATGCCTGCAAGAACTTGGCCCAGGCCCCCCATAGGGTGTGCTGGACATCTACGGGAACTATTACTTCACTGGTAGTGTTTTCATCAGCATAAACCCCTTTAGGGCACAGAGCTGAGAGCTGTCTACATTTCCAAGAGCCATTTCTGGCCTGGAGCAGGACAATGAGCCAAGAACAAGCAGGGCCAGCTGGAGGGTGGCTTCCACCAGCAAAGTGGTCCCCTCGCCCTCCTGCTTCACCCTCAGGCCTCAGCTTCTAGAACTCAGGCCCTCCTGCTCTCTGCCTTGACCACTTGCCCTCACCTGCAAAAGCCTTTCCTTTTGGCTGGCACTTCTTCAAGGCCCCCTCCTGGTGACTCCTGTGACACCTTGCTAGAACTATTCTAGTCCCCTCCTTCAGCTCCTTCTTTGAGTAAGGGACCTGAGGTGGCATTTCAGTGTGGATTCATTTATGGCCCCATCTCTCCTCTTCCAGGGAAACATTTTGTGACAGTGCCATCATTCTTGTGTTCCTGGCAAAAGGAACTATAATTCCTGGCCAACAGGAGGGTGTGTGCGTGTGTGTGTGTATACGCATGTGTGTGTTTGTGTGTGTGTGTCTGTGAGCTGTGGACTTTCTTGGAGGCCATGAAATCGCCCCTCAGGCCAGGCCTGGCCTGTTGAGAACCTGGGTCCAAGTTCTTGGGTCCAAGAACTTGGGGCCAAGGCCTGTGCTGTTGTCTTCCACTTGTCCCTCCCACCCTACTCTGCTCTTCTTGTGCCCTGGGAGGCCGACCACTGCAGACACAGCAACGGGCTCCCTTGCCTCTGGCCTCCTGTCAGCTCAGCCTGTAGGGCCCTAGGTGGAGAATGGAGGAAGGGAGTTTGGGGTTTAGAGTTGGGGTGTTTAATGCCTTGTATCCCTTTCTCCAGGGAGGCCTCAGACCAGCTGTATCCCTGGACCAGAGGTCACAGCGCTGGTAAGGTGGCCCCTCCACCCCACCCTCACTGTCTCTACTTCCAGCAGCCCCTCCCTCTCCTTGCCCAGCCCCTCCCTCTCCTTGCCCCTTTAGTGCCCCTGGGTGTAACAGCTCCCCAGTGTTCACAGCCCTGGGGTACTGCACTGGGTCTTGAGAGTTCCCTGCACTGGCACTGGCCTTTGAACTCAACTCTCCAAATTGTCTATGAACTGAAGTTTGCCACCTGTTTCCTGCCATGCCCCTGACTCATGCGGACCCCTGTGGAGGGAGGCAGTGCCCTCTCCCTTAATGTATTTGGTACTTGTCTGCACGGGAGGCCCCACATTGCCATGCTCAGGGAGGGCATCTCAGGGAGGGCATCTCAGGGAGGGGATCTGCTGCGAAGCCATTCGCACTGCAGAACAAAAGCAAGGGCTACCACGTCGGGCCTCTTCTGCCTGCTGCTTCTTGTTCCAACTTCATTTCATCTTTTCATAAGTTACTGTTCTGTGAGAAGCATTACAAGAAGGAAATTAAAAGAGAGAAAAGTTGGTGGAGGAATACCTTTCTTTCTTTCTTTTTTTGGTTTAAACCTTTTGTTATGATCTCTTTAGGAGCCTGATCCAACTAGAGGGACATGTGGCAGAATATGTTCTTCAAAATTAGTTCTGAGAGACACTTGGGGCTCTTTATTATTCATTCTATTAAAATCAAAATATTAGCTGATGCCTGTCGCATCGTCAGAGCGGGTCTGGCAACTTCTCTGATGCATTGTCTACTTGAAAGTAAAGACGAAGGCCTTTCATGTGGAAGCCTCTATCAGGTCCATTCTGTTCTCCTGCTTGTAATGACAGAAAAACCCTGGCCTGCTCTGTGTCTGAGACACTGACAGATCCAGGACAAAGCAGTGGAGCCCATCATGTGTCCCATTGTGCCAGGGCCCTCTGGGCAAGGCTGCCTCTTCTGGGGCCCTACCTCTCCCCCACCAAGGGTGGCCATGGAGCAGCAGGAGGACCCCTCCTGGTCCCAGGAGTGTGGCTTCTCATATTCATTGATTTTGAAGTGGGTGGAGGGGACAATGCCAGGGACCCTGAGGCTTAAAGATCAAACTGCCTTGCCGTTTCCTTGGATGCCCTCTGCTGCCCTTACTTCTGGAAGGAATACCATAATGCAGATAATTCCATTTCTCCAGCAGGAACAAACCAATCTGGCTGTGGCGCTCTGCTCTAGAGCCACCCAGAGGTTGGCCTGATGTTTTCACTTGGGGCCCTAAGTAAACAGAGAAGTTCTTAGCTCAACAGAGGCTTGTCTTTTCTGAGGACTGTAGATGGGACCAGAGTCCCCAACCAATAAGGGATCCTGCATGGCTGAGCAAGGCTTGTGCCTGGTGGCCGAGTTACACAGCAGATGAATGCATGTCACTTGGGGGCCTTCCAGCCAGCTGTGGAGAAAGACTCTCCTATGCTGGATGTGGGGAATGTGGGGGCTTCAGGTGCTCAAGGAGGCAGAGATTCCTGGGGGCTGGGTGGGCTTCCCAGGGCTGGTGGGATCAGACAGGTGGTTAAGCACCAGGAAGGAGAGAGAAAAGGGAAGAGCCGGGAGGAATGTGAGTGACCAGCTTGGAAGCCAGGGTGGGAGACCATCTCGGGAGGGACAGGAAAGGAGCATCTGTTGGGGGAGTGGTCAGAAGTCAGGCTGGAATGCCCTCGACTGCAAAGAAGATATTTCTCTCTCCTTCCTTCCTTCCTTCCTTCCTTCCTTCCCTGCGAGGAAGATATCCCTCCCTCCCTCTCTCTCTCCCTTCCTTCCTCCCTTCACTGCAAGGAAGATATTTCTCCTTCTCTCCCTCCCTCCCTTCCTTCCTTATTTCCTTCCTTCCTCCCTTCCCTTCAAGGAAGATATTTCTCCTTCCTTCCTTCCTTCCCTCCCTCCCTTCCTTCCTGCAAGGAAGATATTTCTCCTTCCTTCCTCCCTTCCTTCCTTCCTTCCCTGCTTCCTTCCTTCCTTCCCTGCTTCCTTCCTTGCTTCCTTCCTTCCCTCCCTCCCTTCCTTCCTTACAAGGAAGATATTTCCCCTTCCTTCCTTCCTTCCTTCCCTGCTTCCTTCCTTCCCTCCCTCCGTACCTTCCTTGCAAGGAAGATATTTCCCCTTCCTTCCTTTCCTTCCTTCCTTTCCTTCCTTCCTTCCTTCCTTCCTTCCTTCCTTCTTTCCCTCCCTCCCTCCCTTCCTTCCTTCCTCCCTTCCCTGCAAGGAAGATATTTCTCCTTCCTTCCTTCCTTCCTTTCCTTCCCTCCTTCCTTCCTTCCATCCATTTCCTTGAGCAATCCTAAATTCAATATTAATCTCCCTAGACCTTCTTGTTGATAAATGTTGATTTCCCCAGCACACCTGTTCATATTTCAGATGGAAATGTATTATAAAATCACACCATTCGCTGGTGATTACCACGGTAATCAGGCACGCTCATTGACAGGCCAGCACTCCTCTTGAAGACAAGGGTCTGGAGACAGAAGCTTTCATGTCACCTATGCCATGCCTGGGGAGAGAGGGAAATGAAGCAGGCATGGGTGGTGTTTGGGAGGGATGGTTTCCTTCTCTGGGGAAGTCTTGGCAGACAGCACAGCCCCAAGGGCCCAGGAGGGCTCTGTAGGGTGATGGGGGGGTGGGCCAGACAAGGGCAAGTAAGTGGGAGGGTAAGGCCCGCATACCTTGGTGTTCTACAGTGTATATACAGCTAGCAACACTTTTACGGGATCCATGGCAAGAGATCTGAGCTACCAGGATCAGGTATCTTAGTCAGAATATCATTCAACCTCCCACCAGGTGTAGGAACAATCTCTACAGCCTCCTAGAACATCACAAAGATATAATTATTATTACTGCTTCTCTGTATCATAGGATTATGGTTTAGGGTCTGACGAAAGCCCAGGCTGTT
Source organism: Homo sapiens (assembly GCF_000001405.40). Taxonomy (NCBI): domain Eukaryota; kingdom Metazoa; phylum Chordata; class Mammalia; order Primates; family Hominidae; genus Homo; species Homo sapiens. The sequence goes on from NC_000018.10 coordinate 48,180,877, forward strand.
TGAACTGTTACTTAGTCTTGATGCAGTCCATTTTAAGTTTTCTAACCAGACTGCTTGGCTTCAGATTCCAATTCTAGCACTTACTGGCTGTGTGACCTTGGACAAGTTACTTAACCTCACTGTTACTTTTCACTTGTAAAAAGCAGATAGTATAAGTTTCCAATGCATAGGATTGTTGTGAGGATTATGTTAATTAATAAATGTAAAATGGTTGAAATAGTGCCTGTTACAGAGTAGTTGCTTAGAAAGGTGAGCCACTGAGATCCTGGAGTCACCCCTTTATCTTCATAGAAGAGGGAACTGAGGCCAAACCATGGGGAAAGCAGATAGTAAGGACTGGACTGGACTGGACTCTGAGCTAATGCTGTTCATATGAATGACACTCTATCCCCTTGCTCTCTAAGGCTAAGGAAACCTTCCATGCAGGAGTGCTGTGAGCTGAGCAGTGCATAAGAAAAGAGTGTTTGTGGGAATCAGCATTTTACCACCTGGCAGACCTGCCTGGGCTGTAGCAGAGCCTCCCCACTCAGTGGACAAGGGACAGGAGGGATCAAAGGTACAGCCACTATCCTGGGCTTTGCACAAACATTGCCTCGCCTCCTTCTCCTGGTACCCCCATGTTATCCTTTCTGAACAAAGAGGCAACTGAGGCCCCAAGAGCCCAAAGCTGCATGACAATGACGGTGAATCAGGACTGGAACCCAGACCCCCTGCCTCCCTACCCACAGCTCTTTCAGCTCCCTTTCCAAATATATCAGCTTGCTGCCCTCTGGCTGTCCTGTTTTCTACCCAAAACTAGGACCTCGTCCACCTTCTCAAGCCCAGTCACCCCCTTACTCCCACTGAAGCCCTGGAATCTTAGGCCTAGTGGGGTTGCAGGTTCCAGAGTACTTACATCCTTAAAGGACATAAACATCTGTAGCCTTCAGTCACCCCCACAATTGCCTATGCATGTTAGATGTGTCTACTAAAAACAACCACTATAATAGTTGTAGCTGCCTTTATTGCTTATTCTGTTTTAGGGTTTACGCTACCTTCTCTTTTTAATATAATGATATTTGTCATTAATTGAATTATTTTACATCACACCAGACATCGTATAATCCAAACCAGGCCAGGAGCTGTGGGCTCTGTATTACAGCACCCACCCCACCAGAGGCAGCTGACAGGCCATTATTCTGTGTCCTGCAAACTCTGTGCAGTGATAAGGAAACTCCACCAATTTGATGCTTTATCTGGTTGCAGGTTGAGGAAAGATATTATTTCAATCAAGATAATGATTCTACTTCTTGAACGGAAATGAGATTTTTTTTCATTGCCTCATGGGGGTGCCACCAACATCTGTCTCCGGGCTGGAACAGGTCATGAACAAGTTAGAGGATTTTCTTGTAACCTGAGAGAGAGTGTAAACATGAAGGAGAACTGAAAGAAGGGAGCTTGCTTGCAAGAGAAAAACATATCTGCCAGGCCTCCACGATTATAAAATAAGCTCAATTTGGAAAATGTACACTGGCATTGAACAGAGCATTCAAGACCGAACTTCAGAAGGTAAGTGTCCGGTGTGAGCCCTACAGCCTGGAATTCAAGTGAGGTAAATGGCCTAAAAATGCCATGATAATACCAAAGATGCACAGAGGAGACTCAGCTATGACAGGACCTTAGACGTCTTCTAAGCCTGTTGTCAGGCAGTGTGGATCAGCTGTGTAACTGTGCTGACGGATGACCTAGCTCCTGTTTCAGCCCCTTCTACCAGAGGGGGCTCGCCACCAAAAGAACCCATTCCATCTTGGACCAGATCCTGTGTTGAGGAAGTACCTCCAAATTATAGTCAAGTCACTGAATAAAAGGAAACCACAGTGAAAACTCACACGGTGCTGACAATGCAGGAAATCTAAATGCACTTTGGAAACAGAATACACAATATGCAAATGACATCAGATAATAAATGCAGGGAGACCTCAATGATTTGCACTAAATAGTGAAGTTAGTGAAATTTTAAATTATTTTAAATATTTGGGAATTCCAGGGGCTGTCATGCGGTATCTCAAATAATTTGCTTTAAATAATAATTTAAATTTTATGTATAATTTGCTTTAAATAATAATTATTATTTGCAATGAGAAATAAAAATAATTTATTATTTGCAATTAGAAGTAAAAATAATTTTCAATTCCTATATCAATTGTTTATATAGTAACTCTAAAGAGTTCGAAAACGTTTGTAAAGTTCTTATGCATTTTAAACATTCCACTGAGAGCTGAATCAGGCTATTAATTGCTCCCTCTCCAAAGAAAAGGCCTATTTCGGCTCAATCCCTTCTGGAATAACCCCAACTGCTGACTCTAAAGACCCAAGAAGGTGGCACCTTTCTATACTGCATCAGATTCACCAAAATTTTGGAATCTAAACCACAGTCTTGTTGGTTGTAGACTATCATTGGAAAGTAACACAAAACTCTGGCAATATTGGTTGTCTCTAGGACAGGAGCCTGCTTGAGGCCAGAGGTAGAGGGGAGACTTTTTACAATATACCTTCTGGTACTTTTGAATTTAGAGCCTTGAGACGATACTGTCTGTTAAGAATAAAATTCCAGTTAAAAAAGCACATGTTATTTTCAGTTAAAAAAACAGACTTCGGGATTGATTTCTATTTTAATACCTATACTCCCAAAATACAATCTTACTGCAATGAAAATTACTGCCAGGTCAGTGAAAATGACATTTGGCTGTCTTGACAAGAGTGGTGCTCACACGCATGAGAATAAAAGCAATTGATGCCCTGCCCAGGTCTCTGTACCTACTCCCCAGCTGCTGAGTGTGGTACACAGCTTTCACTCATGACATTCTCGGGTCCTTGCTCTTGGTTGAGGTGATGCCTTGGAAGCTGCACCACCAGCAACACTCTGGGGGCAGCTGCTGACAAATAAGGGGACACACAAGCCCTGCCCCCTGCCTCCAAGTCAGACATCACTGCAGTGCAGTTGATGTGGACCAGACCCAGGGAGACCTGCCCTGAGACCACATTCCCACTCAGCTCTTGCTTCTTTACCCTGCTTCCCTCTCTCCTTGACAAGTGTTTCCTAAGAGCTCTCCCTGGATACATCACATCCCACTGAAAACTGACTCAGGCTCTGCTTCTAGGAAGCCCAACCTAAGTCAGTCACCAGTGGCTCAAAATGAAGCCCTCCAGCATCTTTTCAGAGGGTTGTCCCAGGAGTTGGAAGCACACGTGAGCCTTCCTCCTTGAAGGCAGCACCATAACCACCTTCCTGCCTTGCCGAAGACCACCAGTCTGACATAATACAGCCCACGAAAGCCAGCAACAGCAAAACATGGACATCCAGAACAGACAGAGTTCTGACAACTGGACCCCGTGGCGCAGCACAATGATGACTCTTCTTCCCCAGGATGAATAAGCAGGAGGCAAGGGCTGAGCCAAAAGGACCTGTTGCATAATCTGAGCAATGTCCAGTTATGTGCAGCGGAAAGTCAGTGTGGACGTCTTAGGCAGCTCTACCACTTACTAGCAGAGCAAACTAGAGCAAATATTGAATGATTCTGAGCCTCAGTTTCTTCATCTGCAAAATGGGAATACTGGATAGAGCCTTTGTAAAGCACCTATGAGGCAGTACCTTCAAGAGTGCTGCAAATTGCTCATCCAATGTGAATACTGGCTGTTGTTATGGAGATTTATAACTAGCTACCTTCTCCTGCTTGCTTGGGACAAATATTAATTAATCATCATTAAATAAATATATCCCAGCTGCCCCTCATCCTGAGCACAGTACCTAGAGCTCCCTGCGTGAGAAGTGGCTCTGGGGGAAAGGCAAGTGGACAATTGGGAGTGCTGTATTGGTGACTGTCCGCCAGGAGCTCAAGATGTGGCCCCATTACTGGCCTCACAGGGCTCTGGTGGCCCTTGGCTGCAGCTGTGTGGAGAATTTTCTCTCTCTCTCTCTCTCTCTCTGTCTTTCTCATTCCCTCTCTCTCTCTGAGACAAAGGGAGTATCTCCAATGCAGATTTCCTATAATCTACTCAGTGTATAGACTGATCTCAAATACAACCTCAAGTTTGTGAAAAATTCATGCAGCCATTTTCATATCGTGGAGTGGCCGACAAACAGGCAGAAACTAAATTTTATTTACATAGGTGAAGAATCCTTTATTCCATCCTGATTCTTTGCATCTGGACCATTCCTGAAGCCATGCCAAGCCCTCCAGCACCTGGCCCTGTCCAACCTCACCAGCATCTTCTCCCCTCCCACCCTCAGACCCATGCCTACACCATCCTCCACATAGGCATCCACCCCTGTTCCTTCCTTCCTGGAATGGCCTCCCTCCTCCATCAGTCCAGTTCAAGCCTCTCCTTCTCCAGGAAGTCTTCCCTAACCATTTCCCATCCCCAGCATTTCTGCCCGGGCCATGCCAGCCAGAGCTGGTGCACACACCTGGTCATAAAGTTCTTTGTCTCATATGCAGGTGTCTTCTCTTCCTGAACTGGACTGAAAGCTCCTCCAAAACAGAGCCAATGCCTGCTGCTTCTCGTGGATTTCCCAGAGCTTCCAGGTGCTGCCTGGCACCTGGTGATTAATGACATTCTCAGATTGATTAATGGATTGGTTCCTGTGACTGCACTTAGTTTAACACACTGTTAAATGGCCTCTATGAGAATTTACTGTTCTGAATAGGGGGTCAACCTAGCAGCAAACTTAGAACTGTACAAACTGTTTGTGGCCCCAAGTAAAAAAAAAATGCACATCTCTCTTTTTTCTAGAGTCCTGCTCTCCCGCACAGCAATCGAGTCAAGGGAGTGACTCTTTCATGAGCCAGTGGGAACATTCTCCACTTAGAGGGCAGAGCCAGGGTTCAAACCACCCTCCTCCAATTCAGTGCCTTACATTCCTGGGTTCAGCTCCACCCCAAGGGAGGAAGCTTCCAGAAGAAGAACCAAAAGCCAATCCCATCCAGGTCATGCTCTTTTCCCCTAACAGGGAAATCCACCCACTTCCCAGGAACATTGTTAAGCCACAGAACTAAAAAAGCAAAATTCATACTCACAAGCACCGATGCCTTAGTTTTAAATTTCAGGACACCAGTTTTTCTGCAAATCTGCTCATTTCCTGCAAAGAGAAGAAAGGGACGGAGAATCATATTAGCATCTGCTCTGGGTATCCTCAGCAGTTTCCCGGCCGACCTCAGGCTTCTGCACCTTCTCTGTGTTCTCACTCCCAGCAGCACTCTCCCCTCCCCAGGCACACTGCATGCTAGTTGGGTGGGTGCCCCTCGCTCCTCGCAGGATTCCACCCCTCCAGGCCCGTGGGCTCGGCCCACGCTGCCTCCCTCTCCCTCCCCGGCGCTGTGCCAGTCTCAGATTGACCACTGCCTCCAATTCCCTGAAGGCGCCCTGGCTTCTTCCCACTCCGGAGTGAGGCCTCCACTTCTGTAGCATGGGGTTGCCTAGCAACCCTGCGCGTGCAGCTCGGAAGGCCTTCCTAAATTGGACCTCACAGCACAGGGCATCTCCTTGTACAGCTGCCTGCATCTTAACAATCTGGCTCTGAATAATAACACAATGGTAATTGCATTCATGGACCCCAAACTACATTTAAATAATGTTCAAGAGCTGACACAAACCAACAAAGGCCAGAAAATGCATCGGGGAGGTTGACTGTAAGGCCAGGCAGGAACGTTCGGGGCGGGAGGGAGTTGACACCAAAGACTTGAGTTAATGACAACGCTAACCTGAACTGTGAATTCTCCTGCATTTCGCCTGAGTGTGTCATCACTGTAAAGTGTTGCAATGTGAGTCTGGGCAATTAACGCCCAGAGGCAGTGATGCTTCAAGACAGGATGCCCTTTAGTTCTGCTGATGCATACGTGGATTTTTGGAGGGAGTCAGGAAGTGGGGAGCTCCTTGGACAGGAGGGGAGACTGTTAATGAGTGATTTTAGTTGGCTTTTACAATCGTGGCTAAATACATTTTCGAAGGTGGGGAAATAACTTACCAAGCAAGGGCACAAAGCATTTGCTACCTCAGCGAGGGACAAATTCGACATGACTGATGCACTTCAGGATAAGAAGTGAAGGCAAAGAGGCCTTGACACTGGCTGAAGCGCAGACTGAGCAGCCTAGCTCGGAATGGGGAAAAGGGGTGGGTGCGAGAGGCCAGCTTTGATCTGTGTCCCTGGCAGAGGATACTGTGCAGCTCTGCTCAAGGGAGGAGGGTCTTAGCACACAAGCAGTGGCAAGCTGGCAATCTGCTCCTTGTGGAGCCTTAGCAGTGAGGGCCGGCAGATCAGCTCTGATCATTTGAAAGCTGGAAGCACTTTGTTTTTAAAAAGCTCAATCCTCCTGCAAGGGAATGGGGCAGATATCTGTACATCCACGTTCATCAGCATTGTTCACAATAGCCAAAAGACGGAGGGAAGTCAAACGTCTATTGGGAGAAGAATGGATAAACAAATGTGGTAAATACATACAGCAGAATTTTATTTAGCCTTAAAGTGGAAGGAAATTCGGATACAGGCTACAGCATGGATGAACCTCCAGGCCATTATGCTAAGTGAAATAAGCCAGTCACAAAAAGACAAATACTGTATGATTCCACTTATATGAGGTACCTAGAGAAGTCAAATCCATAAAGACAAGAAGTAGAAGGCCGGGCATGGTGGCTCATGCTTGTAATCCTAGCACTTTGGGAGGCCAAGGTGGGCAGATCACGAGGTCAGGAGATCGAGACCATCCTGGCTAACACGGTGAAACCCCGTCTCTACTAAAAATACACACACACAAAACTTTAGTCGGGTGTGGGGGCCGGTGCCTGTAGTACCAGCTACTCGGGAGGCTGAGGCAGGAGAATGGCGTGAACCCGGGAGGCAGAGCTTGCAGTGAGTCGAGATGGTGCCACTGTACTCCAGCCTGGGCAACAGGGCAAGACCCCGTCTCAAAAAAAAAAAAAAAAAAAAAAGACAGGAAGTAGAATGGTGGTTGCCAGGGGCTGGGCAGGGAGAGGAGAATGAGGAGTTATTGTTTAATGGGGACAGAGCTTCGTTTGAAAAGATGTAAAAGTTCTAGGATGGATGGTGGTGATGATTGCACAACAGTGTGAATGTACTCAATGAATTACACACTTAACAAATGGTTAAAATAAATATCCCCCTGCAACAATAGCACAGCATACACCTCCACACTGTTTCTCTGCAAGACTTCAGTCCATCTTCATTTTGGAAGTCAGAGTGGCCTGTGTCATTCACAAGCTTGGACAGGGAGACTCACTGGGACCAAAGGACATAATGGACAGTGTGACTGGGCCAGGGAGCCTGTATTAGTCTATTCTCATACTGATAATAAAGACATACCCGAGACTGGGTAATTTATAAAGGAGAGAGGTTTAATTGACTCACAGTTCTGCATGGCTGGGGAGGCTTCAGGAAACTTAAAATCATGGTGGAGGGGGAAGCAACACATCCTTCTTCACATAGTGGCAGCAAGGAGAATGCAGAGTGAAGAGGAGGAAAAGCCCCTTATAAAACCATTGGCTCTCGTGAGAACTCACTTGCTACCATGAGAACGGTATGGGGGAATCCAGCCCCATGATTCAATTATCTCCCACTGGGTCCCTCCCACAGAATCTGGGAATTATGGGAGTTACAATTCAAGATGAGATTTGGGTGGGGACACAGCCAAACTATATCAGAGCCCATGGCTCATAAGCATGGTGTTTGTGCAATGTGGCCTCAGACAGAGAGAGGGGTCTGAGCATTGAGAGACAGGATTCTCCTATTCCCACCTCTTGAAGTCCAAACACCATCACCTTCCAGAACTCAGCCTCCTTCCACTTAGCCAGTCCTATCCCTGTGTCCCCTGTCTGCTCTCCCCACCGGGAACCTGGGCTCCTATTACACTTTCATTGTTACCATTTGTTCACCTCATACCCCTGCCTAGAAAGCCCCTTCCTGTGCCATCTGAACTAATTTTACTCTTTCTACTGGGTCCACATCAAAGTCCACCTCCCTCATCAAGCCTTCCAGATCCCTCCCAGTTGTACTTTCTCTGAATGCCACAGCCCGTAATCAATCACTTCTTAGGTACTATCTCATGTTCTTGTCTGAAAATCTGGTCTCTTCTAATAAGTCCCTGAAAGGAACCCTGAGCAATGATTATTGCTAACATTTTTTTGTCCACCACAAGCTGTAGCTCAGGGCTGAGCACACCATGGTTGCCGGATTGCCTTGCCTCCTTTCTCAGGGAATTCTAACCATAGCTCCCCTGCCCAGGGCACAAAGCATGACTGCTGGCTGCAGAGCCCTGGAGCTAAATATTCCAGGTGAACGCTCAGTTCCTTCCAGTCACTTAGAGGTGTAACTCAATGTGTGCAATAAACAATTGAGCATTTACAGATTTTATTAATTTGGAAAGGTCATTAGAGCTAACAGCTTCTCCAAGTGAGAGTGAATAAATAGCATGGGTAATTTTTTTTCTATGCCCTGGATTTTTTTTCTTGGAATGTACTTTAAGCCTCAAAAATAATGTTAGAAGTAAAAAAGAAAAAAAAAATCCAGGCTTTGGAGACAGGGGGAGACTGACAGGAGTTCTGGACAAGCCTCGTCCCCTCTGTCTTCCCATCTGCAAAACAAGGGAGTGGTCTCAAAGGTTCTTCCAACTTAGAAAAATAAAATTATGATTCAATTTTAGGAATGTGAAATTAGCTAGTGACCTTCCAAGTTAGCAGTTGCTGCCTCTCCCCCACCCATCCTTCCAGGTGCCCCTCGCCTTGGATAGATACGGCATAAGTTCACACCTCTGCAGCCAGAACAAGGTCCTTAATCATTTCAGGTGCCTTCCCAGGCCCTGACCTGGGTGCTCTCAATCCCAACGACCTGGCTCGCCTTGCTCTCATTAGATCATTAAGGAATACTCAAGACTAATGAGTTGTTTTCTTGAATCTCCAAAAATGGCTGGAAAGGGGCAGGAGGGCATCATCCAAGCTCTGTCTCTCCTTGGCTCGGTGACCAGCCAGTGCTGTCTGTCAAGGGCTGGCCTCTGCGGGGCAGATGCTCCTGGCTCTTCCCGACAGGTGAGAAATGGAAGCAACATTCAGGGAGTGGAGTGGAGGGGCTCTGGCTCCTGCCTGCTGTCGTGGGGAGAAACACTTGGCCCTTGACCAGAGTGCTGTTGGCCAAGGCTTTTCCTGACATCCTTTTCTCTCCCTATCATCATCCGTCCCTCTTCTCTCTGCCTTGGGTGCGGGCAGATGCTGGGAAGGTGGGAGTGCAGTGTCTGTCTGTGAATGTGTGGCCACAAACACTCTTGCCCCCACCTCCAGACTGCCCAGGATTATCAGGAGCAAGAAGAAGACTAAGTGTGAATCAAGACTCTGTAAGGAACAACATTAATACTAATCTTAACATTACCATTGATATTAACTATATGATGGTTTATGATTAAAGAAGTATTTTCCCACGTATGTATCAGGTAGGTAGAATAGATTCAACACATTTGTTGAGTACCTGCTGGGGATGCAGATATGAAAAGGTGTGAATCCTGCCTGCCAACTCCGTGCAGGAGGGTTGTAGACAAGATGACGGAGGCACAGAGGAGCTGAGCAATTGTCTTAGTGTCATCCAGCTAGCAGACACTGAAGCAGTGCTCAAATCAAGCCCATGAACTCAGGGGCCCTTTGCAACTCTACCTATATGACTTGTGAGTTTAGTATGAAATTTAGCCTGCATGACATCCTTCAGAAGGGAACAGCCACTAGACAGGATGGTTTGGGGACAGTGGGATTTTATGCCTAGAATGAAACAGCGACTGTGGGCTTCAGTGCATGGGAGGCCCAAGGCACCCCAGAGAGGCAGGCCCTGAGCTGAGCACAGTGCAGAGCCCACTGCAGACACAGCCTTGCTGTCCATGGCCTTTGTGCCCATTGCTAAAGATCCCCCCTCTCAGCAGCCTTTGTAGAGAGGCCTTGAAAGTTGAGGCAAATTCATGACATCTTCCCCCCACCACCCAATCTGCACTAACCTTTCTTGGGCACAGCACTTATAATCGGCATGTGACACAAAATTGGTGTTGTTCTTCTTGGAGTCTCTTTTGGGGAAAACAAGTCCCATGCTTGGGGGAGTCGTACAAATCTCTCACTTTACAACCAAGGCCACGGAAGCCCAGTGGGGCCAAATACCTTGCCTTGAGCACACTAAAGACAAGAGCGGAAGTCAGGTTCCCAAACTCCCTGCCCAGGGCCTGCACACACCCACCTTGCAGAGGTGGGAGGGTAGGAACGGGCTGTGCTTTGCTTCCTCTGACCTTCCAGCAGGTGGAAGATGAGCACATGGCCACCCCTCAGTGAGTGTCTGTGGCTGGGAGGATGGCCAGGTCATGGGCCCTGTGGCAGGGTCTGTAGCTCCCAGGAGGCCATGATGCTTGGTGGTTCAGAGGCAGCCTGGCCCTGCCATCGACCAGCTGTGTGACATTGGGCGAGTGACTTAACCTCTCTCTGCGTCAGATTTTTACCAGCAAACGGGGCATAATAACGCTACCTACATCCTATTTCACAAGGTTGAAGCAAGAATAAAATAAAAGAACAAGGAGAAACACTTGGTGCAGGACCTCAGCTGGGGCCAGCAAGGCTGGCTTTTCCCTGGGAGGTGAGCTCCATGGTGGCGGGTGGAGGACACTGAGCCACTATGCTTATTGCTCAGTCCTCAGTGCCTCACATGGGGCAGGCACATAAATGATAGCTGACCACATTCCTGGAGAAAGTACTTCTGGGGCTAGTGGGAGCCCAGCGCTTGGTGAGAACAAGGCCTGGTGTGTTGAGCTTTCACAGCAGGTGGGCCAGCCTCAGTCCTGAGAGGCCCGGGGGTTGTCCAGCTGAGAGTCTGCAGTGACAGGGAGGCAGCAGCTGCCCCTCCCAGGATCCTTCAGAGGCTATGTTTGCTTTATCTCCAATACTAAAATCAACCACCCTTGGAATGCAAAATGGTACAGCCACTGAGGAAGACAGTTTGGCAGTTGTATACAAAGCTAAACACAGGCTTACCATAGACTCCAGCAATCACACCCTCAGGTATTTACCAAACGATCTGAAAACTTATATCCCCACAAAAACCTGCACACAAATGTTTATAGCAGCTTTATTCATAATTGCCAACAACCAGAAGCAACTAGGCTGTCCTTCAGTAGCTGAGTGGATAAATAAACTGTGGAACATCCAGACAAAAGAATGTAATTCAGCGATAAAAAGAAATGAGCAATCAAGCCACAGAAAGATATGGAGGAAACTTAAATTCATATTACTAAAAAACATGAAAGCAGGTGAAAGAAGGCAACTGGAAAAGGCTACATACTGTCTGATTCCAACTATATGACATTCTGGAAAAGGCACGACTATGGAAACAGTAAAAAGATCAGTGGTTGCCAGGGGTTGGGTGAGGAAGGGATCAATAGACAGAGTACAGAGGATTTTTAAGGCAGTGGAACTATTCTGCATGATACTGTAAAGGTGGATAGATGACATTATGCATTTGTCAAAACCCATAAAATGGTACAACGTGGACCGTGAACTCCAGTGTAAACGGTTGATGATGGACTTTATTTTATTGTTTGAGATGGAGTCTTGCTTTGTCACCCAGGCTGGAGTGCAGTGGTGCGATCTTGGCTCACTGCAACCACCATCTCCCGGGTTCAAGTGATTCTCCTGCCTCAGCCTCCAAGTAGCTGGGACTATAGCCCGTGGCACCACGCCTGGCTAATTTTTGTCTTTTTAGTAGAGATGGGGTTTCGCCATGTTGGCCAGGCTGGTCATGAACTCTGGACCTCAGGTGATCTGCCTGCCTTGGCATCCCAAAGTGCCGGGATTATAGGCGTGAGCCACTGAACCCAGTGGATGATGGACTTTAGTTCATAACAATGTGTCAATATTGTGTCATCGATTATAACAAATGTGCCACACTAATGCCAGATGGTAATAATAGGAGAAACAAGGCGAGGGAGGGTATTGCAAAGGGATGTGTTGTAAGGACTCTCTGTACTTTCTGCTTAATTTCTCTATAAATTTAAAACTGCTCTAAATAATAAAGTTTCTTAATTAAAAAAAAATCAACCATTTCAAAACACAACGCTCGGTGCCAATAAGTATGGGGCATCACTGAGTCCCCACTGGACTCCCAGGCCCCACGCTGGGGACTTGGAGGAGGACTGTGAGACCTGCACGATCCTCCCAACTTGAAGTGCAACCATGTCTGGCCAAAATGTTAGAGACTGTGTGAGAAAGTCAAGTGGGGAGGCCAGCAGGGCCTCCAGCTGGTGATGCAAACAGGGCTGTGCACCCCAGCAACCCGGGCACCTCCGGCTATTAGGCAATGATTCTACTCTTAATTCACTCTTTCTGAGAATACACCCCGGGCCAGGCACACTCTCCCTGACTTCCAGAGGGAAGGTCTATAATAGACTTAGCCCCCTCCTCGCAGGTCTAGAGGCTAGACTCTGCCCAGCCTTTTCCTATTCCCCACACTCCCAACACCAGATATAGTAGGTGTTCAATAAACAGGTATTGAATTAAATAGTAATTATTTGCATGCCTCTTGCTCCCCCATCCAAAAAAAAACCTGATTATAAGCCCCTTACCCAACCTCCCAACAGAGTACTTGCTGAACAAAATGAATAGCAGAATTCAGGTGGAAGGAACACGCCATAGGAGAAACCTTGTGTTTGTTAATGGGGGCACTTGCCGCAGCGCTGAGAGCATATCTCAGAGATGACTCCCCTGGCTGCTCCTGCTCTGCTTTGCTCCCCTCCCCAGCAGGATGGACACTCACCAGCTCCTGCAGGGAAGGGTGGAGAGGCCAGGATCCACTGAAACAAGGTGGCAGGCGCGTGGAGTCATCTCTGAGCATCCTGCCTCGTCAGTGTGGAGACAGAAGCAGAATGAAGCCCCTTGGTCCAGGGACCCATCGTGGGGGTGCCTCTGGGAAGCCCAGCAAGCATTTATGGAGGGTCAGCTGGGGTCTACTCCCTGCCACCTAGCCAGCAGGGCATGAAGCCATGGTGTGATTCAGAGGGAGTGGGGGAGGTTGTGTCTGTGTGTGGCTGAGATAATGGAATCCTCCTTCAGTCATTGCTCTGGGGTGACAGCCCCTTAGAAGTCCACATTTCTGTGACCTTGGCCTAGAATCTTAAAATAGCCCTGAGAAAGAGGGAGGGCTGAGCCCAGAGCCAAGGCCAACAGTGGGGCCTGGGCCAAGGAAGGGGAGGGCAGATGAGCCTGTCCAAGGAACAAAGGCTTCATCTCCCTAGTCTGGCTGCCCAATCTGGGTCCTCTGCTCAGTCACGTACATTTTATTTTTTCTAGACTCAGGCAAGTACTCCTGGATTCCCCACCCTACCCCCTGCCCAGACAGCCAGGGGAGGAGGGATCTCTCACACCAGCTTCTAAGTCATCCTGCAGCTCTCTGTCCATTGCAGGAGCATCCATGGTGAAATATGTGCATTTATGCAGAGTGGTGATATTGCGGGGGTTGTCTGAACTAAAATCTAGAAAGGGGCTAAAGAAGGACTCCACTTTCATAGCTGGGGGGAGGTGTGGTTAGGCCAGTGAACCCTGGTGAGAACTAAGTGCAGCAAGGTGATCATGCCCAGTAAGCTCAGGAGATAATGTGAGAGGGCTCCCAGGGGCAGCAGAGTAAACAGAGGCTTGCAGGATGGGGAGGATTTGGAGAGATAGGGGTGAAGGGCAGTCTAGACAGGGGAGATTCTTAGCAACGCTGCAGAGGCAGGGACAGGCCCAGCATCACCAGGGCAGTGAGTTACCAGGTCTGGCTGGAGCAGATGACATATGCAGAGAGGATCAGGAAATACAGCCAGGAGGGCAGCTGAGGAACCCCAAATGCCCGCCAGCTGACTCTGGGCTTGAGTCTTTGGATAGCTGTGGGGAAGGGAGAACAGATGAGGAGGAGTGGGTGCTGGAGTGCAGCATTTTGTTCGGGCCCTGCAGAGACACATCTGGGAGGGGGGAGGGGGCAGAGGGACTGGCTCAGGCTGAAGTCATCCCCATCCCTGCTTCCCCTTGGCTACTCCCAATTTTGCCAGCTCTGGGAAACTCAGCCAACTAAGCATCTGTGGCCCAAAAATGTAATCTCTGCGTACCAGCCTCTGATTCAGAGAAGTAGGAGTGAGTTTCTAGGAGCTAAAGCCCTGGCAAATATACTATGGTAGGGGCCCTCTTAGCTGTCTGGACTAGTGAGCTACCTGAAAGATTTTAACCTTTAATATATACTTGTACATTCATTCACCAAACTTTTGATGTAACATTAAGGTCTTTTTCTATTTTTTGGTAAATTGTTTCTATTATTATTTCTTACATAAACCATACTCATATGGTGATATGGTTTGACTGTGTCCCCTTCCAAATTTCATCTTGAATTGCAGCTCCCATAATCCCCACGTGTTGTGGGAGGGATGTGGTGGGAGGTAATTGAATCATGGGGGCGGGTTTTCCCCTGCTATTCTCGTGATAGTGAATACGTCTCATGAGATCTGATGGTTTTATAAAGGGGAGTTCCCCTGCACATGTTCTCTTGCCTGCCGCCATGTAAGACATGACTTTGCTCCTCCTTTGCCTTTTGCCATGATGGTGAGGCCTCCCCAGCCATGTGGAACTGTGAATCCATTAAACCTCTTTTTCTTTATAAAATTATCAAGTCTCGGATATGTCTTTATTAGCAGTGTGAGAACAGACTAATACATATGGCACTGCCTACAATTTCCAGTTTTCAGTTTTTTTTTCCACTTGAATGACAAATTAAATACATTGGCAAAATAATCTGAGTGTAAAAAGTCTCCCTAGATTTTTTTGATATTTCCCCAACAACCTTCCGCAGTTGTTTCACCCACACCTAACTCAACAGCATTTTTAAAAAATGACTCAAAATGACTCAAAAATGTTTTTGTGAGTCTTTCCAAAGCTTCAACTTAGTTTTCATAGAAATATTTTCTTCTTTTTTTTTGCAACAGTATTTAATTGGCTTGTATAATATTTAATTAAATTGCATAATTACAATAGCAAGTTCCACTGGCATAAACAGGTTTGGGAATGAAGCCCAGCTGCCTCCAGGAAAGCATTTGGCTCAGCTGGTGGGAGCAGACATGGTGGACATCTTGGACAGCAGCCTTCCTGTCCCAAGTGTTCCTCTAGCTGTGGGTATCAGTCAGGGGGAATGGAGAAAGCTGGTAAATTTGGCAAGACAGTTAATTGCAGTTTAGAGGGCATCCAGTGCCCTCCTTATCCAGACCTAGGAAGGCTACTTCTTCAGAGACTAAGGACCTGATGCTGGCGTGCCCACCTTGGTCCAGTCCTCCCCTGGGGCTGCTTCTTCCCTACTCCACCCTTTGGGGAGTGGGCTATATCTCTCCAGATGCCTTTCCCCTCCGTGCATCCCCACCCAAGACTTCCTCCCATTGCAGCTGTCTAGGAAGGATTTGGCAAACTAACTTTACAGCTTTAGTAACAGACAACAGCCAAATGCACCACTCTCCCAGAGGTGACAGGAACTTCTTACAGAGGTGAGTTTCTAATATGTAATTTCAGGCATCTGCAGTAGGTTGCTTGGGGAAGGATTTGGGGGTCAGAGGGATGTCTAGGAGTCTCTCAATCAAACCACCCTCCTGAGGCTAGGTTTATGTCCAATTGTGTCACCGCTGTGCACATGTCCCCATAAGAAGATGTGGCCACGGACTTATCTCTCATTCTTCATGTTCTGAAATCCTTTATGTTGTATGGGATCCTCTCCTCTTTTAACTTCCCTTCTGAAAGTCTTTTTTTTCTAGACCCAGCTCTATGGGTCACATATAGCAAAAGTCAATATTTAACCCAAATGCCATCAAATCAATGAACCACCCAACCGACCAACCAACCAATCTCAAGTACAGTGTTAGCAGGCACCTGCAACTCATGAAGAGAAGAAGGAAAATGCCCTTCAGAAGAACATATCTGTAGTGAATATTTGCTACTTTGAACCATCCACCTTTCATTCTGCCTTCCTCTTGGAAAGAGAAAGCTAATTTCCTTCCAGATTACCACCTGGCCCCCACAACCAATGTGTTTCAGGGGTGGGTCATGGTTGGCTTAAGTGAATCAGCTCAAATCTGTTCCCTGGCCACGGTGACGAGACCAAATTCTGTCACATAAGATGCAAGGAGATGTTTGCTAGGGACTTCTGGGGAAGATGCTCCACTATTAGAGATGTGGAAGGTGCATGCAAGGCCTGGAGCTGCTACAGCCATTTTGTTACCATAAGAAGTCCAGTGAGCAATGCTGAGCTAGTCACAGAAAAATGGAACTAGGGACCAGATCAAACTGCTCCTGAAGATCATCCTGCCTCCAATCATCCTGCCTCCAAACTTTTCATTTACCTAAGTCAATAAATTACTTTTATTGTTTTGAATTGGCTAACTTTTAAAAATCAAACTGATAAATATACATGGTTTTACAAAATCAAAAATAATAAAAGCTCAGCAATGAAAAATAGCAGCCCCTGCTCCAGCCCTCTCCACACTGAGCCCCAACTCCCAGAGATAACAGCTCTCAATTTTTAAAAAGCCACTTCTCCTGTTCTTCACTGACATATTTTTAAATAAAATGCTGTATTGGTCAGCTAGGGCTGCTGTCACAAAAATGTCATAAACTGTGTGACTTTAACATCAGAAATCTGTCATAGTTCTGGAGGTTGGGAGAGTTCAAGGTCAAGGTGCCGGCCAGTTGAGCTTCTGCTGAGGGCTCTGCTCTTGGTTTCAGACACCATCTTCTCACTGTGCCCTCACATGCCAGAGAGAATACACTCTCTGGTGTCTCTTGTTAGATGGACACTCATCCCATGGGATCAGGGCTCCACCTTTATGACCTTGCTTAATCTTAATTCCTTCCTTACTCCAAATACAGCCATATTGGGAGCTAGGGCTTCAACATAAGAATTATAGAGGGATGCAGTTCAGTTCATAGCACATTTCTAGATTTCCTACTTTAGATATTATCTATTAGTGTCTCATAATGAAAATGAGGTTTTATCTCCCTCTAACCACATGTTTCTGTTCCCTGTATCTTCCTGATACCATCATTTTTAGTGAAATCAATTGTCAGTGTTTGCAGTATTGTGATGAGGTAGATATGATTCATGGATGAGCACAAGATACGATTTCCCTTCTTGCATAACGTTGTACTTTTTCCTTTCATTGTTAAAAACAATGGCTTTATATGCACTTAACTCTTATTTACACATAAACTGACTTCCAGGTCTGTTAAAATCCCTTCCTAGACAGTTCAGCAAGTTAGAAATCTGTCCATTCCATTTTCATTTTTTCCTAGAATCACCCCATCTAGAGTTCCCCATCTTCCAACTCCAGTCCTAGACCAAGTGCTCCGAAGCCTGGTGCACAGCTGTCACCTGGATTCTTGCATTGGACCTCCAGACACACTGCATCAGTTTCGAGTGCTGCTCTAACAAATTTCCACAAACCAAGTGGCATAAGACAACACAGATTTCTTATCTTAGAGTTCTGGAAGTCGGCAGTTGGGAATGGGTCTCAGCGTGCTAAAACCAAAGTGTCGGCAGGGTTGTATTCCTTCTGGAGACTCTCAGGAAGAATTGTTTCCTTGACGTGTCCAGCTTCTAGAGGCCACCACATTCCATGGCTCAGAGTTCCCTTCCTTCATCTTCAAAGCCTGCAACCTCGGGCGAGCCCTTCCCATATTGCCTCCCTCTGACCTCTCTTCCATTTCCCTCTTTCATGTATAAGGACCCTTATGATCCAATCCAGCACATTCTGATCACCCAGAGCGATCTCCCCATCTCAGGGCCAGCTGATTCACAGCCTTCATTCCATCTACCATCTTCAATCCCTTCTGCCGTGTAACCTAACACTTTCACAGGCCCTGGGGATTAGGATGTGGACATCTTTGGGAGACCATTATCTTGTCTACCCTACACACCATGCTTGTTTCTGGTTTACTCTGGTTTCAGTGGCATGAATGCTCCTCTGGCAGCTTCCTGAGAAAGGCTGCATTGGAGGCACATCATCTGAGCCCATGCCTACCTGAAACGACTTTATTCCTCTCATTCTTGACTGGCAGGAATAGAAAGCGAAGCTGGAAACCACTGTCTTTTGGAAGGCTGAAGGCACTGTCCCAGTAGCTTCTAGATTCCAGGAACGCTGGTAGAAAGTCTAATGCTGTTCTGTGTTCCGATTTTTGCAGGCAACGTCCTTTTTTTCTCTCTGAAGGTTCTATAACTCTTCTCTTTATCTCTAGTATTCTGAAATTCCACAATGATGTGCCCCGTTGTGGGTCTGTGCCATTCATTCTCGCAGTCTGGAAGCTCTTGTATAACTTCTCTGATACTTTCCTCTCCTCGGGTTTTATTCTCCATTTCTGGAACTCCTACTGCTGGCCCTCCTAATTTCCTTAATTTTTTCAAATCCTCGTTTCTAAATCATTGTCTTCTTTTCCCACATTCTGAGAAAGTCCGTCATTTCTCTCCCTCAAATCTTCTACTGAATTTTAAATTTCTGCTATTATATGTTTAATTCCTTATTCCTTGGATGTTTCTTTTTTATAACCTTCCATTCTCACTTTATGGATGCATTATCTCCTCTTATCTCTCTGAGGACATCAATTACAGTTTTATTGAAGTTTTCTTCCACTCCTGGGCTTGGCTCTATTCCTTCGAGCTCTTTTTCTGTTGTTGTATAATTGTTTCCTTTTCCTCCCCCTCCTTCTCCCCCTCCCGCTCCTCCTCATTCTCCTCCTCCTCCTCCTCCCCTCTCTTTCTCTCTGTCTCCTGTTAGAGGTTTCCTTTCTACAAATACCAGCTGATACTTCACCACCATTTATAGTTAAGAGTAAGACACTAAAAAGTCGGTCATTTCTCTATGGAGGATTAGGGAGGGATCTGGTCATTTTCCAGAGGATATGATCCAAGAAGTTCCAGGCTTGGAGACACTGCTTACGGCTGAGGGAAGGCTTGAGCGCTATACTCAAAATGAAAGAAGGCATTCAAAACTGCACGCTGAGTGGTGACACTTCTAGCACTTCTCTACTTCGGGTGAGAATTTGAGGAAATGTATTTGTGTGTGTGTGTGTGTGTGTGTGTGTGTAATTTTTTTTTGACTCTTGGGCCAGTCAGTTTACTTGCAAAGGAACCCTTAGCCACCCTGCCTGGAGAATAGACCCTGGCTGCCAGTATTCTTGGAGCCCAGCGTACGACACCTATTTCAGAACTTCACGACACTGGGATTTCCCAAGGGACTCTAAAGAGTGAATTAACCGTGAAGAGTCAGCAAGAAACCCTTCTGGAGTAGGCACGGTGACCCCAAATCATCCACATCTCCCACCTGGTCGTGCCCCTTTCAGGTTCATATGTCAGAAAACCCAACCGAGACATATTTAGTGACCCACACTCCATATTTTGCCTTGGTGAAGGGCCTGTGTGGCCGGTGTTTGTAGTACAGGCCAGACCAGGGAAGGACGAGGAGGGCAAATCTAACCCCTACCTGGAGACAGACTCAGTCCACAGTGGTATATCACTGATACACCACACCAAACACAAGTAGGACAGGCACGAAATATCTCATACCACAAGCATCAGCAGGTGTGAAATCAAGACCCAGAGGCCAGTTGCTAGCCTGTTATTGCAGTTTTCTCATAAATAATATGAAAATCCACCTAGTCATGAGGATAGAGTTTTCTAGCAGACAGATGCCCGTCAACAGGAAATGGGTCCTTGTATTGAGAGCTACCTCAGATAAACCACAGGCACCCTGCACCTCCACAGAAGCACGGTGCAGGGCAGGCTGGCCATCAGCCTTCCGCCCTCGTCCCAGCTCAGACTCCACACAACAGCATCTAAACTCAGGCCCTGATGGCCAAGCAGCCTCTGGCGGAGCAGAAAGTAGATGGGCTCTCTATGGGGAAGCTGACACTTGGCCCAGGTCCCCACCTGCCTCTTGAAAAGCAACAGACACGGTCCCACTCACTGTGGGGAGAAGCTGAGGTGTGTGGCTCACGCCTGACCCTGGTCAGGATGAAGCAGGCCACCCCAGGCACCACCCCCTTGGAGCCCCAGGCAGGTGCGGAACATCTAACACCTGCATGTGGGCATCGCACCTGCGCAGGTGAACTCCACTTTCCATACAGGACAACATCCCGACACCCCAGATCTCACTTTAAGCCCCTAAAGACATGGCTACATAAGTACAAAGTCATTTTTGTAAAGTGAATCATTCCCCTCCATGGCTTCCCCCTCTCCATGACACATACAATCGATCTGTTCTTCAGATGTTCAGACTGAACACCAGGCATGCTGAGAAGGAGAATCACCTACTTTAGAATTGTTCTTTTAAAAAACATCAACATCAACAACAATTAAACCCTCCTCTGACAGACATGCATGAATGCTGGGAAGCAAAGGTATAGCCCAGGATGTAAATCCAGGGGACGGTAGGCCCCAGGAGGGGATTCTTTGTATCTTTATAAACTTGATCGGGGCTCCTCTGATGTCCATTCCTGTGATGACATCACCCCTGGCTCTGGCCCTGCCTAGCACAGTCCCTGTCCCATGCTCTGACAAGTTCTTGAGGGAGCCCAGTGACTCATGGCATTCGATTTTCCACACATCTTCTTCCCCCCGTTTCTGGAGTCTGCCCCTCCCTCCACCTACACTCCAGGTGTCCTGCCTCTCCTCCTGCCTCTTTCCCTCCATCTTTCCAGAGCCACCTCCTTTATCTCCACCCCAGGTGCCTCTTGCTTTTAAAAATTTGTTATGAAATATTTCAGACATACAAAAAGGCCAGAAAAATACTATAATGAACACCTGTGCACCCACCACCAGGCTGCATAAATAAAAAGCAGCTCTTTCTAATCCGAGGCGCGCATCCCTCTCTGACACCACAATTCCTAGCAGCCTTTGTTCCAGTCTTCCTCGGGAAAAACCCAGAGAGCTGCATAAATCCAAGGCATAACCAGCTGTCATCTGGACTCCACTATATTAATTTTTCCACTACCCTTTGTGGCTGCACGAAGCTCCCTTCCACCCACCAGCCTGTCTTCTTCCTTTATGATTTGACCGCTTCCCAATCCCAGAGGCGAACTGGCTTGCTGAAGGTTCCCACCTAGCTAAAAGCCACACGTGCAGGTCAGCGGAGAGCTGAGTGTTGGAGCAGGGACTTTGCCTGGGTGATGCTGCTGGGCGGGACCACAGTGCTTCCTGCTCACGCTCAGGCACTAGGCCACTCTGTGCATCAGGAATGGTGCAGGGGCTGGGAGGAGGCAGGACATGGACATTGCCTTCCATGGCCTTGTAGTCTTTTGGGGACAACAGACACACGCAGAGAGGGAGCCCAAAGCCTCATGGGCAGGGCTGGAGTTCAGGGTATCTGCCTGTGCAGCACAGCGGGGGCTGCTGAGTCCAAGAGGTCGCGAGGGATTAGAGATGGAACTCAGAATGGGCAAGGATTGAGGGAGGGAGGGACATGCTGGAACCTTCCAGGTGAGAGAAAGTGAAGCAGGAGGCACAGTCGCAGGGCGGGACAGAAGGGGGACAAAACCAGGTGGGGGGCGGGGGGTGGCTGGCAGGATGAAGCCAGCTGGGCAGGGTCCTGGTGGCAGCGGGCTGCGAGGGTGGGTGTGCAAGCTAAACATGCAAAGGAACCCCACCTCTCCCCGCCCAGCTGTCCTTAGTACCCCACTGTGCTCTGCTCAGATCCTCAGTGGGGATGGGTGTACGGGGGAAGCTCTTTGTGATTGCTTCCTCCCCCACCCCACCCCCGCCGCACGCAGGCCATGGGAGGACATAGAAGGCCAGTGATGTTGACACTGGCACAGCCTGAACAGAGGTGGAACACGATGCACTGGGTGCCCTCTCCCCTGCAGCTTTACCCCAGGAGATAAAGAGTGTCCATGTAGCCAGGAGTCCCATGGCAGCTGTAACCCACAACCCTGGGCAGAGGAAGGGCTCAGGAGTTGGGCATGGCCTTCCCCTGCCTCCACAGAAGTCTCCAGCCTGAAGATCACCTCCTACCTCCCCACCTACGCCCCTGGCCTTGCCCTCTTACCCTGCTTGCCATTCATCCAGCAGCCTCAAGACCCCCTCTTCTCACCCTCACCCAGCCACGGCCCCTCCAAGGTGTCCACACCTCCCAGCATGGAATGTCAGGCCCTCTGTTGAGCAAGAGGATGGAGGCCCAGATGCCTAGCTTTGGTGCCTCTGCCATGAGAGTCTTCCCCCTTTTCTGCCCGGGGCCTCACTCAGTCTCCCTCTTTCCACCCTTTCCCAGCAGAGACCATACTCCAGGAATTCATGCACCAAGGCCTAAGGGCTCACAATAACACACAGCGTGGCTCCAAGCACAGTCCTAAGTCAGCAGAGCCACAGCTCCAGGTGGTTGCAGGAGATGTGGGAGGTGGCACCACTGGACTCATGTGGCCAGGGACATGGCTGGCCTGGGCCGAAAGCTGGCAGGCTCCGCTACAGGGATCTTTCCTTAACTCACCCTATGTGGAGAAATCTTAAAGCTGCTGAGAAGGACAAAACAGCTTGGGTCCACTGTAGGAATGTTCTGCAGTGCAAAAGAATGGACTTCCTCTTTTGCTTCTGATCCTAGACCCATATTCCAGAAACATCAACAACAGGGACAGCGGCCCCATGGAGCTGCCTTCAGGTTGCTTCATTTCTGTGTGACCTTCTCAGGGCTAAATCTTTTGGTGTCACCTTCCCTCAGAAGTGGGACCATGGGCCCCCACTGCCCCACCCCCTGGGTTGGGTGTTCCTGTGGTTACCCTGAGCTCCACCACAGCACCTGTCCCGCCACTCTTTAAATGATTCCTGAAGCAGGAGCTGTGTCCCCCTCATCTTTACATCCCCAGCACCCAGCCCAGAGCCTGGCACAAGGGAGTTGCTTGAGAAGTGCAAGGTGCAGGCAGCCCCCCACCCCACCAAATAGTCTTTGCAGTACAGGGTAGAGAGGAGGAGAGGCTCTGAAGAGGGGGTGTCTCCTCTACTCATAATTTCCCTGGGGATTTTTCAGTGACAGCTGTTAAGCCATCCTTGACCATTCTGCATGAGTCCCTGATCCTGAACCAGGTGGCCCACACATCAGCTACAGTGTGAAGCTGCTCTTGCACACCTGGGAGATGGGGGCTCCCCCTCAGGCCCTCACCCCTTCTCTCTGCAGTGCCTCCCTCCTTTTTGCATTCCTTCCACCTCTGATTTATACCTTGGCCACTCCATCAGGTCACACTGCTTGCGGTGGTGGGAGATGGATAGAATGTGCCTGGAGAGGGTCCTCACAGAGACAGCAGACGTGCTGGGAGGAGCTGGCCTCCTCCTCTCCACCCAACCAACTCTGCGCATGCCCAGTCTCTCACTCCAGCCTCCCTTGTGAACCTACCCACCCCATTCCACACGGATCTTTTTACCTAGATACCCACTGCACTTATCATCTCCTCCTCTTTCTTGGCCTTCTGGGCTGCTTCTAAGGGAGAGGCTCAGAGCCAGGTGGAACTGGAGAGGATGACTAATGCCCTTTTATAATCTCGCTGGGAGACAAGGCCCATGCAGGAAGGGAAGGTACAGGTTGGAAAGCCTGATAGCTTTCCTTGCTGATAGAGCCGGAACTTAAACCCAGGCCTCCAGACTCCTGAGACATTCCTTCCCTTCATGTAGCTTAAGCTTTGCCTCCTTATCTACAGCAACATTCCTAAAGACAAGACCATGCCTCTTGAGGACCAAGCAAAAGAGTCACCCAGACTAGGACCTTGGCAAATATTTGACAAATGGTTGTGTTATGTGTTCCATGGCCTAAGGTTACCTCCACAGACCCACTCCTCAGTACCAATTCCACCCTCTCTCCCAACACATCCCAGCTATACCCCTGCAGCCTATGCCAGAGGCTCCCATGGAAACTCAGCCAGGAGCTCTCAAAGGAGAGAGAAAGTGTGTACATTTAGCCTGCTTTGGGCTTACTGGCAATTCTCATTTGGCTGCTGACTTCTCTTGGCCACTAAGCAAAGAGGTAAGTACTCATTTTAATGGTGGCAAGGTACAGTGAGAATAAAAAAGCAGCCCAGCTTGGGGGTGGAGTGGGGAGCAATCTTGAGGGGGGTTATATCTGCCTAGGGACCAATGACCAGGGATCCTCAGGGCCCTGGGGACACTCTTCTTTCCCCTCTCTTCACTGTAGGAAGATTTTCAGGGTAGCCAGGAAGTATTTACTGAGGTCTAGCACTCTGCAGAAGGGGTTAGAGGACATCTAACCCCTTAGTTTACAGTTTGGTTCAGGCAAGACTAGAACAAATAAATGAATCTAGCAAGGCTGCTAGACAAAAGGTCAATAATCAAAAATCAATTATATTTTCTATAGACTAGTGACAATATGTAGAGGACAAAATTTTTAAATACAACTTACAATAGCATTAACAAATTAAATACCTAAGAAATAAAACCAGTGAAATATGGGCACAACCTCTACACTGAGAAGTACAATGCCGAGACAAATAAGACTTAAAGAAATGGAGGTACTATGTTCATGAGTTGAAATAATCAATAGTGTTAAGATGTCTATTTTCTGCAGGAAGGAAATAGACAGTATTAATAACGAAGTCAATTTCCTGTAGGAAGGAAATAGACATCTTAACACTATTGATTCTTTCAATTAATGAACATAGTACTTCCATTTCTTTAAGTCTTATATGTTTAGTCATCTATGGTGAGTAAACATAAAAGATCATGCAAATGCGAAATAAAGAGACCATATTCTGCAACAACCAGAATGGCTGAAATAAAACATCAAGTATTGGCGAGGATGTATAACAACTGGGACTCTCTGAAATGACTACTAGGTCAATACAATTACTTAGCAAGGCAGGGGAAAGAAGAATGTCCCCAGGGCCCTAGGGATCCCTGGCCATTAGTCCCTAGGCAGGTATAACCTCTCTCAAGGTTGTTCCCCACACTACCCCCAAGCTGGGCTGCTTTTTTATTGCTCACTGTCCCTTGCCACAATTAAAATGAGTGCTTACCTATTTACTTAGTGGCCAAGAGAAGTCAGGCAGCAGCCAAATGAGAATTGCCAGTGGGCCCAAAGGAGACTCTAGATTCAATGCAGGTCCAGTCAAAATCCCAGCAGTTTTGTTCCCTTGTGTTTGTGTATACATGTGTGGAAACTGAGAAGTGATTCCAAAAGTATATGGAAATGCAAATGACCTATAATACCCAGGTCAATAATGAAGAAGAACAAAGAGAATTTACACTATGTGATATCAAAACTTCTACTGTAAAGCTACAGTAGTAAGCAGAGTGGTATGGTGTATAGGTTCAAGTATACACAAAGAAGCCAATGGAACAGAATAGAATCCAGAGATAGACATATTCACATATGGTCACTATGACAAAGGGTCCACTGCATTTCAGCTGGGAAAGAATGGTGCTTACAATACATGGTGCTGAGTCAACTGGATAGCTATATTAAAATAAATGTTTCGCAGCACTTTGGGAGGCTGAAGTGGGAGGATCACTTGAGCCCAGGAGTTAGAGACCAGTCTGGGCAATATGGTGAAACCCTGTCTCTACAAAAAATAAAAATAAAAAATTAGCTGGGCATGGTGGTGCATGCCTGTGGTCCCAGCTACTCCAGAGGCTGAAGTGGGAGGATCGCTTCAGTCCAGGAGGCTGAGGCTGCAGTGAGCTGTGATCTCACCACTGCATTCCAGCCTGGGTAACAGAGCAAGATAATAAACAAACAAACAAACAAATAAATAAAGTTGACCACTGCTTTCCACTGAAGTAATTTCGAAGGGATCATAGACCTAAACATGAAAGCTAAGACAACAAAGCTGCTGAACGACACCCCTGGAGAATATATGTTTGTGATCTCAGGTAGGCAAAGAAGTTCGTTAAACAGGACAGAAAAAGCACTGACCAGAAAGGAAAAGATTGATAAATGGAAATTTGTCAAAATTTAAAACTTCTCTTCTTCAAAAACACCATTAAAAGAGTAAAAACGCAAGCTGTAGAATGAGAGAAGATATGTGACAGAGAAATCACATCCAAAACATACAAAGAAAGACAACAAATAAGAAAAAAATAGACTTACCAATTAAAAAATAGGAAAATATTTGAATAGGCACTTCTCAAAAGAGGATATCGAAATGGTGAATAAACATATAAGATCATGCAAACACAATATAAAAAGACCACAGGGACGTAGCACTGAAGCAACCAGAATGGCTGAAGTGAGATGTCAAGCGCTGGTGAGGATGTGTAACAACTGGGCTCTCTTCAATGACAGTCAAGAGTGTAAATCAATACAATTACTTCAAAAGAGTGTTAAGCAATATCTCTTAGAGCTAAACATGCATATACCATACAATCCAGCAAGTTCACTGTTAGGTATGTGCCCAGAAAAGATATTTATGTACAACACAAAAACCTCAATGAGAATATTCACAGCAGCATTTAAAAAGATAGTCTCAACCTAGAAATAATCAAAATATCCATCAACAATAAAATGGGTAAAAAAAGTGTGGCATAGTTACTGCATGAATACTATATAGCTACAAAAAAGAATAAACTTCTGAATAGTCTACAACATGAATAAATCTCACAGATTATCTATCAATCATCTATCATCTATCTATCCACTGCCTATCATCTATCTATCTATCTATCTATCTATCTATCTATCTATCTATCTATCCATCTAAAATATATTCTATAGAGACTGGATTTCCCTATGTTGCCCAGGCTGGTCTTGAACTCCGGAGCTCAAGCAATCCTCCCACCTCGGCCTCCCAAAACGTTGGGATTACAGGTGTGGGCCACCACACCAGGCCACAGATATATTGTTAAGTGAAATATAAAATGAGTGAATATGGCATGATTGCATTTATATAAAGCTCAAAACAGCAAAACTGCTGTACAATGATACAAGTCAGGATAGTGGTTACCTTTGAGGGAGTTCCGACTGGACGGAGGTTTAAGAGGGAGCTATCCAGAGTGCTGGGAATGTTCTAGAAGATGATCATGGCATGATTACAAGAGTGTTTACCTATGTGAAAATTCATCAAGCTGTGCATTTAAGGTTTGGACACTTTACTGAAAAGGTAGGGGGGTGTGTTGGGGGGCAATGGTGGAAGACAGGACTGCAGTCAGAAGACAAGAAGAGAATAAAGTATAGCCAGGCAAGGTATAATGAGGGTTGAGAGCTGGCCTTGGTGGCCTTTCTTGTGCCCAAGAGCCTTGGGGAACAGAGCAGCTGTTCCAGTAAAAAGGTTAATGCATCAAGGGTCAGCAATGAAGATAAAAAGGAATCTTTACCAGCACCTAGTCCACTCTGAAAGGACAAATAAACAAGAGTGGTTCCTTTACTTTTGGAGTGTGAGTCAGGAAGTTAAGCTGCCACCTGGGGACTGTCCACCAATGCCGTTCCTGGAGACCACAGAGACCCCTGTCCCCACCCCTGATTTGCATCAAGTGCTGGCTGTTCTAGAAGAAATTAATAAAATTGGTTTTTTTCCTTTTTAAAACCCCAGATCTTCGAACTCATGTCTCTCTAACTTCTACTTATGCCCCAGGAGACAAAGGGGGTGGGGGAATATCTTAGTTGGCACAGAGCCTGGAGTCTCACCCAGATATGAGAGGTGTTGCTTTACATATCGTTTAACTCCTGCAGGCTCCTTAAGATTTCCACCCACTAAATGTGTTGCCTGCCCCAGGAGGGCTTTGTCAGCCTTTCTTCTCATCTCCACCACTGATCCTGCTCCTTGGCCTGGCTCGGAAGCCCCTGTCAACTTCAGCTCACTCACCTTCCCAACATCTCAGACTCTGTGTGGCAGAAGGATGGCTGAGGTGTGCCACTTCCTTATTTGCTTTCCCTTTCCTGACTTAATTTGTGATTTATTGATATTTGTTTGCTTTTAGCAATCCAGCAATCTGGTTTTATTCTCCCACCCTACCCCAGTCACTTATATTAGGGTGGCTCTGAAAGTCTGTTATTTGGATTTGTTCTCCATCTGTCCTGTGCTCACTGTTGCTGTACTCCATGTAATACTGTTTAAAAATAAAGTCGAAAAAGTAACAACTAAATAGATGACAGCCTGGCAAAAACAGCAGCTGTTGCCCATAAGGCAAAATAGAGAATATTCCCCTGGATATATTTATAGAGAAATGGATATTACAGAGTGAGACAGAAAAGAGGACAGAAAAGGGGTCTCAGCTAATGCAGTATCATTTAACCCTCTCTGATGCCAAGGAGGCAATGGATGCTCCAAGTTGGGACCTGTTATTCAACCCTCAGGCTCCAAACGGAAATGTGCAGGTCAAAGGAGTCCAAAGAGGAAGCTGGCATCTGGGAACTTCCATGAGATGAGTGTCTGCATCCCAACCCAGGTACAGGTCAGATCCAAATCAAGCTAACAAGTCCAGACATTGGAGCAGATACAACAATGAATTTCACATGAATTCTGCTTTTAACAAACTTAAATTTTAGTTGTGCTAGGAAGACACAAAGTTACCAAAAGTCAATAATAAAATTTATTTTAAAATGCGAGTCACTGGCTGAGAATAGTGGTTTACCCGTAATCCCAGCACTTTGGGAGGCCGAGGCAGGAGGACTGCTTGAGGCCCAGAGTTCAAGACCAGCCCAGGCAACATAGTGAGACACATCTCTACAAAAAATAAAAAACAATTAACCGGGCATGGTGGGTCACATTTGTAGTCCCAGCTACTCTAGAGACTGAAGTGGGAGGATTGCTTGAACCCAGGAGGTCAAGGCTGAGTAAGTCATGAATGTGCCACTAAACTCCCACCTGGGCAACAGAACAAGATCTTGTCTCTTAAAAAAAAAAAAAATCCAAGTCATATGATACCAAAAGGACAAATGACAAAATAAAACATAAATGGGACTTTATCAAAATTTAAAACTTTTGGGTTTTAATGGACACCATCAATAAAGTGAAAAGCAACCCACACTTGGTAGAAAATATTTGAAAATCATATATATCTGATAAGGGACTTGTGTCTAGACTATTTAAAGAACTCTCAGAACTCAAAAATAAAAAGATAATCCAATATTTAAAACATGGTCAAAGGATCTGAATAGACATATCTTCAAAGAAGATATGCAAATGGCCGGTAAGTACATGAGAAGCTGAATATCATTAGCCACCAGGGAAATGCAAATGAAAACCATAATAAGATATCACTATCCTCTCATTAGAATGGCTAGAATCAAAAAGTCAGCTAAGAACAAGTGTGGGCAAGGATGTGGAGAAATTGTAGCTTTCACACACTGCTGGTAGGAATGTAAAATGGCACAACCACTTTGGAAAACAGCCTGGCAGTTACTCAAAAGGTTAAATATAGAGTTACCATATGATCCAGAAATTTCACTCCTAAATATATACCCCAAAGCATATATCCACATAAAAGCTTATACATGAACTTCACAGCAGAATTATTCAAAATAGCCAAAAGTGGAAACAAATGTCCATCAATTGATGAATGAATGAACGAATGAATAAAAGGCAGTATATCCACACAGTGAAACAGAATCCAGCCTTAAAAAGGAATGAAGTTCTGATAAATGCTACAGCATGGATGAACCTTGAAAATATCATGCAAAGTGAAAGAAGCCAGCCACAAAAGATCACATATTATATAATTCCATTTAAATTACATGTCCAGCAAAGGCAAATTATTAGAGACAGAAGGCAGATTAAGTGGTTGTCATGGAGTGAGGGAAGAGAGAATTGGGAGTGACTGCTAATGGGTACGAGGTGTCTCCGGGGGTAGGGAAAATGTTCTGGAATTAGAAGAGATGGTTGCAAAACTCCATGAATGTCCTAAAAACTATTAAATGATATGCTTTAAATGGGTGAATTCTATGATATGTAAATTATATATCAATTAAACTGTTTTTTTAAAAATTCCATAAAGTTTTTACGGAGAGACAAATGACTCAGAATAGCCAACTCAATATTGAAGAAGAAAACAAAGTATTCAGAGGACTGACTTCAAGAACTACTTATAAAATTATGCTAATGAAGACAGCATGGTATTGGTGAAATAATAGACAAATAGATCAATGGAACAAAGACAGTTTAGGAATAAACCCACATAAATATAGTCAACTGATCTTTGACAAAGGAGCAAAGCCAGTGAATGGAGCAAAGATAATCTTTTCAATAAATGGTGTTAAAACAACTGTATATCCATATGCAAAAAATTAATCTAGACAAAGACCTCACATTCTTCACAAAAATAACTCAAATGGGTGAATCATAGACCTAAATGTAAAATGTGAAACTATAAAACTCCTAGAAGATAACAGAGGAGAAAACCTAGATGACCTTGTGTATGATGGTGACTTTTTAGATACAACACCAAAGGCACAACCCATAAAAGAAACAACTGGTAAGCTGAACCTCATTAAAATGAAAATCTTCTGCTCTGCAAAAAACACGTCAAGAGAATAAGAAGACAAGCCATAGAGTAGGAGAAATATTTGCAAGCAATAAATCTGATAAAGAACTGGTATCCAAAATACACAAAGAACTCTTAAAACTCAAACTAAGAAACAATTTGATTAAAAAGTAGACAAATGATTTGAACAGACACCTCACCAAAGAAGATATGCAGATGGTAATTAAGCATATGAAAAATGTTCAACATCAACATCATATGTCATTAAGGAATTGCAAATTAAAACAACAAGGAGACACTACTGCATACCTATTAGAATGCCCAAAATTCAAATCACTGACAACACCAAATGCTAGTGAGGATGTGGAGCAACAGGAACTCTCATTCATTGTTGGTGGGGATGCAAAATGATACAGCCACTGTGGAAGACAGTTTGGCAGTTTCTTATAAAACTTAACATAATCTTACCATATGATCCAGTGATCACATTCCTTGACATTTACCTAAATGAATTAAAAACTTATGTCTACACAAAAACCTGTACATGAATGTTTATAGCAGCTTTATTCATAATCATCAAAACTTGGAAGTGACCAAGGTGTCCTTCAGCGGGTGAATGGATAAATAAACCATGGTACATAGAGACATGCTAAAAAGACATGAGCTATTAAGCTATGAAGAGATATGGATGAAACATAAATGCATATTACCAAGTAAAAGAAACCAGTCTGGCCAGGCGCAGTGGCTCATGCCTGTGATCTCAGCACTTTGGGAGGCCAAAGCAGGAGGATCACTAGAGCCCAGGTGTTTGAGACTAGCCTGGGCAACAGAGCAAGACCCCGTCTCTACAAATAATTAAAAACATATATATATTTTTAAAAAGTCAGTCTGGAAAAGGTTACATACTATATGATCCTAACTATATGACACTCTGGAAAAGACAGAACTAGGAGACAGTAAAAGGATTAGTGGTTTCCAGGGGTTGGGGGGAGGAATGAATAGGTGGAGCACAGAGGATGTTGAAAGCAGTGAAACTGCTCTGTATGTTACTGTTATGATGGACACATGTCATTATACATGTGTCCAAACCTATAGAATATACCACACTAAGAGTGAACCCTAATGTAAACTATGGCCCCTGGGTGATAATGATGTGTCACTGTAGGTTCATTGATTGTGACAAATGTACCACTCTCAGGGGCCAGGGGGGATGTCAATAATGTGGGAGGCTGTGCATGAATGGGGGCAGGGGGTATAAGGGAACTCTCCGTACTTTCTGCTCAATTTTGCTGTGAACCTAAAACTGCTGTGAAAAGTAAATTTTATTAATAAAAAATATCTAAGCCAAGAGAAGAGAGGGGACAAGTTAGTTTGTGATTCATAGCTGAGTGGCTGGTATGGCAGGAAAGGCAGGAGGTCTAAGCTGAGAGACTGTCCATGCCAGACAAGGGGGGATTGGGCTGGGTCTTGAAGAAGGAGTAGAATTTGGAAAGGAGAGTTAATCCAGGTGTGGGGAAGGAGAATATAGGCCAACTTCGAAGAATGCTGAAAACCCTCCTCTGCCTGGCCAGCCTGGACCACTACTATGTGTGGGGGCTACAAAACTCCTCAAACCCAAGTGCAGCCACGTACAAGGTCTGGCTTAGACCCACAAAGGGAAGGCCTTTCCTCCAGCCGGAGACCGGCGAGAGAATCTGTTTTGCAGCTCCCCCAGCTTACACCCTCGCCTGGCTCCTGGTTTCAGCGGGGGCAGTTCTCCCTGGAGCTCTCATAGTGGGAGCAGCCAGGGCACAGACCTTTTGGAAGGAATGAGGCTGGTACACTAGAGGAAGAAGATGCGGGCCAGAATGGCTTTTTGCCCTAGACACAATCCTCAATCCTGCTGTCCTTTAACTTTCTCAATGACCAGGGTTTTGTTTTTGACTACACAGGTGCCTTTACTTTTAGTTTTCTGTCCGCAAACCCTCCAGTGTCTGGAAATTAATGTGCCCATGATGGCCTGCTGCAGAAGAACCTTTAGTGATGGCCCCAGTCACTCTTGAGCTGATGTTTTCATAATTACAACCAGAGTGTCCTGCACTTGCATTGAGTGGGACCCACTCTTTCCCTGAACCTTTCCGTCTTCAATGGTTTCTCCTGTGCGTGCTAGAGATTAAACAGCTCCTACTGTATCCCCATGATAACAGATCTGTGTTATCAGAATACCTCGCCTTTGTTGGCATCTCATTGCTCTTGACATAAATGAAGCAAACACTTTAATCTAGATCAAATCTGAAAAGAAAGCAGCTACATTTTAGACAGCAGTAAAGAGGACTGGGCACAGACAGCATGTGCTTTATCCAAATTTATTACCTTCTTATTTGGGTACTGGTTCTGACTGTTCTGACCCCAATGCAGAGGCTCCATTGGGCTAAAGGACATGCTGGAAAATTTTGGCAGGGATGGGAATGGGCACTAAGAAGAAACTGGCTAACGGGCAATGTCAGAGCAAAGGAGCCCCTCTCTGGGCCGAGCTTTCATGTGAGGTGGTTCCATGGAGCTGTCAAAATGTAGGGCTG
Organism: Homo sapiens; assembly: GCF_000001405.40. NCBI lineage: Eukaryota > Metazoa > Chordata > Mammalia > Primates > Hominidae > Homo > Homo sapiens. The sequence continues at coordinate 48,213,901 of NC_000018.10, forward strand.
GGATGAAAAATGGCCTCCGGTTGCACAGCTGTGACAACGTGTGTGGCAAATGCAGGGTGAGGTGAGTCAAAGGTGCTTGGACACGCATCAGCCTGCCTTGCGGTGAGAGCGGACACCGTGTGCAGGCACCACTTAGAGGCCACTGTGCACTCCTTGGTGCCACGACACAGGGTAGACTTGGAAAGACTGGTGGCTGCTTTTTCTCCAAGTCAATTTTTTAAAATTGTGGTAAAATACACATAACATGAAAATTTACCATTTTAATTATTTTAAGTGTACAGTTCAGTGACATTAAACACATTTACATTGTTGGGCAACTATCCCCACCATCCACCTCCAGAACTTTTTTTCATTTTCCCAAACTGAAACTGTCTCCAATAAACATAAATTCCCCATTCTTCCCTCCTCCCAGCCATGGGCAACCACCAGCTATTCTCTGTCTCTAGGAATTTAACTATGCTAGGTCCCTCATATGATGGAATCATGCAGTGTTTGTCCTTTTGCATTTGGTTTATTTCACTTAACATAATGTCCTCAAGGTTCAAACATGTTGGCAGGACTGGTTTCAAAAGATACGGGTCACAAAGCCCCTGCTGATAAAACAGGATGCAGTAAAGAAGCTGGTTAAAACCTACCAAAACCAAGATGGCCACCCTCATTGCTCATTATATGCTAATTATAATACATCAGCATGCTAAAGGAAACTCCCACCACTGCCATGACAGTAGCAACCCTTTTATTCCTTTACTTTCTTAATAAACTTGCATTCACTTCACTCTGTTAGCTCGCTCTTGAATTTCTTCCTGCATAAAGCCAAGAACCCCAATTTTGGGGTTTACCCTGTGACATGTGGTAGCATGTGTCAAAATTCCCTACTTTTTAAGGCTAAATAATATTCTATTTTATGTATATATCAAGTTTATCCACTCATCCATCAGTGAACACTGGTTTGCCTCCACCTCTTGGCTATTGTGAATAATGCTGCTATGAACATAGGTGTACAAGGATCTGTTTGAGTCTCTGCTTTCAATTCCTTCGGGTTTATATCTAGAAGTGGGATTGCTGGATCATATGGTCTCCAACCTTATTTTTAGCCATCTTGTTGCATATATGTGTTTATAAAACTCACAATGTCACTAGTCCTCTTTTGAAGTGGGTGAAACATAAAATGATAAAATACATTGATTAATGATAAATCTCCTCCAGGTTCTAGGTTAAAAAGACCAGTTCCAATAATCCTGCTCATGGAATCGTGGTCATCCTCATTATTCAATCTTGACATTAGCAGAACCTTAGAAGACACAGAAGCCAACGGTCCACTTGGGGTAGACTCCTCTCCATAGCATCCCCAGCTTGGTAGGCTTACTCCCAGTGTTGACCAAAAAAGCCAAACTCTGTGAAATATTCAAAAATATTTATTCTGAGCCAAATGGGAAGACACAGCCCATGACACAGCCTCAGGAGGTCCTGGGAACATGTGGCCAAGGTGGTTGGGTTACAGCTTGGTTTTATGTGTTTTAGCGAGTCATAAGACATCAATCAATATATGAGAGGTATACATTGGTTCAGTCCAGAAATGTGGGACAACTTGAAGCAGTGAATTACAAACCATTGGTGGATTCAAAGATTTTCTGATTGGCACTTGGTTGAAAGAGTTAAGTTATTATTTTAAAACCTGGAATCAATAGAAAGGAGTGTCTGGGTTAAGGTAAGGGGCTGTCAAGACTAAAGTTCTTGTTATGTAGATGAAGCCTCATAAATGGCCACCCTTAGAGGCAATAGATGGCAAGTGTTTCCCATTTAGACCTTTAAAAGGTGCTGGTCTCTCAGCTACTCTCTTCAGGATCAGAAAAAGACCTGGAAAGGGAAAGGGATTTTCTACAGAATGTAAATTTCCCCCACAGTAGACAGATTTTCAGGGCATATTTTCAGACTTTTTTGACATAATTCAAAATATGCTAAAGAAATATATTTTGGGGTAAAGTACTTTGATTTTCCTTCAGGGCCTGCTGTCATGTGATGCTATACTAAAGTCAGGTTGTTATCTTAATGGTACAAAAGAGTTTGTCTTGTCAGTCTTAACATCTCTGTTTTATTGTCAATGCTGGTCAGTCGTGCCTGAATTCCAAAAGGAGGAGAGTATAATAAGGCGTGTCCAACCCTCTCTTCCCTTCATGGCTTGAACTAGTTTTTCGGGTTTCTATGGAATCCCCTTGGCTGAGAGGAGGAGTCCATTCAGTCAGTGGGGGACTTAGAATTTTATTTTTGGTTTATACCAGCCATGGGGCACTCACTACCACAGCAGGCAGCTGATTTCATGGTGGGCAGCTTTTCTTGTTTTCAAGTTCTTTATTGTGCTGAAGAGAAATTTGTTTTCTCCAGCTCACCAGTAAGGAGGAAGAGCTGTGTGGACTTGCTGGGCATCAGAGAAGCCTGAGGGGGTAGAAAATGCAGTCTCTGGTCTCTGAGGCTCACAGTCTGGTGGAGAGAGTGCTGCAGACACATTGGAAGCAGTTGCATAACCTTGCAGAATCACGAGGCAAAATGGGCAGCGAGGGCAACCCAGTTGCTAGGAGTTGAGGGAAGAGAGATCTACATGGCTGGCTTCTGGGTGCTCACTCCCTGGGGGGCGAAGGTGGCATACACTGACGAGTCCCAAACCTGGGTCTCCGGGCCAGACACATCTCAAGCTCCTCGCCAATTTTCCAAGGCAAGTAGAAATCCTTTCCTGCTTCCTCCCCCTGACAACTTCTCATCAGAAGCCAGCAGTCATCCTAAAACCCCGCTCCGTCAGCCCACACTCTGTGCATCCTGAGCCCGCTCAGTCCATCTCCTGAGTGCCTGTGGATCCATCCCTCCTCTCCATCCTATGGCCCCCACAGCCACTAGACCCTCATCATTTGTTGTGGGTTGAACTGTGTCCACCCCGAATTCATGTGGTAAGGTCCTACCTTCAAGTACCTTATTTGGCAATAAGAACACTGCAGATGTAATTAATTAGGATGAGGTCATACCGGATGAGAGTAGGTCTCTAATCTAGCCTGACTGGTGTCCTTATAAAAAGGGGAGGTTTGGACACCAGCATGCGCAGGAAGGCCGTGTGATGGGAAGGCAGAGCTTGGGTGATGCAGCTGAAGCCAAGGAGTGCCACAGGCTGCCAGCAGCCCTCCAGAAGCTGGCAGAGGCCTGCAGCAGGTTCCCCTCACAGCTTCAGGAGGAACCAACCCTGCTGACAGCTTGATCTCAGACACCTGGCCTGCAGAGCCATGAGACAATCAATTCCTATGACCTCACCCACTCAACTCAGTATGTGTGATTTGCTACGGCAGCCTGAGCAAACGAAAACACCATTTCTCCCCAGCGTTCTTTGGTAGGCCTGAACTCTCTGCCTTCAAGCCCTCCTGTCCTTCCTGTCCCCAAGAAGCCCTCACGCAACCATCAGAAGCATTACTAAGACACAGATCTGACCCTGTCACTCCCAGGCTTAAAACCCGCGGAGGCCTCTCCTGCAGCGTAAGCACAGGGGATTTTGAAGTTGGCCAACTGGACGTAAGCCAGCCACCACCTGACCACTGAGGGCCTTTGAGTCCCCCTCCTTCTCCTCTCCTTCCTCTGCTCTACACACCCCTAGCCAGCCACCCTGAAGTCTTTGCAGTCTCCTGTGGGGCCTGCTGTCCCTCACTCACCTCTGGATCTCTGTGAAGATCTTCTTATCCACCTGAAAAGCCCCATTTCTTCCTGGAAGATGAAAGCCCCCAGAGAGCCACACTCCCCGTGTAATCCCATCCATCACGGCACTAACCCCACTGCCCCAACTCACAGGGCCCTATCACTAGGCCGTGTCTCATATCTTAAGGCCCCTGCCTCCCAGCCAGCCCTGTCTGGCCTGACTAGAGGGTGGTGGCCTTGGGTGGCCAGGGAACACTGGGTTGTCTGCTTGTGGCTCCTCTAAGAGCATCTGTTCATGGTAGTCCTTCTAGAATAGAGAACAATGTGCTCACAACATCACCGTCCCAGGGGGAGCCCTGGGATGAGCCACACGGCTACCAACTCAGTGTACCACAGTAGACAGACCACAGCAAAGGCCAAGGTGACACTGGGTCTCCTGCTGCCCTATTCAGGGAGACTGCCACACCACCACCATGGAAAAGGTCATGGAGCCCTACCTGCACCTGCAAGTCCAGGGTGCCTGGTTCAAAGTCAACACCGAACACCAGGGTTCCGGGGTGGCTCACTAGACCTGGCAGCGTCCACGTTCAGCTTCCCTTGTGGCCTTGGGTACATGTGGTAGTCTCCTGCCACCCTCACCCCAGGCCTGCACAGTCAGGGTGACAGCCCATTCCCCATAGTACCAGTGCTCTGCAGACAATGGTGCTGCAAAGGGCCGCTGAATCAAAAGGAATGTGACTGTGCCTCTGCTGGCTCGAGAGGCTGGTCACCCTGCTCTCTCCCAGGAGGTGCTGCCTCTGCCCCCAGGTATTCCCTCCTAGAATGAAAACTTCTCCAGGGCAGAAGACCTGGTACAGGGTGAGGCCAAAGGCAGGCCTTCTATACACACTTGTGCAAACAGTAAAGGCGTGCACACGCATGGGACAGCTTGGGGTTTGCCTGGTCCAGCCCTCTCTCTACATGGCACACACAGGGCCCTGCCTGGTAAGATGCTTGAAAGCAGGGGCCTGGTTTCAGTGGATCTGTGGTGGTGTTTGTTGATTTTTAAACCACAAGTACATTTTCCATTTATTTCCTTCAAACAGGTTGTTGTAGCCTCTGCATCCTGGACTCTGCTCTCCTTGGCCTAAGAACCTCCCTTTCATTCACCTCAAGCCTTCTGCACCACTGCCGACTATGGCTGACATCCACGCTCTGCATGTGGGGCTACCCACCTACAGGCCTGCCCTGCTACAGCTCCATCCACCACTAGCCCTCAGGGCTGCCTAGGCAGTAAGAGCCTACACTTGGAAGACAGCTATGCCGGGGCCAAGAGTGAAGGTCCCTCTCTCCCAGGCAGCTCTCAGCAAAAGGCATGTGGCAGAGACCCCCCTGGAGGCTCTCCCTAGAGCCCCTGCACACAGGACCCTCACCCCATTTGTATGTGTTCACCACAGCTTGTCTGCCAACCAGCCCCTTCTCCAACTTTATAATAACAGCAGCCCCCATCACAAGCCCCTTCCCATCTATCGTTCCATCTGACCCTCAGGCCTGGGACTGGACTGAGGAATGCTGGGTAAAGCCTCCTGTTTTCTCTGTCTTATAGATGCAGCAGCCAGAGCATGAGGGGGAGCCACCTGCCCATGGCAGCAGAAGTATATCGGACTCACTCCCGAGCTGCAGTGTCAATCCCTCCTCCCACACTGCATATGCTGCCGGCCCCTGCCCTCCCAGGCACTGCCCTGGGCTCTCCCTCCTAGCAAAATCTGGCCTCAGCTAGTTGGGTAAAATAACAATAATGATGACAACACTAACATCTGATGAGAACTGACTTCATGCAGGGCCTTGTTCTAAGCATCTGCACACATTAATTCATTTACTCCCTACTGTATCCCAATGAGGCAAGTACCATATCATTCCCACATTCCAGGTGGGGACACTGAGGTACACAGCTTAAGTGCCTTCCCAGGTCACACAGCCTGTAAATAGCGGGGAAAGGATTCAGGCCTAGGCAGCAGGTGGCAGAGTTCTATGCACAAAGCCACACTCAGGCATTGACAACCCACAGAGGCTTAGAGGGCTGCATTTCAACAAGGGGTAATGCCTTCATTTGCAAAAAGAGTCACATGGTGGCAAGGTGGGCAGGTGGCAGGAGGGAGGAAGAGAGATCTCTGAGCAAGGAGTCTTGCATGCTGCATCTCGCATCCTTGGCCAGAGGGGATCAGAGTGTTGGAGGAGTGGACTGAGTTGGTCAGGTAGATCCCTATTTGGGTAACTGGTGTCAGAGCAGAGAGTGGGATGGATGGAGAGGGATGGAGGCTGAGAGACAGGTTGGGAGGCAATTGCAACAGAACCAGACCAAAGCTGAGGCAGTGGATAAAGAGGAGGCCCCCATGTGTCCTGTTATGGCCCCTCCCAGAAGATGGCCTCACACTGGGGTGTTGGCCAACATTTGTCCCAAAGACTTCTGTCATCCGCAGATGTGGCACAGAGCCCACTAGCCTGCTCACCAGACCCATTCTCTGCTGCTGAGGGGCCTGGTGAACTCAACATCTGCTCTGGGACCAGAGATCCCAGGCCCCAAGTTCACACACTCAGAAACTTGAAGGTGCCAGCCCCAGTTCCCTCTGAAGGCAGAGCACAGTTCAGTTCACTCACAGTCCAGTTTGGCCCATAGTGCAGTTGAGATCCTATTCAAATCAGGCACAGACCCAGGATGGAGAGGGGATGAATGAGTGCAGCTCAGTCAAGCACCACTTTATTGGGGCTGCAGTGCCAGCGCTGGCACCTTGGATGGGAGCCTTGGAGCTCCTCAGAGATGCTGGGCTAAGGCTCAAACAGCAAGCAGGCCTTACTTTCCCCAACAGATGCCAGGGGAGTAAGGCTGCCTCTAGGGAACAAATACTTATTGAGCACCTAAGTGTCAGGCATGGTGCTGGGGGCAGGGATGTAACTTAGAATCAAACTTGCCAAGGCCACAGACCATGGAGCTCAAATTTTCTCCTACACGTGGGCCTGACATGCCAAGTGCCCAGAATAGCAATATTTAGCTTTTACAGACAGTCCAGGATTGAAACAGATAAGCAGGGTCTCTGCCCAACCCTGTGAGAAATCAATAAATCAACCCACAGGTGGCAATAAAGACGGTTAAAACTTCTTACATGCCAAGTACTTTGTAAGTGCTTTACATATGTCAACTCACTCTACAATAGAAAGAGTCCAAGGAAGCAAATATCATAAACTCCACTGTTCAGCAGCAAAAACGGAGGCACAGAGGGGTCAAGTCACTCTCCCTTGCACACTCCCTACTGTCCTAGTCTCCTCTACATTGTCCCCAGACTTGCCTATATAGTATCCCTCTATACTCTCTCCCTCTGTACTGTCCTAGACTCCTCTATACTGTTCTTAGTCTCCCTCTATACTGTCCTAGTTTCCTCTATACTGTCCTGGTCTCCCTCTATGCTGTCCTAGTCTCCTCTATACTGTCCCAGTCTCCTCTATACTGCCCTTGTCTCCTCTATACTGTCCCAGTCTCCTCTATACTATCCCAGTCTCCTCTATACTGCCCTTGTCTCCTCTATACTGTCCTATTCTCCTCTATATTGTCCTAGTCTCCCTCTATACTATCCTTGTCTCCTCTATACTGTCCCAGTCTCCCTCTATACTATCCTTGTCTCCTCTATACTGTCCCTAGTCTCCTCTATAATGTTCTAGACTCCCTCTATACTGTCCTTGTCTCCTCTATACTGTCCCAGTCTCCCTCTATACTGTCCTAGTCTCCTCTATGCTGTCCTAGTCTCCTCTACGCTGTCCCTAGTCTCCTCTACACTGTCCCTAGTCTCCTCTACACTGTCCTAGTCTCCCTCTATACTGTCCTTGTCTCCTCTATACTGTCCTAGCTTCCTCTACACTGTCCTAGTCTCCCTCTATACTGTCCCTTAGTCTCCCTCTATACTGTCCTTGTCTCCTCTATTCTGTCACCTAGTCTCCTCTACACTGTCCTAGTCTCCCTCTATACTGTCCTTGTCTCCTCTATACTGTCTCAGTCTCCTCTATACTGTCCCAGTCTCCTCTATACTGTCCTAGTCTCCTCTATACTGTCCTAATCTCCTTTATACTGTCCTAGTCTCCTCTACACTGTTCCAGTCTCCCTATACTGTCCAAGTCTCCATCTATACTGTCCCTTAGTCTCCCTATATACTGTCCTTGTCTCCTCTATACTGTCCCAGTTTCCTCTATGCTGTCCCAGTCTCCACTACGCTGTCCTAGTCTCCCTCTATGCTGTCCTAGTCTCCCTCTATGCTGTCCTAGTCTCCCTCTATACTGTCCTAGTCTCCTCTATACTGTCCTAGTCTCCCTCTATACTGTCCTAGTCTCCTCTATACTGTCCCAGTCTCCTCTATACTGTCCCAGTCTCCTTTATACTATCCCAGTCTCCTCTATACTGTCCTAGTCTCCCTCTATACTGTCCTAATCTCCTCTAAACTGCCCTAGTCTTCTCCTTCTATACTGTTCCTAGACCCCCTCTATACTATCCTAGTCTCCTCTGTACTGTCCTAATCTCCCCTCTATACTGTCCTAGTCTCCTGTCTTTATTGTCTCTAGCCTCCCATCTATCCTGTCCCTGGTGTCCCTGCTGCACCCTCCCTAGCCTCCCCCTATAAGCTCCCAGCCTCCACCCTCTTGCCTCTAGGAAAGCATCCTGTGAACCCGGATACTGCGAAAGCTGCCTATGAAACCGACACAGCTAAGGTGTGCTCCCTGCTCTCCACCAGCTGCATCCTGCATGATCTTGGAGCTCAGCCAACACACATGACATGTGAGATGCCTGCCCATTGAGCAACTGTGGCCAAGGAGAGGAGAGTGTGGGAGGAACCACAGCCTTGTGTTGAGAGCAGGACCATATTTATACAATAGTCCTCCACATTTCAAAAGCGTTTCAATTCTCTCCCTCTATACTGTCCAGTTTTTAAAGTAGTGCTTTCATCCACATTCATCGATTGAGAAAATTAAGCTCATGGAAGCTCGG